>NC_000003.12:134614664-134917695 GCF_000001405.40 Homo sapiens | reverse complement strand
GATTGAATGAGTCTGAACAGGCATTTAAATTATAAAACAAACTGTGAAATTTGCTCTTTTAAAGGACATACAGATCAGCACAGTCCTCCCCACTACATCCTCCTCCTTCTGTTTCTTTTGTGTTCCAAGGTGCAATTAATTACGGTAACTAGAAAGAAGACGCAGCTTAGATGGGTCACAGCATAGAAAGATGTCTGAAGGAGTTGGGACAGGCCCTAGATTAGGTCTTGGTTCACACGTGGCATAGCCCATGAAAAAGTGGGAAGGCCCAGAGCCATTTCTCTCCCTCCAGGGCTCTTCCAAGGTAGACTTCCAGAGAAGCAGACCAGAGCATGGGGACATGGGAAGGTCTTTTCAATGTACGGAGCTGTGTAAGGCTGGGAATCAGCTTCAGAAGGGCTACCCTACCTGCCCAGCCCAGCTTGGCCCTTGGTACATGGCTTTTGATGGTCGTTCTCCTCTATGGTTCAGAGGGTTTCTTCTGGCTCTTAGTTCTTAGGGTGGTATCTGAGAAACATGACAAGAAACTATAGGGGACCTCTAGACCTACGATGGACTTTCTGTCTCTGGAATCCTCAGGTCTGGCATGGTCTTACAGTGGCTTAGTAGTGTGTATGCTTGTACTATGTGAGTGCTTTTCACTAATAAAATATGGAACTTACTTTAGAAGCTGTATTAGTTTCTTAGGACTGCTGTAACAGCACCACAACCTCAGTGGCTTAAAACAACAGAGGTGTTCAGAAGGTTAAAAATCTCAAATCAAGATGGTATTGAGAGGTGACAGTGTGCTGGCAGCCCTCGCAGCCCTTGCTCGCTCTTGGTACCTCCTCGGCCTCAGCACCCATTCTGGCCGCGCTTGAGGAGCCCTTCAGCCTGCCGCTGCACCTTGGGAGCCCTTCTCTGGGCTGGCCGAGGCCGGAGCCGGATCCCTTGGCTTGCCGGGAGGTGTGGAGGGAGAGGCACGGGTGGGAACAGGGGCTGTGTGCAGCTCTTGTGGGCCAGCGCCAGTTCCGGGTGGGCGTGGGCTCAGCGGGCCCCACACTCAGAGCTGCCGGCTGGCCGCGCCAGCCCCGGGCAGTGAGGGGCTTAGCACCCGGGCCAGCAGCTGCGGAGGGTGTGCCAGGTCCCCCAGAAGTGCCAGCCCACTGGAGCTGCACTCGATTCTCGCCAGGCCTTAGCTGCCTCTGCACGGGGCAAGGCTCGGGACCTGCAGCCCGCCATGCCTAAGCCTCCCCACCCCACCCTGCCATGGGCTCCTGCACGGCCTGAGCCTCCCGGACGAGCACCGCCCCCTGCTCCACGGTGTCCGGTCCCATCGACCGCCCAAGGGCTGAGGAGTGCAGGCACACAGCGCGGGACTGGCAGGCAGCTCCACCTGTGGCCCTCGTGTGGGATCCACTGGGTGAAGCCAGCTGGGCTCCTGAGTCTAGTGGGGACTTGGAGAACCTTTATGTCTAGCTAAGGGATTGTAAATACACCAATCAGCACTCTGTATCTAGCTCAAGGTTTGTAAACACACCAATCAGCACCCTGTGTCTGGCTCAGGGTTTGTAAATACACCAATCAGCACTCTGTATCTAGCTAATCTAGTGGGGACTTGGAGAACGTTTGTGTCTAGCTCAGGGATTGTAAACGCACCAATCAGCACCCTGTCAAAACGGACCAATCAGCTCTCTGTAAAACAGACCAATCTGCTCTCGGTAAAATGGACCAGTCAGCAGGATGTGGGTGGGGCCAGATAAGAGAATAAAAGTAGGCTGCCCCAGCCAGCAGTGGCAACCCATTCGGGTCCCCTCCCACCCTGTGGAAGCTTTGCTCTTTCGCTCTTTGCAATAAATCTTGCTGCTGCTCACTCTTTGGGTCCACAACGCCTTTATGAGATGTAACACTCACCGCGAAGGTCTGCAGCTTCACTCATGAAGCCATTGAGACCACGAACCCACCAGGAGTAAAGAACAACTCCGGACGCGCCGCCTTAAGAGTTGTAACCCTCACTGCGAAGGTCTGCAGCTTCACTCCTGAGCCAGCGAGACCACGAACCCACCAGAAGTAAGAAACTCTGAACACATCTGAACATCAGAAGGAACAAAGTCCAGACACGCCGCCTTTAAGAACTGTAACACTCACCACAAGGGTCCGTGGCTTCATTCTTGAAGTCAGTGAGACCAAGAACCCACCAATTCCAGACACAGTATCAGGGCCATACTTCCTCTGAACCTATCGGGGAGGATCTTTCCTGGGCATTTCTTGCTTCTGGTGGTTTGCCTGGGATCTCTGGTGTTCCTTGGCTTGCAGCTGCCAACTCCAATCTGCCTACCTCGTCACATGCTGCTCTCCCTGTCTGTCTCTGCCTTTATGTGGCATGACTATTTTATAAGGATGCCAGTCATATTGGATGAGGGGTCCGTCATACTCTAGTATGACTTCTTCTTAACTGTTTACATCTGCATTAACCCTGTTTCCAAATAAGGCTGCATTGTGAGGTACTGAGGGTCAGGACCTCAACATATCTTTTTTGTGAGGGACAGAATTCAACCAATTACAAGAGGGTTAGGACACTGGGAAATGGGGCTGTTGGATTTCCTCCAGCAAATACTAGGGCCTGTGCTGGGAGCTTGGGGGACACAGACACAAGGAAGGCCAGGTGCTTCCTCCAAAGATACCCATTCTAGCAGGTGAGTCATGGTTTCTATTTGCTCCTCAAGGTCCACTCTCTACCCTTCTCTTCCCTGTCCTGGGCAGAGAGAGGCATCCACTGGGCCCCTTCACCAGCAGGAGCCTATAGGACATGGGGAGTGAGATGCTCCTGCCTGCTGACTGGGAGAGGCTGGTGGCCCCTCCTATAGCTGCAGCCCTTGCCTAGTTCTGGGAAGATGGCTCCCTCCCCATGTCCTTCAAACCTAAGGGTGGTAAAAGCCCCCTGCTGCTGCTAGTCCCTGAGTGCTTTGTCATTCTTGTTGCCTGTCTTTAACTCTGTGAACCTTTGTAAACAGAACTTCATTAATCTCCCCTCAATCACCTCTTTCTACTGTGCCATCTGTTTCTGCCAGACCCCTGATGATGCTCAGGGCTTAAATTAGTAGCCCATGGAAGGCAGCCCCCATGTCTCCAACAACCCTCCCCCCAGAGTCCTGTAGTCCCCCACACAAGGAGGCAGCTACATGCCAGTGTGGCCAAGTCCTGAACACACTGGACTTGGATCTGATAGCCTTGGGTGTGAGTTTCAGCTTTATTGCTGTCTGGTTGTGAGACCTTCAGCAAATTACTCAGACGTCTAAGGCTCATGTTCAGCCATCCACTAAATGAGGGTAATAATGTTCACTTCACAAGGCATTTGTGGGAAGTCAGTAAAATATTATTTACCAAGCACCTATTGCAGCCTCTGACAAGTGGTAGTTGGTCTGCAAAGAGCAGTCATTGTTATGTTTCCACGTTTTGTCCTGATGTGGGGAGTAGAACCTCTCACAAACCCAAGTCTCTTACCTACATCCTTTGAGACTGGGCTGGCCACTGAGTCTCCAATCCTACTGTTCACTTTGAAGGGTGGACCTTGGTTCCACTGGGCCCTGAAAGCCTGGCTCCAAACCCAGCCTTCAGCTTCAGTTCATTGAGAAACCCAACTTAGCCATCCAGTCACATTCTCCACAGCCAACTCCTGCACAACCACAGATGTGGGCTCTCGGTACAGCCTCCACCTCCCCACATACACCATGCATGAGGGCATCTGGGATGGACTTCTCTCTAGCTAGAGGCCATCCTGTGTGGCCCCAACTGGGTCTAAAGCAATGTAGGTCACCAAGGAGCCCAAATAGTTACAGCACCACCGACCACCACCAATATACACTGAGACGTGGAACTGCACTGGGCGTTTTTGAAGAGCCTTTCTCTCCATGCCTGGCACACATGCAGAGCACAGGAGACTGGTGTTGAAGGGGCTCTAGCCACTGACTCTGCTCTGGATGAACAGGGCCACATTCCAAACCCAGTGCTCCCAGCATTGCCCTCCTCGCACCCTGCCCTCGACCCCTTGATGGAAGTGGGCTCTCCAGCCCTGGTACTGGTTGATGGCTTGGGGGTTAGGGGCCCCGGCCATAGAGTGTTTCCTCTTGGGAAGCAATCAAAAACTTAAGACTATAGTCTTTCCTCGCATCCACAGCACTTGGGAAGGGGGTGAGAAAGCCGCTGTATTATCCCTCTGAGTTTTCCCAAAGTCAGGGATGGTGCTTCAGAACAGGGGCAGCAGCAACCTCCCAGATAACATGCTGCTCATCTCCCTGATGTGTCGGACCTGGCAGGTTTTCTCTTTACAGTAAAATGATTTTGATGGTATTCTTGCCTGATGTTAGATGAAAGTTCAGCGCTGGGCCTGCTCTCAGGAGACTGTTCTCATGAAAGGCTGGCACCCAGGACTCTGAGCTCCCCCCTCACCCCTCCCATGCCCCTGCAGCCTCCACTACCTCTGTGTGCTCCCCACCACTGAGGGTGTTCTGGGCCTCCCTCGCTTTGGCCTCCCCACTCTTAGCACAACTTCCATTTCCATATGGTTCACTGATGGACGGGGGCGACTATGGATGCAAGGACTGACGCTGCTCTCCAATAAAGATGAAGTCCTGAGCCAGTGAGACAAACACAGGAACAAGGAAAATGGAAAACCAAAAAGCCTTTCATTTGGGATACCAAAGTCCCAAATAGCCACAGTCCTTTGCCTTATTTTCCTTCTATCTCAGCTCCTTTTTCCATTCTGATACCGGGAAATATCAGATTCCCCCAAATCCTAAAAGATGGCCAGATACCCTTTCATGCCCACATGTGCCCTTTCCTATGTCTGCAAATATGCCATAGCCAGATAACCAAGAAGAAAACTGGGTCTTACCACCATGGCTGGGGACCCCAAGACCTCTCCAGCATCAAACATCTGTAGGCAGGAGCCAAACTGGCCAGACCATGTCAGTGGGCACAGAAAGGCAGGCCTCAGAGGCTGCCCTCTGGCCCAGGCATGGTGCTGGGCAGCCCCACCCACTCCCAGGCCATCAGGCCTCAGGGGGCATTTAATCAGACCTGTAGGCAGGCTTCTATCCAAGGCTCACCTTCTCCTGACTCAGATTCCTTCCTGACACAGAGCATACCCTTCTGCCAATCCAGCAGCAAAGAGAGAGAGAGAGGCAGAGGCCAGGAAAGGAAAGAACCACACAGGCATGCCGGGGTCCAGAAACAGCCTTTAAATCAATGTCCCAGCATGCTGATGGTGCAGGCCTGGCCAGAAGCCCACTGCTACTCAGTGCTACACCTATTTGCATTTTTGTGGTGAGAGTCAAAGACCTATGAAAATTTAGGAGCCTGGCATGTTCCAGTCTTCCAGCACCATGAATTCTAAGGGAGATTAAATCTGTTTGCCCCAGCCACTCTGACAGACCAATGAGTTTGCGCCAATGGCACATGAGTAAGAACCATGCATAATAAACCTGCTGCCTCCTGCTCTTTGTGGGCAAGATGAGAGAAGGCCTCTCACTTCATGAGGATGCAAGCACCCAGGGGGCATCAATCACCCTGGAGAAGAGCGGGGAGGAGAGCCTGCACGCCCATGCAAAATGACTCTCTGCAGCCCTAATGAAGGCCGGCGATGGATGGTGGCCCAGGCTCGTTAATCAGAAGGAATACGCTGCCATCTGCCTCTCCCTGCCAGGCCCTCCTGGGCCCTCAGTCCTGATTGATCTGTGGCACAGTAATTCTCAGATGGCACAGGCACTGAGCTGTGCCCTTAGGACCCCTGCATGCACTGGCAGCAGCTCCGGAGAGCCAGGATCCCTGGGTGGGATGGCTGTGGGGGGCTTGGGGACGTGCCAGTGAGGGGCAACCAGTCAGGGAAGGAAAGAGTGGGGGCAGGCCCAGAAGGCTCTCAAGTTCTCCTGGACACATCCCAGACCAGACTGGTGCTGCTGAGGCTCCAAAGGCTGCATCACCATGCAGCTACCCTCCAGGAGGCTGACACCAGCTGCTGCCATCCTCTTCCAAGTATTCGCCATTCTTAGTGTTGCCATGCAGAGGCTGCTGCCCCATGGGTACCACTCCCCTCACATACAGTCTTCATGGCCTACTTCACTGCCACCTCTCCAGTTCAAGACCTCAGCCACCCCTCTTCAGAGAGCCAGGCTGGCCTACTGCAGCCCCCAGACTTCTACCCAGGAGTCTTCCCTGACTGAAGCTGACCACATCATACCCTGACTCCACCCCACCAAATCCCTCCAGCCCTCTAAAACCTCACCATCATCCCTCTCGGCCCCTCTGGGAAGTTTGCCTAACTGCCCAGCCTTGGCCCTCCTCCCCGGAAGATGTAGCCCACCTTGCACAAACAGCCCTAGCCCAACTTTTCATGGCTTGCATTCTGTGCTGCCTTTTCTGTGGTTTCCTGCTCCATTTCCCTGCAGGCTCTGAGAGAATAGTGCCAGGATCTTCACTCTCACCCATGGGCTGCCACACCTTGCAGAGTACCTTGCACTCAGAGATGCCCTGTCCACTGCATCCACTGATGGCCAATGAGCCTTTCCTGCTGCATGATTCAGGCCCAGGAGTTCAAAGGCTGCAGGATGCAAGGTGGAAGTCTGGTCCCTTTTCCTCCAGGTGGCCTCCCCGATAACTTAAGCCACTGAGTCTGTCCCATTCCTGAACTCTGCATAGTCTCACCATTCAGAGCAGGTCTCAATCACTCCACTTTTTATCCATCTCTCCCTGTTCCACAGGATTGATTGTGAAGTGCTTACAATAGCTTTTCTGTCCCAGTTCTCACCCTGTCCTGTTGTACCACATGACCACTGTCAACTGCACAGGAGGTCAAGGGGAGGGTGGTGCTGGAATCAATGGACCACCAAGGGCCGACCCATGAGAGAAGCCTAATGAGAGTACGGCACACTCTTGTCTGTGAGATCATAGTTCTGACCTCCTCTAGCTATGCAGTTGCCAGGGGTCAATGGCAAGATGCCCAAGGCCCCTCCAGTGCTACCCCTCTGACTCCACAGATGCTCCCAACTGCAGGAATGAACCTTTTGCCATTCTACCCCTTCTTGTCAGGGAATGCATGTCCAGCCCTGCCTGTCACTCATGCTGCTATGTCCTCTGTTATCACCAAGATATCTGGAGAGTACTCTGGTAAAACTTCTATTTGTGTTTCCCAATCAATAGCATTGACTGGCTCCTGGCATCCAGCATGTCCTGAGATCCCAAATATTCACAATGCCATAAATATCCTCCTCACCAGCCTCACAGAGCTCTTGCAGTGAATGCCTCTGTGCATAAATGTCTTTGGAGGAATTTGACGATCCAGGTAGAGCTCCCATGCTGGCCTTCGAGGTGTCCTGGTTTTCCACAGTGGGGGGCAAACAGGCATGATGACCTTAGAGTCCCTCCTGCCCTCCTACTCTGCTGTGAGCATTTGGTCTACCCACTGTAGGAGGAAGGGAGGGCAAGGAGGGGTCCTGGGCCTCAAACCTCCCAGGGCCAGAGCAGTCACACTCAAAAAGCTACTTGCAGCCTTAGGGACTAGATAACTTCCACATCACAACCCAGATGCCCCAGGCCTAAGGATGGCACTCTTAGCTACACTGCAAACATTTTATGGAATCATTCCCTTAGCAGCTAAACTGAGACTGAAGAGAGGCCCTACATATTAGTTTGTTGGAGGGAATGGACTAGGAGGCAGCCAACCACACTGTGTGGGGCTGGACCTCTCTCTGCTCGATCTTCCTGGGGTTGGCTGATCACTCTAGGTCCTTTTGGACTGAAGTCTGAGGCTTGTACCTGAGTGGAAATTGAAGTGCTGATCCTGGTCTCCTAACACTGGGCAGTTGGGGGCAATCTGGAAGTCACCTCTTCCTCTTGTAATGCTGGAAGCTCAAGGAAAGAGTCATTTGTCCACTTGGCTTTGAATTCTCCCTGTGGAGGTAGGGGTGAAGGTTTTCTTGAGGGGCTGTGGCCTCAAGACTCCCTATCCTTTTCCTGAGGCCAAAAGAGCAGACTTCAGGAAAAATGACACCAGTGGTTCTCTTCCTTCTGAACTGAGAAAAGACCAAGGTGAGTAGCTTCAGGATCTGGAGGTTTGTTCTGTGTCTTTCAGCTTGGACATGATGGGATCCAGATTTCATCTGCTCATTCATAGCACTGCCTGCTATCCAAATGCAGTGGAAGATGGGCCCTAAGTCTGGGCCTGGCTCGCATTTCAGAACCTCTCAAGGCTTGAAAAGCTTCGGAGGCATGGTGTGCTCCTCCACCCCAAGCTTGAGCCTTGGCCACAGCACCCTACCCAGGTGGTCACGCAGTCTCCGCTTGCTCACCTCCAAAGATGAGGCACTTACTACTTTCCCAGAGAGACATTTTCTTGTTAGCTGGTTCCAACTTTCAGAAGGCTGGCTCCTTGGGATTCCCTTTCCTTGGTCCTTGTTGTGTTCCTGAAAGGCCCCCCACAGAATCAACTACTCCCCTTTCTCCATGGCATCCCTTCAGATTATGAGAGGCCAGGACCTCCTGAGCATTCTGTTTCCTAGCCACCACACTCTTGGGTCCATCAGCTTTTCTTCCAGCCCGCCCCCCGCCCCCACCTTGTGTGTACTGTTCTCTGATGGGCCAGCACCCATTGCTGAGCTCTATATGCTCCACGGGGTCTGATCAGCCCAGCGAAAAAGTGGGTTATCACCTTCTTGGTGGGCACATCCTACCTCTGTTGATGGATTCCAGGACCACAACAACTGTCTGAGGAGCCCCATGGCACCATCAGGCTCACTTCATCTCTCTATCTGTTCCCTTATGAATTCCACTGAGCATCCTACAGTCTCTCCAGGAGAAATGTGGCTCTGCAGAATCCATGTGCAGGACCTGAAGGACTCTGACAAGAAGCTCCTCTTCCATGCTGTAGGTGCCCTTCCTCATTGCCCTCACCTTCCTCCTCCTCCCCCTCCTCACCTCTCTTTCCTTCTCCCTCCTCACGCCTTCTCCCTCCTTGTTTCCCACTCTCTCCTTTCTCCTCCCTCTTTGTGCTGTTGTTGCTGCTTAACAGGGTGCTTCTGGGATGAACAGTGTTTGCAGCTCTGGCCAGGAATATATCAGGCCTTTCCCAGCCCTGCCCCTGTCCTCACCACGCTGGTGGAGCTCTGTGGAGAGTTGGGCCAGACAATGGGCCAGTGGGTTCACTTGGGAACTCACAAAAGCCCTATTGCCCTCCACACAGCGCAGAGTGACAGGCATAGGGAACAAATCCCCTTCCCTGCAGGCTGCCTGGGTAGGATAATATGGGGGCACAGGGCCTCTGGAAGCATGGCTGGAGGTCTGGGCCCTGGGCCCAAGACAGCCTATGGAGAGGGCCAGCCCCTCTATCACTCAGAATTCACTGAGCTGCAGAGTCACAGAGGCTTGGCATGGCCCCAGCCCTCATGTTTGTTGGGAATGTTAGCACCTCCATGCCGACACACTGAAGCCTCTAGATGCATACGCAGAAGGCCCCACACCATGTGTTTGGGGTCTGAGAGAAGAGGGTTTGCAAAAAGGAAGATAAGATACACAGCTTACTGCACTGCAGTGTGGGCTTTGTAAGGGCAGGAACTATTCCCAGGCAAGGGCTGGACACAAAGCACAAGCCCATGAGTGACTGAATCAGTGAGGGAAGAAGATGGAAATGAGACCCTAGCCTGGCTACCAGCTGTGGTGTGCAGCACCTCAAAGGAGGAAGCTTGGAAATTTCTAGTCTCTAACCCTGCACCAGGAGGACTCTGGATTTAAGAGCAGGAGCATGTTGGAGGCCCGGAGAGGGGAGGCCACATTCTAGCAGGCTGGAGAGGGGAGAACATGTGGGGCAAACACTGACATAGACAATTATCCCTCACTTCCGAAATGCAATCAGTCAATGACATCTACTGTGGGCATGGCCCAAGACTTTACTGAATTTTTAAATTGAGTAATACAGCCAAGTTCTACTCTTTCTTATAAGATGTCTATTCTCTTTTTCTTTAAGATTTCCATCACCAGTGCTGGCTGGCTTTCTTGGTGGGGAGGGGGCGGGCAGGGGGGTCAGTCACTTTTCTTCCACTTCACGGGAGGCAGTTAATCTAATGTATGTAATGCAATGATGATAACTGGCAATCAGCAAAGCACTTGCATCCCTCTTGGCTGGTACCTTAGTGCCTGTGGGTCAAATTTGCATCTCAGCAAAATGACACGGAACTTCACTCTACAGCATTCAAATCTCAGTGTTAAATCTGGTAATGGCCAGAGACAACTGAGCTGTGTTTTCTTTATGTTTCACCAAGCACTTTGGGCCCATCTGCCCTTCCTTTAGAAAAATGATGCAAAGCTTTGTCTACCAGCAGAAGAAAACACATATCTACTTTATTTAGTGGACTCTTACCTAGCCAGCCATGGTGCAACTAAGAGAGCACTGGAGTTGAAGTCAAAAGATAAAGGTTCCAATCTAAGCTGTGTTGATAATGGCAATGTGGCACTGGGTAACCCACACAACCTCTCTGAGCCCCAGATTTCTTATCAGTAGCATGGATGCAATATACCTGTTTCCCACGTTAATTTGAAGATCGAATGAGGTACTTTTTGTGAAGTGTTTAACACTGCACCTGGCCCATAATAATCACTTATCAATGCTAATTATTATTATTTCTAAACAGTTGGATTCAGATATATGCCTTTTATAAATAGCACTTGTCTAGCCATTAGAGTTTATAAACTATTTTCACAGGCATTATCTTATCTTAGAAGACCATTAAGAGACAAGCATTGGCCCTACTGTTTGAGATCTCATTACACAAACTGAACACAACACCATCAGTTGAATGGTGGCTCAACTCCCTAGACCTCTGGGGTGATAGCCTCTGGGCTGCAAAGCAGCACAGGTCTAGGTAAAGTCCTCCAGCCCAACCCAGGAGCACATTCTCCAAGAGGGCCTTGGTTTACCACTGACCACACTGGCTGCTCTGATAAGTGTTATGATGGTCTGCTCTGGCGGCTGGCAAACTTCATATGTTAGGCTTTGGGAGCCATAAGATCTCTGTTGCAACTACTCAATTCTGCCATTGCCATTACCTCATGTAAGCAAACTATAGGCTGGATTTGGCCCATGATATATAATTTTCCCACCACTAGATAGTGAAGGGTTGTGGCCTGGACAAACATGCTAGAAGAATTTGATCAGTGATATTTAAAACTTGTCTTTTCACGTTTGATCACTTCATTCATTATTTTATTGTACAATTAAAAGAAAAAACTCTTACAGCTATCAGCATACCTATAAACGTCCACAAAAGTTTGTGTGACCTCTAGAATACCAGAAAATCACCAGCTGGAACCCAGAGGATACTCAATGAACAAAAATAAAATTAAATAAAATTTATATTACTAAGTCATCTAAATAGAGTGTACCTACAGAAGATGACTGGCCTAATTCTGATCTATGATGCTATCCCCTCGGGCTAAATGGTTTCAACAAAATTCAAAAAGGAATTTGAGTCCTTCCAAAGGGGTATAAAGGGAAACAGAATAAACATGGGGAACACAGGCCTCATTTGCCATTAATGAATTTGCAGAGGAACGTGTATAATTAGTGTGTTTGTCAGCTGGGTTTCTGTAGACTTGGCACATCAATGGGATCGCATCACCATGGGAGCGCTCAGAAGGGCCATGGGCCCTGGGCTCTCGGAAGAGTCTCCTCTGATCTTATGGAAACCACCAATCAGAGGTATGAGAAAGGAGATCAGCCAAGAGAAAATTCAATACTGCAAAATCAGGTGGCAGAGGAGTGAAGCTAGCAGATGGGCAAAGGGGGCTTCAGAAGGGAAGCCAACAGCAAGATGCTCAATCGAAACAGTCCAAGGACTGCCTGGGAATCATGGGGAAACGGCAAGGCTCTGTCTGGCTTTCACAGCTTAGAGGGCAGTTGGGAGGAAATGTCCACAGCAAGGCTCCTGGTCAGCACCAAGAGGAAACATAAGCCAAGAGTCAGTCCAGATTTGGCCAGACCTCAGCACAGGAAAAGAGGAGGCCAGAAGTGTGGTGTACTCCACAGGCCACACTGACTGGCCCTTGTAAAACCACCTCACCACCTGCTGCCTTTGCTCTTCCTCTTTTCCTTAGGCTTCCACTCCATTGCACCTTTTCCCAGCGGGTGGTCCCTACAGATGTGCTGGGCTGATGGATAAACCACATGTGCTTCCCAAAGCAGAATGCTTGCCCTGCCCCCTGGTTGGCAATGCTGGGCAGTCAGTAATGCCGGGAATGACAAGAGAAATGCCTGACATGCGGAAAGTGACAAGAGAAATGTGTGGAAGGTGTGGCGGGGAGTGGCTGCAGTGCGCACACTCCACAATCAGTTTGGTAGGCCAGCAGCATGTGGAAACTCACAGAGAAAATATGTCGGCTTCAGAGAGAGGCTCCTGGGGCCCCCTCAGCCAGCACTTTGGATAGCTCCAAAGAGGAAAGTGGAGGAAGGCTGATCCCCAGTGTCCATCCAATCTTCTCTACCTGCAACTTACAAGAGTATTCTAAAGAAACACTGCACTGGAGGTGGGTACTGATGCAGCTATTGGGGAGTGAAGCAGGACCCTCACCCACAGCCACAACCACTCCCACATGGTCTCAGGGGCTGACTCATGGTGACCAGTGCTGTGGAATCATGCCCCATTACTTTTGTTTTACAGTTTCAGCTCCTGTAGAGATCATTTGTCTCTCCAAGTGCAGTCCTGTGACTGGGCACTCTGCCACCTGGTGCAAAGCCCGCTCCCCTAAAAGGCCCCTGGTTAAAGCAGAGAAGTAAAAGAGCTAGGCATAGCAGACCCAAACAAGAACATTTTGTCAAAAACAGATCTCTTTCACCAACTAAGCTTGAACAAATTGTATAAACACTATATTTAGACACTTTGAAGGAATGTTTAAAGTTTGTGTTTCCTAAATGACAGTCAGATGTCTTCCCTGACTATCTGTGATCAGCTGTAGAATTCACTTCCCCATCCCATACTCGTGATCTCCAAGAGACTAGCTACTCAGTGTGTGTGCCAAAATCTCTCAGCCATAGCCCCTTGGTGAGGAGGTATTTCTCCCAGCTATGAACTTTTTCCCATGCAGAGTCAAACCATCCGCTGGCTCAGCAAGTGTAAAGCCCCAAAAACTGTGGGTTGTTGCTTCTGAGAAATGTCCACCCCCATGGTGCTTACCTGCCACCCCCCACCACAGACCACAGACCACAGACACACTGGCCCAGGCTGACACCCACTCGCAGGCACCCCTCCACCACCCTAGCAGCTGCCTGCTTTCACACGCTGCCTCAGAGATGAAAGCGACTATGTCCCTTAAACAGAAGAGAATATTTTGAACAGAGAATTAACAGCAAATTAAACTGGTTTCACTGTACTCATTCATGCACAAAATTAGTGTGGGAGTTAAACCAAGAAAAAGCAAACAGGCGATGTGTTGCGATAATCAGAGGGCAGAATCCAGCCTCAGAAAGAAATGTTCACTCAGAGGAGGAAAGCCTGGGAGCTACAGGCTCCTAATTGGGCAAGAGTGCTACCTCTTCTCCCACCTGGAGCCAGCCTCCTTTCCAGGGCTGGGGGATCCAAAAGGGCTTGGAGATCTCCTAGGCCAGCAGCAGACAGCCTCATGACAGGTAGACACACCCTCCTGAAAAGGCCCCCGGTGCTTGCCTGCTCTGCTCCCTGGGCAGCTGCTTGCACTGCCGCTGCACAATCAATGAAAAACATTACAGAAACAACCAATTAGGGCCTGAAATGCCTTCAGGCTTTTTCCTTCGTGGGCACATCTGGCTGCGGTGGGGTCACAGTGAAACTTCTCTCCTGTGGATTCACTGGGACCCAGAATTAGCAACAATGGAATAATAACCAGCTTTAGAACACCAAGCAATTTTTAATAACTTCACAAATCTTTCCTTCCAACTCTGTCTGGTTAATCTATTACCTAATTCTTACCTTTGATAGAATTCTTACCTTTGGTCCCTCCATTTACCAAGGCCCCATCATTCCCATCCCTAGAATAAAACCTGGTCCAGGCGTACACAGTCCAGGCTGGGTGGAAGGGAAGTATACATGAGTGGACAGTGAAAGGACCCCAAACTTCCAGCCCCAAGGACCTTCTGAGAAGGAGATTCTCAGAAAGGGCAGCAGCGATCCCAAGCAAATTCATTTTAATGACAAATGATGCTGCTAAAAGTGCCGGTGCTCACTGTGCACGTCAGCACATCCTAGGCCTTGAGGCAAGCTGAGGCTTCTCTCCTGGGCACACTGCTGAAGAGGCCAGAGAGGTTGGATGTGAAGAGTCAGCCTCTCTCATTCCATACACTCACCCTTGTTTTGCCAGCACCAGTAGGAGCTACCCTAAAGCTTCAGGGGATGCCTGGAATGCAGGAGCCCAGACTGGAGCCCTGAGCAGGCTCTCAGAGCCCTGCTCCTTCCAACGACCTCCAGATAAGCTCTTTGTTGTCCCCAGCTTGGCACGGAGCCACCCAGAGCTCCAAGTGGAGTGCCCGCACTTTTATTTCTATTTATTTTTAATACATCAAATAAGATGAGAGAAACATAAGTTTTAGTAATACCGAATATACAAATGGGACCTAGTACCCTCAACTTGGGCCATAGTCAGGACCATGTGTCCTGAAAAGCCTGCAAGGGCAACCTGCGGAAGGGTGGCCAGGGTGCCCTAACTCCATGTTCATTATCTGCATGGAATATGGCAATTTACAGATGCCTGGTGAAGAGCATTTCCAGGCCACATTATCTGGTTTAGACTAAACTAACCGTTATAGAGATGGAATAAGTGGCTTTCAAAATTGCTGCAAAAGATACTCAAGTCGAACCACTCTGATACCTTAAAGCATAAATAAAGCCCAAGAGCCTGAGGCTGCTGACACTCACCCTACTCCCAGTAATAGCTCTTCATCAGCCACACGAAGAGCTAAAAACTAGGATAATCTAATCAGATATGACAAGAAATTGGCAAAAATATCAAATAATCAAGAAGGCTATATGAAATACAGTTATACTTCCACTATCATTAATGATGAACCTTACCCTGAGTGTTTATTCTGCCTGCTGTACCAGCTAATGAGATGAAGAAGCCATTTTAATCATAGCAAGATCTGTTAAAATATTGTTTATTTCATCTTTATCTGATTTTTAAATAATTTCCTTTTATTGCATATATTAAAATGCACAAAATGCATTAGCACAGTAGCACATGCACACATTCACTATATACATAAATATAAAAGTCTTGGGACTGATGCTTGGTCTGGGATCCTGGAGTTTTGGAGACCACTTCCCATCTCACTGGGTGGCACCTTCCTCCTGCCAGTGACTCAAGCCAAAAACTTGTACACCCTCCTGGACTCCTGGCTCCCCTCTCTCATCCACTTTTCTATCACTTCTTCTCTGTCCTTCCTCTCTGAATATCTCCCAATAATTCCATCTATCTCTATATCCACTGACATTGCTCCCATACAGCCACAGCCCCCTCTCTCCTAGGCACCTGCATCAGCCCCTAACTACTGTCTCGCCCCCTTTCTTGCACCTCCCAAATTCACTCTTCATCTCACAGACAGGTCGGACTTCTATAAATGCAAATTTGATTATATCTGTCCCTTATGCAAAAGCTTTCAATAGCTGCCCATGGATCTCAGAGAAAAGTACAAGCTCCCTTTCCCTCCTCCTCCACATTGTCACTGTCATCAGCATCACAAATAACAAGTATTGCTCCTTTCCTATTGGCCAGTCACTGGTGCTGAATATGTCACATCCACTCTTTTAACATCCACAACCCCTTTAAGAGGTAGTTACAGGTACTGCGTTCACTTGACAGATGAAGATACAGAGGCTGAGGGAGTAGTCCACATTTCTACAGCTTTGCTCTGTCTCTGCCTCCTGCAGTTCTCCCTGGCCACCCACACAGCTCCCCAGAATTGCCCTCAGTTCCACCCCCATCCTCTCTCATGCCCAAGCTGCACCCATGGCTTCCTTTGCCTTGAACGCCACCATTCCTTTCCCCTGGATGACTCTTCTTGCCCTGCTGGCTGTAGCTTAGAGGCTGCACTCAGTGAGATGCCTTTCCCATATGGGCCACCAGTGGCTGCCAAGCCAGCAGGTGAGAAGCCTGTGGGGAAACCAAACTGGGCCCAAACCTGCCCAAGCCTCCAGGTGTAACTCTCAGTTTGCAGGATGTCCAGGGAACCAAGGAACCAGGAAACAACACCATGGGGATACAATCAGCAAAACCCAGACCCTGGGAAATGCTATAGGACATGTAGCCTGGTTTATCCAACAAATAAATTAAATGAAAAATAAGAAAAAATAAGAAGGGCGAAGGAGCCTAAGGAGTCTTTTAAGAGACAAATCAACCAAGTGTTACGTGTAGATTTTGTTTAGATCCTGATTTAAATAAACCAACTGTAAAACTTTTATGAGACACACAGGAAAATCTAAACACTGACTGGGTATTTGATAACACTAAAGAATTAGTGTTAATTATTTTAGATGTGATAATAATATTGTGGTTATGTTAAAGAAAGAAAATATGTACATATTAATGTAAAAATATTTAAACTATGCTCAATAAAATTATAATAAGATTTAAAAAGTTTTTTTTTTAAAAAGAAGTTCCACATCCCAAGCCCCAAGTGTGAATTAAATTAGGTACTGTATGAATTCTTAGAGTCCCCTAATTTTTCATCAGACCAGTCACCACATTTGCAACTAACAATTTCATTAACATCATTCTTCCCCATGCAACTGTATGCTATGTGAGGACATAAATGTGTCTGTTGGTCCATTGAGACCTTCCAACACAATGTATGCACACAACACCCTCCAACACACACCCATGTGCCTCTCACAACTACATCCACCTGTACCAACACACAAATGCACACCATGTACACACCCATGCCCCCTCACACCTACATACACCTGTGCTCACACACACACATGCACCCAGGTCCTCCTCACACCTACATACACCCATGGCCACACACAAATGCACACCACACACACTTGCTCTTATGTCCTCACATGCTTTTTCCCATCTCTCTGCCAGGTCTACCTCCTCACTGGGCCCCGTTAACCCAGGCAGGAGGGCAGGAGGAAGAGGAGTCATGACATCCTGGAGGCCTGAAGTCCATGTTATTTTAGATGTGTACTTAAAATATCCTGATTTCTCAGGACCAAGATTCTACCTCTCCACCCACCCTCTAAGCTGCCCTACCCACACACCACCAGTCTTATTCCTTGACTACCATTTTATTCTATTTATTCCTGGTTCCAAATCCTTTTTAGGTTATCTCTATTCAGCTATTACTACTACAAAAAAAATAAAAATAAAAAATGAGCAGCCAGCAAGCACAGGCACTTTGCTGGGACCACTAGGAGACCTAAAGATGTAAAAGGTAAGATTCCTGCTTCCAAGGGCCATGGCTTCTCAGCCAGAACAATCTCCATGACAGTCATCATGTCTGAGCACAACTGTGGCCTTTGCCTGCCATGACTCCCCAGCAGCCTATGAGACAGGCCCTATTGTCACATTTCTATAGAAGGAGAAACCAAGGCTCAAGAATCCAAAGCCTCAGTATATACTGCAACCAGAGCCCGCTTCTAACCAGAGTCTTATCTAGCCCCAAAGTCCATTCTCCTACAGTGGTTTAATCACCATAGACACAATGACCTCCATAGTCCATGTCCTACAACTCCCAGCCTGGAACAAATCTCTGGGTCCATCAGTCTACTACCTTGCAAACTCACCAGGTATAGTCATGACTCTCTGTTATACCCTTGCTGTGCCCCCACCTGGAAAGCCCTTTTCCTGGAGAAGCTCCTCCAGGCATGGTAGCATGTGCCTGTAGTCCCAGATATTTGGGAGGCTGAAGCAGGAGGATGGCTTGAGCCCAGGAGTTCAAGGCTGCAGTGAGCTATGATCATGCCATTGCAGTCAAGCCTGGTGACAGAGTGAGACCCTGTCTCTTCCAAATAAAACAAACAAAACAAAACAAAACAAACAAACAAAAACAGAAGCTTCAAGTCTAAGAGTGTGTTTTGAGTGGTTGAAAATAAGGAAGATATCAACTTTAGGATGTGATAAACACTATATTTAGAAAGATATTTATTCTGCCTTTTGGGAAGTGAAGGAGAAATGAGGGAGCTTGAGTTGAGGCTTAGCGCTTGAGTAGGAATGTGCTAGTCAAAGAAGCATGGAAGGTCATTCTAGGCAGAAGAAACAGCAGGGCGAAGGCACTGAAGCATGCAAGATCTGGGTGTTTTGGGGGGTCAACAAGCTGCCCAGTGTAGAATCTTTGTGCAATGAGGAGAGTAAAGGAACATCGCAGGCCAATCTCAGGACCAATCTCACTCCCTACCTAGAAGAGCTAGCAAAAACACTCCACAATCCCTGAAGCCCTGCAGCTGAGAAGGATGGTAAAGATGATGATGATGATGAACTTCATGCATCAGGGGTCTAAGGTGTCTTTTCTGTTCCTAACTACTCCTGGGAATTGCCCTGTCAACCCTCAAATGGTGTGAAAAGCCCATGAATCCATGTCTCCTCCTCCACCCCACAGTCCAGCACACTGGGAAAATAAGAAAATAGAAAGTGATAAGTAGGGATGTTTTCCTCATCTATTGGGAGACAATCAAGAACTGACACATGACATCCTCCAGACCATGCCTCCCCGACAGTGCCCTCCACCCCCACTCCCTGCCCTCCAAGTGGAGGCTGCAGAGGTCTTCTGAAGACTGCCTAGAGTCAGAGTTCCAGGGTAGGCCTGAGCTCCAGGCTGGTCCACAGCACACCCAGCACTGCACAAACTTCATTCCAATGTGGAAGGAAAATGTCAAGGTGCTTCCCAAGGCCTGAAAGCTGAGCTCCCCTGAAGGCTGGATCCATGTCCTGAGGATCCCTGGAACTCCTCTGCTTGAAAACGAAATGACACACGTGACAGGGCAGACATTCCCACTCCTGAGCAGCAGTTGTTTCCTCCATAAGCAAACAGACCCTGTACAGACATTGCTCTCCTCTCACAGATGGGTGCCTAGAAAACACAAAATTGCTTCCAGACTACAGATTGTGCCGAAGCCCTGTATCACCTGCTAGCGTGCAGACTCTACCGTCACTTGTCTGGAGTCTCCAGGGAGTTGGGAGCATGGGGGTTGGCCTGCCACCAAGTACAGAGAGAAGCTGAATCAGTGCCATTCGATAGGGCTTGGATTTTAGATGACAGGGTCAGAAAAAGGAGGTCAGGCTCTCCTCCTTTAGATGAAGAGGAGTCAGTGGAGACTGGGCTGGAAATCCTACACACTCAGCTTCTCAGCCCCATCCTGCCATGAGCAGCACTTGGTGTCATCATGATCAAGTGATTTTTTTTCATCTGAAAATGGGACTGTTAATGACATCCATTTATAGGAATGATATTTGGAGTGATGAGATGAATATAAAAGTGTAACTTATAGGAGGCTGGCCATGAAGTTGATTCGCTGGGATCACAAAACGCTTGGCCCATGTGCAGTCACCCCCCAACTGCCTTCCCAGGCACACTCATCCACCTAGGGTAAGGTCCCTCTCACCACAGCCCACCCCACAGACTCCGGAATCGATGTCAGCTGGCCCAAGAGATAACATTGATTTATTTGCCTTCCTGGGATTAATCAGAGAGGCCCCAAGTCATCATGGAACCTAAGGATTATTTAGTGATGAAACACAGGGGGGTGCTACACTCCACATACAGCTTGGGCTCCTCCCAGTAGGAAGAAGAGCTACCATGGAAGGGCTTTAACCTCCACCCTTTGTCGCAGCACTGACAGCCCCAGCTGTCAGAGCAGAAAGATGTTTCTCCCCATGGAGGGAGTGCAGACACAGCCCACTTGGGCTGATGTCCACAACCAGGCACGGTCTTTCTTTCACAGACAATCCTAGGGTTTTCAAGCCAAGATGAAGGAGGGTGTGTGAGGAGGAATAAAGGCCCCAAAGGGAGAAGTGGCCATTCATCCATCATCCATTCAACATGCCAATCAACAGTGCAAGGGAATGACGGGGGCTGGCCACTTCAAAGTGGGTGGTCAGGGGAGGCTGCCCAGAGGAAATGCCACCTTGAGTTGTGGATGAGCTGTGGCCCTGAAAAGACCCGTGGAGAAAATATCCTGGGCAGAAGAAAAGATGGTGCCAGAAGATCGAACACACCTGTGATGTGAGGAGCGCCTTAAGAGGCCTGCGTGTGATGTAACCAACCCCTGCTTTGCTGGCCTGCACTGAGGGTCCCTGCAGGGCCGCTCCTTCACTGGCCCTTTCTTTGCCCACCAGCAGTTGCTCCTTTCCCCACCCTCCCTCACCCCTGACCCAAGAATGACATTGCCAGGAGACTCAGGTCTGAGTCCAGAGGATTAGAAAGGATCTGGGATTGGGGTATCCCTTCCTTACAGATGCTGTGGCCATTCAAGGCCCCCCAGGCCAAAATAAGGTTGGACTCTTCCAGAACCCTACAGATGATGTGCTGACCAAGAAGATAACTGCCCTTCAGGAATAAATATGGTAGAGGGCTGGGCTGGGCCCCAGGTTCCCTGACTTAACTCTGATTGTGGCAGAGAATCATGGATCACCTCTGCCCTCTGCTTTTCAGAAAAACCCTCCAAGTATCAGTCATCTCATTGCAGGGCCCTGTGTGGCCCAGGCCCACACTCCATACAGCCCCCTGGTGACAGGCAGATATTACGCAAGGAGCATGACACTCACCAGGAGGGACCCCCATCCAGCTCCCTTGCTCGCCATTAGGAGGCAGAGCCACTAGGCTCACCCTTCGCCAACCTCCACTCGCTTGGACACCCAAGGGCTCTTGGGCAGGGCCTGACGACAATAGCCGCAGTCGGCATACAGATTGCGGTTTCTGTCACCACCAAACCTGTGGTGCTTTCCAGCAAATCTGCCCAAGCAGGGCTTCCCCCTGAACCTGGCACCTCAGGGAATTATCCCTGATGAGCCAAGGCTTCAGAGCAGAGAGCAGGGTGTGGAGAAGGTTAGCGCCATTGAGATTTACAGTGGAGACCAGCATGCTTAGTGGGGCCATCGATGAAGGAGCAGGCCCTTGGCAGAGGAAATCATCAGGTCACTCCACAAAGAGAAAGGTCAGCAACAACACATCAGTGGGGGTGGAAATAATCACTGTCTGAATAATAACAGTAATATTCACGACAACAAGAGCAACCATTATTGGGTGCTCACCGTGTGCCAGGCATGGTCTCAGTGTTTCTGTTAATCCTCAATAAGCTTATGAGACAGGTTCTGTGATTGTCCCCCTTGTGCTGATGAGGCAATCCACATCCAGTGCACCAGATTATGGAAGAGGGCAGCCAAGGCCAAGGAAAACTGGTAAAGAACAAGCTCAGCAGCCAGAAGACTCAAGTCAAATACAGCTCAACAGGTCTGAGATGACTTCTGCAGGGAGGGCACGAAGGAGCTTATGGGCCCGTGAGCAGCTGGAGGTCTCGGTGATCTAGGTGGCATCTTAGTTAGAGCTTAGCCCCTGGCCTCAACATGCCACAATATGTGTCCTGGTGTACCTGTAAAATG
Organism: Homo sapiens; assembly: GCF_000001405.40. Classification (NCBI taxonomy): domain Eukaryota; kingdom Metazoa; phylum Chordata; class Mammalia; order Primates; family Hominidae; genus Homo; species Homo sapiens. The sequence goes on along the minus strand of NC_000003.12, from coordinate 134,896,101 downwards.
CTTCTATTTCTTCATCTCCCCATTGATCCTAGGAAGGCTACACCTCCCTGCTGGCAGATGTGTGAAGAAAACTAAAGAGGGAGTCAAAGGAAATATTCTAGTTCCTTGCTTCTCCCCAGCCCCTAACTCATCTTCAAGCCTGTTTGCCAGTCCAGAGATGGGTTGGCAAAGGCTACAGAAATTGGGACATTTTGCTGTAACTAAAGGGAAAAGTAGAGGACAGCCTTATGAAGGGACCCATGCTCATTTCAATTTGGATTTGAATTGCATAAACTCCTTCACCCTGTCCATCCTTTTCAAAATGCAGAAGATAAACCTGGCTCGCTCTTCTGTTATCAGCCCACTTTCTCTAGCAGTTGAAACTTGAATAGAAATTTAAGCTGCCCTGCTTAACATTCGGGTGGCTTTTCCTCTTAGAGCTTATAAATACAGAATTCACTTTTGCTTACATGAGTGCTGGGAAGATATTTGAGCATTTTTAACTGGAAAAGTGCATGTTTTCAGATTCTGTATCTGCACGTAAAAGGTCCTAGCACCATATTTTAATTTTTAGCTTCATCCAAGCCTGGAAAATTTCCACTTCAAAGCTGTGGCTTTCTTATTTTCCTTGTGGAAAAAATGCATTGGTAACAGAGATGATTCTCTCCCAGCTCATCTTCTCTCTGCGTGATGTTGGAAGGATAGCCACTCACTCTCCTACACACTCCTTCTGCACAGGACACCAAGACCACCCCTGTGTCCATCTGGATCCTGACTCTCTGTGACTGGGAAAAATGTTACACTCACAGATTATCTGGTGAGCCAGCAAATAAAGAATGAGAAGACAAGATCAAGACGGTGTGGATCTCTGTGGGTGTCAACTGCTGGGGCCAAGCTGAGCTGGAAAGAGCAAGGTGGCCCTCAATGCAGTGGAAAGGAAGCAGGGAAAAGCAGAGGGCACTGGGGTTCTCCTAATGTAGACTCCTATTTTGCATTAATTTTGTATAAATCACATCTTTTAAACTGCAAATCTCCAGAAGAGAGGAAAGTGATTATTAAAGTAGAAGATTTGGTTGTGCATGAGAGAGTGAAAAGCCTGTTTCAATGCAGAAGCCCAAGGCTGGAGGCAGCCACTCCTTTCAGATGCTGGAGATTTGTTGAACTCAAACAAGAAAAGAATAGGCTCTGGCATAACAGCCACAGTACTTCATTCCCAGGAAAGAAGAGAAAAGAGAAACCACAGAAAAACACCAGTTAGGGGAATAAAACCAACAGAAGGAGATGTTTTCCCGGAACAAAGCACTTGGCTCTTCAATGTGTTTCTGCAGATCAGAGGTGACCACGAGGAGGACGCAGAGAAAATCCTACCTTCTATGTCAGGTGTATTCATGAAACACCCAACTAAGTAGTGATGTTGAAAAGCGCACAGCAGAGAGTCTGGGTACTGAGGCTGGCTGGTCTGCTATATCAGAGCCCTTGCTCTGAACTGAACCTCCCCATTGTTCTTCCAGAGCCCTCTTTCACTTGTCAGAACCCAGGAAAATCAAACCAACAATCTGGGCTTTATAAACAGTGTTTAGACAGGGAGAAGGACAATACAGAGAACACAGGCTTTCAGAGAAGAAATGGGCACACGAGGTGCAACCTGTCCTGGAGGCTGAGGCAAGGTTTAAACAACCTCTTAGAAGGTTTCTAGGCTGTAAAACTTTCACCTTTGCATTTTTCCTCCAGAAAGTTCAAGTCATAGGATTACAAGGAGCCTTAGATAAGAAAACTGAGGCCCAAGAGAGGGGTGACCTGAGCTTCATGGCCAGTCCAAGTCCTCTTTTCACAAGCCACACCATGCTGAACTCCGAAGTGGTGAAAAGGGGACATCCAGGGAAGTGTCTCTGTGTCCCAAGGCACCTCAAGATGAAGTCACCAACTCAGTTCCAGGAATATTAGGAGCCCCACACGTGCTGGGCTGCAAGGATCCTTGGAAGACGGGATGGTGCTCTTTTCAGCTTAGAATCCCTGCTTTGGTAGGAAGAAGCCAAACAGGCTCAGCTTGGTAAGTGGGGAGGAAGAACTGCCATGCACATTGGAATAAAAGAGGTGTGGAATAAGGATGAAAAACAGAGGAAGCAAATTTAAGAGCGCTCCTTAGGGAAGAAAGATACTGTTGTCTTTGGCATTCATTCCTGCCTTCATTTGCTCAGTTGGGTCCACAGTTTGGCCACAGGCACCTGCTCTGTGAGGCACTCTGCTAGGTCTGTGGATGAAATTCAGAACATAATAGGTAGGACCCCAACTCCCACACAGTTTACGGTCTGGAGGGACAGACAGGCAGGTATCCTGCAAGGAGTTACCCAAATGCCTTAGCTGACACAATACGACAGCATATGCATGGAACAGATAATGGGGGCCCTGGTTTGACATAAGGATGAAAATATTTCCTAGAAGAATCAGCCTCAAGGCTGAGACTAGAGGGATGAGCAGAAGGAGCCTGATGATGGCGAGGAGGCTGGTACTGGGTAGGACTTGTCAGACAGAGGCAAGGGCAAGTCCAGAGCCCTTGAGGCAACCCTGGGATCCCTCACTTCCGAGCAAGTGCAAGGCTCTTGAGGTGGGCATGTGAGTGTAGGGGGTGTGGGAGGGAGAGTATGTGCTTGCACTGGAGAGAGGGGTGGGAGATCAGGCAGGCTGGACCTTGCAGGCCACATTAAGGTTGTTCTTTGTTTGGATTTATGATTTGTTTGCTTGTTTTTTCCACTTTATTCTCAGAGCAAAAGGAAACCACTGAAGTGTTCCAGGCAGAGCGACCCGTGAACAGATTTGTTCATTCCTCATTTCAGTTAACATAGTTTAGGTTTTCAGTCTTTAGGAGCATTCCAGATGCAAACAAACAAACAAAAAAGGTTTTATAGGCTTACATTTGCTAATTATGCAACTAATTAAGTCTGTATTCAGAACAATGTCTACACCCCCTGGGACCATCAGCACCCAGGGCCATATTACAGGGAGGTGGACCGTACTGGGGATATCTCTTCTTACATTCTTGTAACTGAATTGGTTCTCAGATGGATGAGGAGATTTTTCATTATATTTGGCTAGAGAAAGATGCAGAGGGCTGATACCGTGTGTGTGAGCATGTGCCTCTGTGCAGGATGCATCCTCTGTTTGCAAGGGGCTTGACCCAGTCCGAGCAAATGGTGTTGAACTAGCTGGGGCTCAGCAAAGCAATCCATTTATTATAATTCTGCCGAGAAGAGGCCCCGTAAATCAAAGAAACAACCTGACTGCAAACAAATTACACACCAAGAGTTAGGATAGAGGGAGGGAGGGGAGGGCAGAGTGGTGGCCAATTGGGAAAAGTGAGAATAAAAAGGAAGGGCCTAGGGAAAGCCAGAGAATAGAGACCTACAGAGATGTCTAGAGTCAGAAAAGAAATAAAAATGGAGCCTAATTTGTCCATCAGGAAGAAAAAGAAAAAGAAAAGACTCCTACCAAGAGAGATCCCATTTTCTGGAAACCCCTAACTTACAAACACTTGACTTTAAACACCAACTGCTCTTTGTTCCCCTGAGGGGTCACCTAGGGAGTGATTGATGGGCAGTTACTTTCTCCTGTGCAAATGTTCATAGTTCTCTTTTCTCACGCAAATAGAGTTGGGAACCTCTTCTTAAGACAGAGTTAACCTGTTATTGGTACCCCTGCTGCAAGTATGCATCCCAGCCTGGGAATCCCTCAGAAACAACTGCCCTTTTGGAGGTGAAGGCCCTTTTGCCGGGCCAAAGTCAGGAAAGATGGATTTCTGGGGTCTAAGCATGGAACTAAGCCCATGTTCCTGTCTCAAGAACTGTGACAACTAGTGGGTAGCTGTGGCTGGTATTGTCATGCCCACACCCCTGGCAAGGACATTAAGCAATAAATAGGCTCCAAGGCCATGTTGAGGAAGCAGCTCAACTACCACTTAGAACATCCTTTCTGTGGAAAAGTACATTCTCACATCCAAGTAGCTCCTTTATAAATTCAACTCTGAAAAAGAACCTGCTTTAAAACTGCAAAGTACTTCTATGGGAGTAGCAAAAGTTTGGAGAGGATCTGCTGAGACAGTTACATCACAGTTCTCCAAAACTCACTTATAAGAACAGAAGCCTGGCTAAAGAGAGAATGATATGAGCTACAGTAGGAGGCTGCAGTCTATGGTCATTCCCAAGGAATCTGAGTAAACTCCCTCCTATCTAACATGGCATAGTGTGACGGAACTATAGAGAAGAAAACTGGTTCCTACTGTAAATGCTGAAGCTGTAAGGAGGGCTCTAACACCCAGATCCTACCAGGATGCTTCATACACAGTTTCCCAACCCTCAAACAGACCTTTGGATCCATCTTGCTTATGAATATCAATGCAAATGTCCTAAGTAAGTTATTGGTGGAGAATCTAACAAAACACTGAAGGACAAAGTAAAATTTATTATAAGGCAAGGATGGTTTGACAATAGAGAATCTATTATATAATTAACCATATTAATAAATTCAAAATATTATCCAGGTGTCTCAATGAACATCAAAAAGGCAACTAATAGTATTTAACACCCATTCTTGATTTTTTTAAAACTCACAATAAAATAATAGTACATGGATACTTTCTATTTTGGTGAAATATATCTTCTTCAAACTCAAAATGCTTAATGAAAAACATCAGAAATTTTCCTGGAAAAATTAGGAATAGGCCAGGGGCAATGGCTCACACCTGTAATCCCAGCACTTTGGGAGGCCAAGGCAGGTGGATCACTTGAGCTCAGGAGTTCAAGACGAGACTGGGCAACATAGTGAAACCCTGTCTCTACAAAAAATACAAAAATTAGCTGGGCATGGTGGCGCATGCCTATAGTCTCAGCTACTCTGGAGACTGAGGTAGGAGGATTGCTTGAGCCTAGGAGGCAGGTGCAAGTTGCAGTAGGCCAAGATCATGTCATTGCACTCCCGCCTGGGTGACGCAGTAAGACCCTGTCTTAAAAAAAATATAAGAACAAGATTAAAATGTCACATTTACTATGATTGTTTAGCATTGTTGTGGGAACAGTAGGCAAACAATTAGCCTAGGATATTAGATGTATAAATTGGAAAGGAGGAAAGCATGGTCAACATTAGTAGGTAATATGATCATACATGTGACAAAGCCAAGACAATTAACTGGCAATCTGTCTTAGGTGGTAAAAAGGCAGGCTATTAAAGTCATATATAGAAAGCAATGGTTTTTATCATTACAAACAAGATAAATTGAAAGAGAAAAACCCCACTTATAATAGCAACAAAAGAGACAAAATACTTGAAAATATACTTAAGAAGAAAAAAGATAAGGTCCATGTTTTTGGTTAAGAATTCTAAACATCATAAAGATTTTATTTCTTCCTGAATTAATCCATAAACTTAACCCAATGAAAGTGTTATTTATTTATACATTCATTAGGGAATAGTCAAGCTAATTTTAAAGCTCAAACAAAAACAAACAAGTGCACTTACTCCAAAGAACAGTCTGGCTCTATATAGGAGAGCTGAACAAGTACATATCCCATGAACAAGCAATTCCATTCCCAGCAATATGCCCAAGACAGCCAAGAGAAATTCTCAGAAATGTACAAAGGAGGTACATGCAAGAGTGTTAGTGTGAAAAACTGCATACATCAATTTTCAACAGGAAATGCCCATCTAGAGGAAAATTAATAAATTGAGGTATTTCCATACAACAAAATACCATAAAGCTTTGGCAGTAATGGACTAGAGCAACTTGTCTCAACATGGATGGATCTCTCAAACATATTATTTAGTGGAGAAGAAAGGGGACATGATTCAGAAAAAAGCATATATCACATAATACCATTTATATAAAATTTATAAACATCTGGATTGCTGTTTTGCTTAGGTTCACATGCACAGGCATTAAACATGAATAAAATGCATGGAAATACAAAACGTCAAAGTCAGTGGGTACCCCTGGTGGAAGGGGGGGTAGTGACTGAGGAGAGGTGGATGGGGGCTTCCTCTGCGTTTGTAGAGTATATTGGGGATATTTCAGAATCTGGGTGGTAGGTAGATAGGTGTTTACAACACATCTCTCTTTCCTTTCTTGAAGTGTTGCATATACTTTTTGTAGGTCTGAAACATTTTTAAATCATTTTAATATAAAATAAATAAGTTTTGGGAGGCTGAGGTGGGAGGATCACGAGGTCAGGAGATTGAGACCATCCTGGCTAACACGGTGAAACCCTGTCTCTACTAAAAATACAAAAAAATTAGCCGGGTGTGGTGGCGGGCACCGGTAGTCCCAGCTTCTCGGGGGGCTGAGGAAGGAGAATGGCATGAACCCGGAAGGCGGCGCTTGCAGCAAGCGGAGATCGCGCCAGTGCACACCAGCCTGGGCAACAGAGTGAGACTCTGTCTCAAAATAAATAAATAAATGAATAAATAGGCAAGAATAACCAGGAAAACTTTCAAAAAAAAGAGCTGTAAGAGGCAAATAGTCTTAGCAGATATTAAAACATATTATCATGCCATAGCTAGTATAAACAATGTGGTAGTGGTATAAAAAGAGACTGATTAATGGAATAAAATATACAGTTTAGAAATACCCCCATTATTTCTTTTTCCAGAGGGATATCTACTTGTCCTAACACAATAGTTTCTGCACAACAGTGCTTGTCAGTCTTCACCTCGTCTCCCTTACCATAAGGTGGCAGGACTTGGGGGCTGGAGCCACAGCCCAAAGTGGCCCATCATGAGGGTCAAGTTTCTTTGAAGACTCTAGTGATGCTGTTGAAATGAGTGCAGAATTTGCAATCTACTAAAAAAAAAAGAGATACTTTCTTGGTTTGTAATCACCCTAGCCCAGGCCACCATCTCACCAAGCTGAGCCTCCTGCATCTCTTCCTTCCCGCCTTATCTTCACCCAAAAGTGTCTTCACTACCAGATTATTCTCTTGCCTCCCTTCCCAACAGCTTAGAAGGACCTTTTAAACATGTGAATCATATCTGCTCACCCTCAAACTCTTTAACAGCTTCCATCGCACTGAGCAGAAAATCTAAATTTCTTCCCAGCACCTATGAGTGGCTGCTAATGGGTCTACTTCAGCCCACCTCTGAGTCCTCAGTCCCTACTAACTTACCATCCCTCTGCTACTGGAATCTGCCAAACTCCTCCAGGCTCAGAACTTTTGCAGGGCCCCCCTCCCCTTCCAGAGCACTCTTTGAAGCTCCAGGAGAGCAGAGATTGTGTCCACCTTGCCCATGGCTGAGCCTCCATTCCCAGAACAGTGCCCAGCACATGGTGCCACTCAAATATTTAATGGATATGTAAATTACACTGGCCCTCTGGGAAGATATGCCTTATGATTTTCAGGAAGAAAAGCTATCTTTCTTTTTTTTTTTTTTTTTGAGATGGAGTCTCACTCTGTCGCCAGGCTGGAGTGCAGTGGCGTGATCACGGCTCACTGCAATCTCCAACTCCCTAGTTCAAGCGATTCTCCTGCCTCAGCCTCCCCAGTAGCTGGGCTTACAGGCACATGCCACCACACCCAGCTAATTTTTGTATTTTTAGTAGAGTTGAGGTTTCACTATGTTGGCCAGGATGGTCTCGATCTCCTGACCTTGTGATGTGCCCGCCTCTGCCTCCCAAAGTGCTGGGATTACAGGCGTGAGCCACCACACCCGGCCCAGAAAAAGGCATGTTTCTCTTGAAGGGACTAGGGATATAGGCCACATCAGATCACAAAACAGCTTTCACCGCAGGTCCTCAGCTGCCCTACAGGAATCCCCCTCCCTCATGGCTTGGAGCTCACAGAAGAGACCTTCCAGGTAAGTGTAGAACTGAGATCTGTGTGGGTTTCAATTCCAGTAAAATGTGCATTTCCCCAAGTCCGACTCAGTCAAGGAAGACCCCCAGTGCTCTGGCTGGCTGCCCCTGTGATGAAAGGGCAGCTACTGCTTGTCAAGGGTCCTTCCTCACCCTCAGAAGGGATTCCCTCTGCTCAGCTTGCCTCGCCACCCGTTTTCAAGGACAGGGAGAGGGGCCGCACCAGAGATAGAGCCTTCCATACACACTGACCCCTCGCTCCTTGGGAAGAGGGGCTCAAGTCCTTCCCTAGTACAAAGCCACTTGTAAATGCTAAACTTGCAAAAGCTCTCACTCTACTCCTTGTCAAGAGAAGTGGGCAAAGTGAATCAACACAAATCCAGGCTGGAAGGTCCCTGAAAATCAGAAGATAATTCCTCCAAGTGGGAAATAGTACCTGTCTTCTCTTAAATGACATTTTGATAGCTGTTTGATGATTACTCTAATATTGATGTAGTTCTCTCCTTACAAGGAGCTCTAAATACTTCATGGATATGGTCTCATTAATCTTCAACTTTTTCTTAACTTATAAAATGAATCATCCTACAGTGATAAAACAACAAAAGCTTGAGTTTCCTTTATCATCACTCCCCAAACAACTCTTTTTCATTATTCAGATTTATAATGAGGTGTTTTGGTATCCTTTGAGTTAGTATCAAAAGATATAAATGGAAACAAATACTTCCTGTTCTTTCTATGCAAATACCATTCTCTTCCTGGCTGCCTTTTGTCCCTAATCTATCATGGTAGATGGTTATAATAATGGCTCCCAATGTCTATGTGTCTTAGTAATGTGACTTTCCCAATTCTTCCCTCCAAAAATGATATTTCTCCATCTTCCTGAAGCCAGGCTGTCCTTGTGACTTGCTTTGACCAATAGCATATGTGAAAGTGATATGTGAATTTGGGAGCTTACGAGACCTGACAGCTTCCAGTCTTGTCTTCTTGGACCCTGAGCTCATCATGCTATGAAGAAGTCCAGTGGAGTCTACTAGAAGATGATGATCACATGAGGAGAACGCAGGCCCCAGCCAACAGCCAGCGCCAACTGCCAGACCTGAGAGTGAGACCAGTTTGGAGCTCCCAACCCTACAACTAAATGCAGCTACAGGAGTGGGCCAAGTAAAACCAGAAGAGAAACGACCTGGCCAACCCACAGAATAATGAGGAATAAACTGTTATTGTTTTAAGCCACTAATTCTGCAGATGATGTGTTGCCCAGCAATGGAGAACCACTGCCCCATATCTGTTGCTCCATGATTATATATCTCCAATTTTTTTTCCTATTTCCCTATTTCCTCCCAGATGAATTCACTCTTTGGGAAGATGTGTGATTCAGAATTTTAATCAATTTGTAACAGTCTCTGGTCTTTGACAGAAATCATGATGCCTCCTCAGCTCCATCAGTCACTAATTGTGTGACTTTGGATACGAAACTCAAACTCACCCTCTGCCTGAATTTCCTCACCTATTTAAAAAAAAAACAGGATAATTAATGTGCCAACCTAGGGTTGCTGTGAGCTTAGGATAAAACATGCAAAAGGTTTGCACACTTCCCAGCACATAGTGAGTACTCAAGAAATATTACATGCTATTAGAGCTGTAAAATATTTATTCAAGTAATACCTTCATTAAGTGTTCCATAAAATTATTATTTACAGGAAGGAAAGCCCTAACATTTTAGGGATCACTTTATCTGTGCCATAGATCCGATAGATCCGTGTTTGTTTTTTTCACCTTTGCAACATCCCAGATGGGTATGGCAGAAAATAATCTCCGAATTTGATTCTCATCACTGCCATTTATAAGCTGGGTGACCTTGGCTAAATGACTTAACCTCTCTGTGTCTCTCAGTTTTCTCAAAAAGCATACTTCTGGGTTTGTTGTAAGAAGAAATCAGTTACTTCCTGTCAAGCACGTAGAGAATGACTGGCCAGAGTAAGTGTTCAAAAGATATTAGTAACAGGTTATAATCCCCTTGGGGCAGATGATGGTGCTGGGGCTCAGAAAACATAAGACACGTGAACAGGACCACACAGGTAACAAGCATGCCTTCTGTTCTTGCTACTGTCACACTTGTGGAAATGGGCCCCCACATCCTCCTGCTTCTGCTGACCACAAGGGGCAGAGCCTGCCTCTTTACACTTCACCTTTCCTTTTTCTGTAACTAACTTTAACTGCTGCTGAGTCACCACCTTCCCCCAAGGAAACTTTTTGTTTTTAATTAACCAACTCTTAAACCGATGCTCAGCTCCATGAGGCATCACTTGGTATGTGGATTTAGCCTCCAACACTGCTCAGTCTGGGTTCTTTGTTGGCCAGCTCTCAACTGGTCTGGGCACCTGTGCTCTCTCTCATGCTGCCCATCTTCAGGCTCACACGCACCACACTGTAGATGCCACTCATTCTCCAAAAGTCTGTCATGAGAGGGCATAGCCTTCCTTGAAGGGGTTCCTTGGTCAAAGAAGGTTGGGAAGTACTGCTTGTTCTCTCCTCCACCAGAGTCCGGAGCTCTGCCTAGACAACAGTAACTAAGCCCCCTGGGTTCTGTTGACCCAGAAGTTTTCCAAATGTTCTCCGCTATGGAGCCCTTTCTTCTCACAATTATGTTCCACAAAACTCCTTGGATGCTATAGAAGGAAATTGGTTTAGGGAGTTATACAGCTACAGAACTGGAGAAAACTATCTGACTGTTGCCTCTTGGTCAACTCTCCTCAAACCTGGGGTGGACTGCCTCTCAAATACATGGACGTTGGCATATTTAGTTTCCTGCAAGGAACTGCAAGGCACTGGGAACAATGATAATCACTGGGGAAAGAATGGGGGTGAAGACTAGGGAGAGAGGCCATTCATCGCTTTTCATTCTGCAGTGGTGTCTACTGTTTTGCGTTTCCTAACATTATACACATACTATTTTGTTGTCGTTGTTTAATGTCAACAGTTCACTGATGCTCTGTTCATTATTCTTCAACCTTTTATCTTTCTGTGTCTCATTTTGGATTGTTTCTATTGTGATGTCTTCAAGTTCACTAATCCTTTCTCCTGCAATGCCTCATCTTCCATCAATCCCATCCAGTACATTTCTCATCTCAGATGCTCATCTCTAGATGTTCTATTTGGACCTTTTAAAAATATCTGCTGTCTCTCCTTACCATGGCTTATGCTTTCTTCTAACTTTTTGAAAAGCAGAAGAAATTCTTTGCACCATTAGAATCCAAAACACTTTACTACAATGACTTGGGGAATTCCAAACAAAATCACCCTTTAAGACCTGCAGTAAAGGAGTCATTACATCCACTCCATGTTTCCGCTCAGGCACTGTCAACTCCAGCATGCCTGTATGTACATACACACTCAATAAATGCTTGCTGATTGACTGACTGTAGGTCCTAAGATCAGGTTTAAATAGGTAGATTGCTCAATTGTGGTTCATCAGTTTGGTGCCTCCCTTGTGCCCACACACAGCAGCACAGCTCAATCCACATAACAGAGGAAACAGACACCAGTATTCCACCGTGCCCCATACCTTGTTCTCTTAAAATGCAAGGATTCAGAATAACCAAAGGAAATGTGGTCTGGGTCATTCAAGTCTTTTCAAAGGAAAGAGTATTATTAAATTTTATCCTGTTGCTTATTTATGCCAATTTTTGATATTTTACTTAACTAACAGAAATGTGTCTGATGCTCATTAAGTCTTTGAATCCCAACTAATTATAAGCCACCATATTCTCTAGCAAAAATAGACCACCTTCTGATCAAACGAATTTCTCAATCCCCAGGAATGGCATCTGAGCAGCTTTGGCTTCAAGCAGATACTTTCAGAGTTAAAAGAAAGTTGTACTCATTTATTTATAATAAGCATATGCATACAAAAAGGCTTCTTTGAGGCTTAATAAAGTAATAGAATTATGATCACTCATGCCCAGAATTCTTCCAGCAGTACATTACCCAACAAGAAGCATTCAAATTCCCGGCCTCTCCACACCATCCCTGCTCTCTGAACATGCTCCAAGGTGGTACCTCAGCTTTCCCCCAGCCTTAGCACATGGGACTCAGCCAGTGGTGACTCACACTGGAGTGCTGCTTGGACATTTTGACATCACTGGCTTGGAAGTCTGACTATAGTCACAGGGGCTGAGGGATGGAGGCCAGAATGGGTGGTGGCATGGGGCAGGGCACACAGCTCTAGCACGGATGGACCTGGGTTCAAATACCATCCCGCTTGCCACCTTGGTGTGGCCTGGCTTATGTCATTTAAATTCATGGTGGCTGCATTTCTTCACCTCCTAAACTGGGGGAAATGGATCATGATTCACAGAGTTATGATGAGATGATGCATGAAGTGAATTTAGTACAATGCCCAGCACCAAGAAGGTACCTAAGAGTGCTCACCCTGACCACTCACCCACCTCTTGCCTCTAAGGCAGGGCAGTATCTGCCCTCTGAGTCTCCGGCCTCACTGGGAACTGCTACAGAGCCTCCATGATAACCACAGGTTACTCAGGAAGGTCTAATCTCAGAACAGAAGTGATCCCCTTGTTTACCCGGATACATTCTGAATGAAGCAGTGTACTTTATTTTCTGATGGCTAATTCAGGGCTCATACCTTGAGGGCCACTTGTTAAAACCTAGCCCAGGAACCCTCTCTTCCTTCAAAAAAACACAACTTAAATCACTTAAACTTTCTGGGAGGCTTTAAATTTGGTCAGGCTTGCATTCTTAGAATTTTAAAACACAAGGATTAAATAGGACCTTTGAATCCAGTTCTCGAATCTTCCCCAAGGTTTCTGCCAAGAGACTGTGCCATCTCTGTGTGGGACGGAATGCTCACCACCCTCCATGGCAGGACATTTAATTTTTGGTCAGCCTGGGTTCAAATCAGGGACTTGGTATAAACTCTGCATGAGGGGCTCCTCTTCCTTATGGCCACTCATGTCTGCCTGTGGATCTTTTGTCTCAGACTGTCCTCATTTCTTCATGTTATGTTTGGATATGTTTCCAGTTTCTGCTTCTCTAAACAGACAATGGTTTCTTTTGCCTTCTTCAAAGTGGAGTGCCAACATGTTGGAATTAGCAAAGCAAGGGACCTTTCATATTCCCATTCAATCCTAAGAAAGCTTAATTGCAAAGCTGGGCATGGTGGCTCACGCCTGTAATCCCAGTGCTTTGGGAGGCCAAGACAGGCGGATCACAAGGTCAGGAGATCGAGACCATCCTGGCTAACACGGTGAAACCCCATCTCTAGTAAAAATACAAAAAATTAGCCAGACATGGTGGCACGCACCTGTAGTGCCAGCTATTCGGGAGGCTGAGGCAGGAGAATCGCTTGAACTCAAGAGGCAGAGGTTGCAGTGAGCTGAGATCATGCCACTGCACTCTAGCCTGGGTGACAGTCAAGAGAGAAAGAAAAGAAAGAAAGAAAGAAAAGAAAGAAAGAAAGAAAGAAAGAAAGAAAGAAAGAAAGAAAGAAAGAAAGAAAGAAAGGAAGGAAGGAAGAAAGGAAGAAAGAAGGAAAGAAGGAAAGAAGAAGGAAAGAAGGAAGGAAGGAAAGAAGGAAAGAAGAAGGAAAGAAGGAAGGAAGGAAGGAAGGAGAGAAAGATTGCAAGAGAAAGACATGTTCAGGTCTCGAAGTCTATCATTTCAGAGCAGACTCCCCCTACCCACAAGTTGATTCCTCATGGTTAAACAGTGTTATGGCCATCTGGACGCTGATGCTTCATAATTGGGAATTTTTTATAGCTTTAATTATTTCCTCTGTTCTCTTTTCTTTTTTATATACAATGAATCATTCTGGTCCTGAGAGAAAAGATAAAAAGATTTTTGAAAGTTATGGCTGTAATTTCAATAGAAGAAGATGGGGCTTTGAGGAATATGAGCATTTGTTGTATTTTCTGAGTCCATTTTTCATCCCCACTGGTTAACGAAGATGTTATTTCTCTCTCACATTTTGGTTGTTAATTTCTGACAAGTTTTTCTTTTAGTTATGGCTGGTTATATTCCTCTCAGTTCATTCCTCTTTTGTCTACCTTATGAAATATTCAGTTCTTCCTGATAGGATGAGGCTTGATTCACCCCTGGCTATGATTAATTGCGCCAGTATTTTGGGACCTAATTTATGTGTATATGATTCCTCTAGTGTTTCCATTTTCTTTTCTAATTATCAATTTTTTCCCCATCTTTTTTCCTGAAATTAGTACTGAATTAGCTTGCCTCTGATTACAGTCTTGGATGCATCCCAAATAATATTGTTGGACAGCTCCCATTATCATTTCATTCCATGAATTTTTTGTTTGTTTTTTGCAATAAAGCTTTATTAACCCTCTGTGAACCCTTATTTCCATTTGCTCAGTCATCTTTGATGGAAACTGCATGAAACCATGGTCAGATGTCATGGCAGTCACTCACACATTTTCTTCTACTGCCTGCCAAGCCAAGTTCTTTTTAAAAAGTCAGAATTCTGGGGATTAAAAATAAGATCCATGCCTGTGTTAAGGGACTGATGTAGTCTAAGAGGTTCTTCCTCCCTTTCAATTATTCATTTATTTATCACTCTAAAGTGGATGTCTGCTGAAGGCCATAAACCGATTAGCACCCCTTTGTCAGGCCTCTTTCTCTTGTAAGTCTTGCCTGTTTTAAAGAGAGATCCTTTCAGAATAGCACCCCTTTCAACCCAGCTCTACAGCTGTTTATCCATCAGTCTCCACTAGTAGGTCTTTCCAATAGCTGCATCAGTCTGAGACAGCAGGTGGGGCCCCAGGTGAGGCGGCTTTAGAATGGAGGTTTCTCTTATCCAGCACCAGCTAAGGCACCTTCGCTCAAGTCAGCCTGGGGTCTGCATTTTGCTCTGCTTCTCGGGTTCTCCTTTCTGACAATTCCATGCCTCCATCTGCTTGCACATACCTGCATGTCTTGTCCTGCCAAGCACACATCTACATACAACATACTGCAACATATATGTTACACCCCAGCATACCCATCCACACATGAAACACACACCTACACTTCCCACAGAGCCTTTGGAGCCTCTGCCTCCCAGGAGATGCTGTTTCCTGCTTTGGAAACAGCATACAAGGGCTCTGGGCCATCGCTAACAAAAGATCCTCCCACAACTAGCACATCTCCCACAACTAGCACAACTCCCACATCTAGTGGGGGATTTGGCTACCCCAAATCCCCCACTAGAACAGAGTGCTCAGACTTTTTTGACCAAGTCCCCTCTACTATCCTTGATCTGCCAAGGTGAGTGTGGAAATGGTGCCGCTCCAGTGAGAAACAATTTTATTCACTTTAACTGCATCCCAACTCCCAGAACCCTTGGCCATGTAATTCTCACATCATCTCTTCCTCTCACAGATAAAGCGATAATATTCCATCCCTCTTAAAAGGAAGACCCAGAAACCCAATTCCTGGCTGCCTAATCTGCGTGTGAAGACACACTTGGGATTCTCATCAGTTCTGAGTGTGCCTGGAAGGGCCGCAGGCCCTCAGCCTCACAGCTTGGCTCTAAGGCCCAGATGCTCATCTACCGCTCTGCCCAAGCATTGGCTGGGTGCTCAGAGGGTGGTCCAACAACATGAATCTTGGCTGAGCAGTGGTATGAGCCCAGCTGTCTGGCCTTGTGGCCTCTGGTGATGGGCCCTCAATGCCACACCCTTGGAAGTGGTTGGGGTCATCTCTTGGCTGTGTCGGGGGGCTACAGCAGTCTCCATGAAGGGACTCCTTGTTAGGATGACAACAGGCAGCTGCCACAGAGTGCCTGCCCTGATTTCAGGCCAGTGACAAGAGGAATGGACAAAGGAGGAAAGAGCAGAACTAGTCTTTACCTCCTATAGGAAGTGCCCAGCAAGTACCCTGTATGGAGTCATCAAACCAGCCCTGAAGGTATCCTCACCAAAGCCCCTTTGTTGACCCAGGAGCTTTTTTATAATCCTAAGGTGTTATGAAGTGTCTTGAAGGAACACTCTTCCACAGATCTCCCAGGGCAAAGCAGCCCGGGTCTGTCACATTACATCCTCACACTTTCCAGTCAGCTGTTCAACAGCTGGAGAATAGCACCATTGTTGTCTCCCTTTTGCTCCATGGGTAATGTTTGACCAGCTGCCCTTGGGCCAGTTCAGACTGAAGCAGAGTGCTTCTTCCCAGAGGGTTCTTCCAGCCTCTGAGCAAAAGGTGCAGTTGCTGAGAAAGAAGAGGAAAGTGCAGCATCAGGGAAGGCCACTGAACTCCAGCATTTGGCATTGATAATAAAACAACTGGAGCCCAGGGTTCTCAAAGAATGTTTTTATTATTTGTTCTTTAAGTCTGAGACATCCTCTAGGGTATGTTGATCGTTTTTTTCTGGCCTCATTTATTTTATTTCTCTGACTTTCTTTATCTTTGTAGAAATTTATTTAAGACTAGACTTCACCAACCCCTACTTTTTTTTAATTTGATTTTGCTGATTTTGATGGCATCAGGCTAGGTTTTGATATAAACCTTTCTGCAACACTACAGACCTGTCTTATCTCTACCAGAACTTTGCCCAAACTAGATTCCCTTGCTCTAATGCCAGGACCAATTTCCTCCATTGAATTTCCATTCTATTTATTTATTTATTTGGAGACAGGATCTCGCTCTGTCTCCCAGGCTGGAGTACAGTGGCATGATCTGGGCTCACTGCAACCTCCACATCCCAGACTCAAGTGATCCTCCCACCTCAGCCTCCTGAGTAGTTGGGACCACAGTTGCACCCCACTACACCCACTTATTTATTTTATTTTATTTTTTTGTATTTTTAGTAGAGACAGGGTCTCACCATGTTGCCCAGGCTAGTCTCAAACTCCTCAGCTTAAGCGATCCACCCACCTCGGCCTCCCAAAATGCTAGGATTACAAGCATGAGCCACCATGCCCGGCCTTCATTCTTTTCATTTATTGATAGGATCTGTGCTTGGCAAGTGGGTTTGGCTTGGGATTTGGATCAGATTTTGGTTTTTCAGGCTGAGCAGTGATTCAATGGTTTCAGTTCCTTAGAGAATCCTAAGAGCTGGGCTCTATTCTGTGCTGCCTCTAGCCAGCTCTGAGCACCTTGGATATGCCACTCCATGTATGAGCCTTAGTCACGCCTCCTGCAAAAGGGGAGGAGGGTTTCCTGGGTGCAGGAAGGGAGTCAGGCACCACTAGTGACTTACAAAGTGATTTTACTGTGCACCAGACAAGATCACATGGAGTGGCATGCCCCTTTCAACTTCCTTTTCCATCCCTCTGATTATCTTAACGGAGAAAGTCTTGGCAGGAGTATGGTGTGTCTTTAACACCTCTCAAACACTTATTATCCAAAAACAAGAGAGCAGGCTTTAGATTTTAGTAAGAGCGAGTGTTATTTTTTTCATCAAAAGTTGTCCTCTATTCATTGCATATGTCCAATTTCCCATGTACCATAGTGACTGTTTTACAAATGAACACACTGAAGTTTTAAAAAAGTGAATCAATAATGGTACAGACAATAAACCCATATGGCAAAAATTCATCAGGGTGGTTGGTGTGTGAACAGAAGTTCAGAAAACACTGGGCTGTATGGCACCAAAAGTCCCTCCCAGTTCTAAGCATCTAGACTCCTGATTGATAAAATTGTCTATCTCTATAATCACAGTTGTCACAAAGAGGCCAAATCTTCCCTTTCCATCAGCTCCCTGGAAGCCAAGGAAGCCATAGCAGAGACAGCTCTGTCCCCAGGAGCCCAGTCCTCAGCACTGAGGACTCATCCAACCTTAGGAGAGGAGCTATCTTCTCTCTAGCAGGGGATGACGATGTCGACCTCTTCAGCCAGTCTCCTCTATCAATAGTCAGTAGGGTTTCTAATTCAAAGGGTTTCCAGCCATTTTTGTTCTTTGATAATGTTAATATGAGCTGCCAAATATCCCTGCCCCACATCTGGCTAATTCTCCATTAAGAGTAGAGTAAATTTAAGTTTGGAATAAAGAAAATGAATTATTCAGAATAGCTATATTTCACCTGAGCCATTTTCTTAAGAAATTGCTTAAAGAAGAGCCTAAAACTTGTTCTTAATTCATAACATACAAATATCCCTCAGAAGGCTCCATAGAGATGGGGCCAGAAGATTCTCCCAGGAAGTTCCAGCCTCAGCACCCAAGGCCGTCCTCAGCTGGGGTTGGAAAACCTGTCACACTCAGTGCCTGCCCTCCGGGGGAAGGCTGGGGTAATCTCCATGCAGAGAGAGCCCAGGCCAGGAGGCAGAGCAGGAGGAGCCACCCTTCCCTCAGCCACCGCTCCCAGGGACTGTGTGGGATTCACTCCGACTTCACCTGGAAGCCAGCCAGATAGCACTGGAGGCTCTGGGAGCTCAGTGGAAGAGGACTCCTCTTGCTGAAGGTCTAGAGAGTGGATCTGGCCTGACTCACTGCCTTGGGGTGACACTGACAAGCCTGGCACAGCATCCCCAGGCCCTCCAGGTTATGGGGCCGAAACCACGGGTATGACAGGCTGCAGGTAACACACAGCCCCCAGCTTTCTATAGCAGAAACACCCTCTTCTTTCCCAACCAGGAAAGCACATGCAGTGAGAGGGGGAAGGTGTTATAGGGAACAACTTTGAACCCTTACCATTTATAAGAGAAGTAAATTATTCACAAACCTAGTTTCTTTGTTGTCAGTAACAATTTTCTTGTGGCTTATCTCCTGACCGATGGTGACCCTGTTTCTGGAATTAGTGTCTTTGGGAAAGTTGGTGTCATGGGTATGTTCAGCAAACCACCCAGCAGCAACTGGTTGAATATGGAGGCCTGAGGGTCATAGGAAAAGAAGGACAGGTGTTCAAAAACAAAGAGATAGAGCTTCAGGGCTGACCCTGCTGTGGGGGTCAGGGGGCTTAGCAACAGGGTTGACTGTCTTCCTTCCCAAAATA
Organism: Homo sapiens; assembly: GCF_000001405.40. NCBI lineage: Eukaryota > Metazoa > Chordata > Mammalia > Primates > Hominidae > Homo > Homo sapiens. The sequence continues at coordinate 134,877,348 of NC_000003.12, read as the reverse complement.
ACAGGGAAGGGCCCAGCGCCTACAATATTGTGCTATTGGATTGCTATCCTTGCTGCACTGCATTACCATCTGAAGCTAAGGCTCTCCAGGTGTCCTGTCTGTGACATGACTTTCTTGGCCCACAAAGGAGTGACCCTGAATGGTGGATCTTCCTAGATCCCAGGACCCACAGGATTTGGACCAGTGTGTTCATCAAGGGTCTACGCCTATTGCCAGGACCATGACCCCAGGTCTGCCATCTAACTCCAGACTCTGCTCAGCATGGCTCTATTTATGCATGAGTCTAAGACTGGGCATGCACTCAGTGGGCTTACAGGTACCAAGGCCCCATGGGGTGTAGGACCTGGGGCGTGTGGTAGGATTCAGAGCTCAATGTAACACATGTGCATGAGGAAAAATTCATTCCACTGGGAATTCATTCCTACAGCACCAAGGCATGTGGGAAGCATGCAGACCTCTTGGGGAAGGTGGGAGCAGTCAAAGAAGGTTTGCTAGAACCAAATGTGTTTGCCAGCCCTGGATTGACAGCCCCTTTCTTTAGGAGGAGTGCCTGATTCTACTCTGGTAGTATACTCTCTCCCACTTTCAGTCCACGTGACTCAGTGAGGCTCATACCCTCCCCAACCTACCCCAAACACTTGGCGCCATCCTCACCTATCACCCCAGCCATAACCATTAGCCACATGACCCAAACCAGCCTACTGAGCCTCTCCCTGCAGCCTTTTGCTGGCACTATGAAGACATGTACTGTCTCCATTTCAAATCTGAACATCTGGGTGGCTGTCTTTGCCACTGCCTTAGGGGCCTGCCTAAGCATGAACCTTACTGAGAAGAGAGCAGAGCCAAGGGAGGGGAGAGTCCAGGCCCTCGTGTTGCCTGAGCACTTGGATCCAGCAGTGTCAGAAAGTATGTATTTTTTTCAGCTTTGTGAAGCAATAAATTTCCTTTTCCTTTAAGCTGTTTTGAGTTGAATTTCCATCACTTGCAACTCTACAGAGGCTGAGCCCTACAGGCTGGGCAAGAAACTGACAAATGAACAGGGATGAAGGAGGAAGAAAGGACATCTTGGAGATGTGCAGGTAAAGATGGGGAGGCCAGCATCAGCCTGAACATGGTTGGAGAACAGCACACTATCCAATCATCACTGGTGAGTTTAACCTAGATGTGGGTGAGGAAGGGGTGGAGAAGGATAAGGCTGGGGAAGTGGGCAGGGGACATGGGAGTCATGACACTTATCCCACAGGGACTGAGGAGCCCTAGACCACATGCTGGAGGATGGGACTATGCCCCATCATCTTCTCATTACAAGCTCCCTACCTAGCACACGACTCAGTGCATATTTCCCATGCGAAAGCTGAATTATGAATTGAAAGTTGCAAAGCAGCATGATGACAAGACCAAGTGTGCAGTTTAGAAAGCTCCCTCTGGCAGCTGAGTGGAGGCTGGCTCACGGGATGTCAGGTGGGATGCTGGGAGGCTACTGAGGGGGTGGAGGAGATGACAAGGCTCAAAAGAGGCCCTGTGGCCACTTCCCTGACCTATTCTATTTGGGATGTCTTTAAAATTTTTGCTTTAAAGACTTGGAAGGAAAATAAGTACTTGAGAAATGGAATAAAAATAGGTAAACACAATAATCATCTCACTTAGGTACAGCGATCTATGGTGTTTCCAGCCCGCTCAAAAACATTAGCTCATCACCACCTTGAGAGGTAGTTATTATCCACATTTTAGCGATGTGGAAACTAAAGTTCAGAAGTACTGAGGAACTTGCCTGCGACCATGGCACCATTAATGTGGAGGCTTGGGGCAGAACAGTTCTACAGTATCATGCCATCCGGGTTTCCCTGGGGGCTTCTAAAGGCCATCAACCGCTCCTCACTCCCTGCAGTTCCATAAGTGCTCCTGCCTTCCACAGGGGACACAGGGACTGAGACCTCTCATACTGCCCACATGCCCGTCTCCATTGCCGGTAGTGCCTCCATCTGCCCAATCTCTCCCTCCCAGCTGGCCTTCTGCTCCCCTCTGTCCGCCAACACAAAGCCCTGGTGAGACACCAGGTGGGCAGGTCAGTTGTTTCTGGCTGATTCAAATAGAAAGAGATCAGGGACAACACTTGGCTTCTCTCCAACCAGCACAGCCACATGCCTGGACTCTGAGCTGAGCTGCTGGGCTTCCTTGCCGTGCACAACAAGTCAGGGCCCTCCACCCCTGGAGATTCTGTCAGGGTGCCAGCAAGCACCATAAGAGGCCAGTTCCTTCAGAGATGAGTTCCTAAGTATGCCAGGACTGAGCTCTAGAAAGTACCCCGGAAGTGATGCAAAAGCCTTACGCACTGGCTACCCAAATCAGACAACCATGGGAAAAGGTAACAAAGTGACTGTCTCCCTCAAACCGAATCAGTGACTCTGAGCTTGAGAGAGGCGGATAGCAATGCAAGCTCCGCCTGGTATGAAGGCAGAGGGAGGGCTTAGCAATGACTGCAGAGAAAGAGGCCCACACTCTGTAAATAGCCCATCGGGTAACTACAATCATGAACACAGCCCACACATTGGGAATGCTCCTCCTGACAATCCTCAAGAAGAAAGAGGCACATGTCTCCCCATTAGGAGTGATCTCTGTGCTTTCTGGTGAGAAGTGGAGAGTCACTGCCCACCCACGAGGTTGTCAATGCAGGAGTCTTGCCGGTCATCCAGGCCAGCCTGCTGCCTCCAGGAGCCAAAGGACCCACCATCCCAATGCTGCTCACAGACCTTGAGGGGGTTGGGGGATGGCAGTGCAGTGGGTAATGTTTTTAGAATCTGTTGCCGATATTTCAAGTGAATATTTTACTTCAAAACCCAAAATTTGTTTTCCTTTATTTCTTCTATTTAAAAAAGGGGGGATACATGTGCACATCATGCAGGTTTGCAGTATACGTGTGTCATGGTGGTTTGCTGCACCTATTGACCCATCCTCTAAGTTCTCTCCCCTCACCCTCCACCCCCCAATAGGCCCCGGTGTTTGTTTTACCCTCTCTGTGTCCATGTGTTCTCAATGTTCAACTCCCACTTATGAGTGAGAACATGCGGTGTTCGGCTTTCTGTTCCTGTGTTAGTTTGCTAAGGATGTTGGCTTTCAGCTTCATCCATGTCCCTACAAAGGACATGATCTCATTCCTTTTTATGGCTGCATAGTATTCCACAAAAAACCCAAATTTTGAGATTACATTAAAGAATATCCAAAGTTCTGTCTGTTTGCTTCTGTGATCATCTTGTGGCCACAGGCCCACTCAGCCACCCTGGTGAACACAGTCTGTCCAGCTCTGCTGATGTTTAAGTTTCCACCAAGAACCAACCCAAGGAAGCAGCTGAATTTCTGCTTATGTCAACATTTTTGTGGAGAGGAGAATTCCCCATTCTCCTTTCTCAGTCTCTCCTTGCTAACCTGAGTGACAAACTACTGCCCCATGACCTCACAATAGGATTACTCCACCAAAACTAGAACCTGAAGTTGAGTAGAAGAGAGATCACGTCTTGTTCACATTTATTTTTTGTTCTCCAACCCACACTGGAGACCCCTCCATTGCCCTAAACCTCATACCAACTTCCCTTCTTAACATCATCACAGGACATGCCATCTGACCCCACCTGCTAACACAGATGCGTGGCCAGGGCCCTCTGGCCCATGGCACTACCGTGCAAACCCTGCTTCTCTAGAAGGGCAGCAAGCAGGGTTTGGAGTTAAATCAAACTAAGGAGAAGACCATCAACTCGGTGCATGACAGACAGCTCAAAGAAGAACCTTGTAAATTAACAACAGCGTGTAACAAGTCCCCGCAGCCATATTTCCCCAATAAATATATACACTATTACTGCAGAGATGCAGACTAGGTAAAAAGACAATTACAGTTGTCAGCTATTAGAATGCTGATAAATCCAGCAGGAATCCCCAAACCATCTAGGTCATATAAATTTGTCAGATACACACTAGAAGAGTTTTCTCTTACTTGGGGAATGGGTGGGGTGAATTCAGTTCTAAGCCCAGTCTAAATTACAAATCCTTAATAGCACTCAGAGCAGCAAGATGTTCAGGCCACAAGCACAAGGGAATCAGAACACAGAGGAATCACTGCCTGCCCCTACTCACTCTGAAGCCTGCTGTCATAACCTCTCGCTCTTGCTCTCTTCCCTCCCTCCTTCCTTTTTCTCTCTTGTGCATGATCTCTCAATCTCTGTCACAGCACGGGTAGTTAAAATGGCATAATTCTAATTTAATGGCTCTAGTTTAAGAGTCTATGCTGAGATAGAAAATTTCAGGTGATGTATCAAACATCTAGAAATGTCACTGTGTGAATTGTGGCTAAAACATGAGCCATGTCTGGTCCATGAGATATTCCCCGGTCCATCCCCGTCCCTGTCTACAGTATCTCAAATTGATCATTCAGTCATTCATTCATTTAGCAAACCTCTGCTGGGTTTTCTTGGGATGCCAGGCTCCGTACTAGACAAGGGATACCGGGAAAAATAAGGTGTATTCCCTGCCTCGTGGAGTGCCCAGTCTGGTAGGGGAGGCATACAAGAATATTCTCTTACAGTGCTCTGTGATAAGTGCATGATGTGGGGAGGGGGAAGTACTAAGGTATTCACCCTTCATTATAATTTATGGAAAGACATTGAAGGAGCTTAAGCAGGGAGTGACATGATCACTCATGTAATTGAGTAAATTGGATGTCAAGAAAGCACTGTTCTGTCCACGATATTGTTAGTTGGATTGTCATACAACTGGCAGCCCCCATTCTAGCTTTGCTTTATTTATTGGAAATCTGTGATGTGTAATGTGACAGGTTGGCTATAAAAATGTCTAATCACTACATGTGAAATAGCCATGTCTTTCAGCTTTGCATGAAAATGGCAAATTCTGCTTAATGTTCCTGGACTCCTTTACAGTCTGATTAATTGTACTAGATCCAAATTATAAGAAATAGAAGAGGCAATGGGAAAGAGAATTAAGACTGCTCACAAAGGGCCTCTCCCTCGAATGGGAATTATCTTTCAAATGTGCTTACAAGAGTCCGGGTTAACCACGCTGAGGCTGTGCTCTATGAGATATCCTGGAGACCCCTAAGCAGACACAGTATCAGCTTCCTCCTGGAGAGGCAAAACAGTTACCCGGAACACAGGCATCCCTTGTCAATTTGTTGTGAGAGGTTGTCCCTTATTCTCAGACATCAGGTGAGGCTCAGAACAAACAGAATGTACCAGAGGGAAAACAAAGAGGTAGGACCAGAAAGTCAAGAAATTTACAGCAAAAAAGTATCCCCTCTACAGGGGAGCAAGAGCAGGTGCAAGTAACAGAGGTGGAGGGAAGGGCAGTTTGACCACCCCTGTGTCACCACATGAAAACACAGCATCCTGTGCTTCCTATGAAGCTATCTGGCTACCACATGGCTCCATTTCAGAGCCTCTGGATGAGGGAGAGATTAAAAATGACCCTTGTTTGGAGGCTAGAACAACCCAGTAGAACATAGTGCCACTTACAGTGTTATAAAGACTGAGGGAAGAGCAGCGCCCATTTGGACATAACATGGCGGAGGAGACTCTTGGAAATCCCAGCAGAGAGATCTAAGGACAAAGGGGTGCTACGTGTTTGCAGTGAGTGAAGAGACTAGGCTGGAAGTAAGTTTGGTAGTCATCAGTGTCTAGATGGTATTTAAAGTCCCAAGATTGGCTGAGATCACCCAGAAAGCCCTGGAACATGAAGTGCAATACACTCAATAAATAAAGGCAATAATAATGATAGTAAATAATAAATAATGAATATGGTCATTATTATTATAATGGTGAAGAAGCAGAACAACAACCTCACATCTACTTGGTTTGTCTCTGGAAACTGAATCCACTTCGAGCCAGCCGCTGGGAGCTCCAGAGCTTGCAGTTCTTTCCCCTCACTCCAGTGCCTGGGGACCTCACCTGCCAAACACCTCACTCCCTCACCCCAGGTGCCCTCCCAGCCTAGAGAATCAGCCAAACTGACTCATTTATTGCTCAGATTATGAAAGGTATCCACCTGCCTAGACACAGGGGCACACAAGCAATAAAAGCAAGAAAGCAGCAATGTTATAAATAAGTGATGGTCTCTTCATTAGGTCCTGAGCTGTAATCATTACTGGACTGCTCTCAGGTTCCTTGAGCTGCAGCTGGCTTAAAAGGTCATTATCCAATATTGTTTTAGTGACAAAGTATTCTTATGACTTCCCTCTAGCCTATGCTTTTCTAATCTCTACTACACTATGAAGCAGAGACCTTTCTCAGTGTGTAGTAACCCATGGTAAAGGGCTCACAGGCTACCCACTCCAGGGGCCTAAGGGGCACCCAAGGTATTAGACAGACAGTAGCCAGCCTGGTATAAGGGACCAAGCAGGGGCTTGAAAGACAAGAGGAAGCTTTGGGACTCTACTCTGCTTCTTATGCCATATAAACAAGGCAGCTGCTCAACTTCTGTGAGCCTCAATTTCCACACACAGTATAAAAACAGGCAGACATGGCTAAGAGGGAGCAGATACTAAGTACTTACTCTGTACTGGAAACTTGGTGATTCGCATTTCGTTTAACCCTCACAACACTATGTGCAGTAGGTATTTTGTCCCCATTGTATTGACAGAACTTCTGAGTCTATTCAGCCTGTGGCTGGGGTTTTCGGAGGTTAGGTTGTCCCAGCATGTCACAGTTGATATCAGGCTGTGCTGCCAATCTGGGGCAGCATTAGATAACGCCAGCGTTCATGGTGCTGATCTGTGTCCACGGTCCAGCACGATTCAGAATTTGTTGTGTCTGGTTGGGTCCCTGGGAAAAGAATCAGTTCTCTCCTGGCCTTTCTAAGTGGGCTTCTGAATATTCCCCAGTTGATGGCAGGAAAACTCCCCTTTGTGAACTGGGGCTACTTCCTGCTTTGTTCTGCTATCTGGGGCTAGAGGATGGTATCTTCTCCTTTTCTTCATGCCCTGATTAAATATACTCAGAGTGGGGAAGCTGGGATCTATGCTTTCCTAACAACCCCACCCTGACCTTATGAACTCTGCCCGGGGTGTCTTCCTTGCTCAGATTAGATGGCCGAAGACCCTGGTCATCAGGTCTAGATGTGGGCCGAAGTCCTCTTGCCTCTCTCTGGACTTTGGCTCACCTCAGGAAGGCCTGATCTCACCTTCTCTCCCATATAGACCCAGCTCACTCTCTCAACAACCACTGCAATTAACCCATCTATGCCAGCCATCCAAAAGAAACCCAAGCACTAATAACTCTCTTAAATATCCTTACCTGATTTTTCTGCTTATCTGCTCTTTCTTTGTGCTCTGTAAAATGCACAGACCCAGTGCTCACAGCCCTGCAATGGCTCGAGAATAGCCTTGCATGTGTGCCCCATGAGTTAAATAGAATGCTTACCCAAGGTCTGCTGTGTTTGTCCCCACACCTGTTTGCCAGCTGTATTTGTCATTATAAATACTTAATTTAATTAAATATTAATAAACCAATAAAGCATGAATGTAAAAAGAAAGAGCTGTGGCTTCTATGATAATAAATTGAATGCTTTGGAAAGACACAACAAATGCAAGTTGCTAAAAAAAAACTGCTATCACTTTTGTATAGAGTAAGACAAAGCTAAAAGATCAGAAACAAAATGTCATTAAAAATCTAGTAGAGTTTGCACTCAAATTGCTTTAGAGTCTTAAAGTTCTTGCTCTATTAAAAGAAGCTAGAGGTGGAAATTGCAGAGGGTGTGTTTCAGATGACCAGAGCTGAATGGCCTCCAATCACTCAGCCAACCAGGGCATCACATCCCCTTGACCTCAGCGAGTGGTTCAGCATAGGACATAGACTTAACCCTCCCACGGTCCATCCAAGGGCTCTTCCTGGGAGAGCATGAAAAAAACTGTTGCTATTATTTCCCACTGAATTCCCCCGGAAGGTGTAGTCCCAGGAAGCAGCCATCATGGTGAGGTCATGCAGAGTCTATTGAGAATGGCATCAGCCCAGAGAGAGCAACCAACAGAGGTGCAACAAGAAACCAGATCCACGGCACTGTTTAATCCTCCCAGTGTACTGTTGATAAATTCCCTGTTTGCTTAAGCCAAGTGGGTTGGGCTCTCTATCACCTGCCTGGCTTTTTCTCCTCTAAAAACTCCCTTCCAGTTTTGCTTCCTAGATTATTTCTCTTTCCACTCCTCTTCTTCCTCCACATCAAAATCATCATCATCATCAAAGCTAACACTATGTAACACCATCTAATCCTCTCACAACCCTGTGAAGTATCACTGTGAGGAAACTGAGGCACAGAAATGTTAAGTGGCTTGCCCAAGGCCACAAAACTTGTAAGAGGCAGAGATAGGATTTGAATCCAATTACTCTTGTCTCAGGTAAGAGCTTATCAGGCCCTGCAGGCCTAGAACCTCAAATGCATCAAGCGGCAATGGTACAGGATGGCAGTGGGCACAGCACGACAGCAAGGCCCACTGCATGGATTCATTATTTTCCCATCTGGAGGTCCCTATTGTGCCTTGTGCAAATGTCTATTATTGCATAAGCCACAAGTGTATCATATTCACTGTTTGTCAGCTTTTTTTCCCATAATTTGGTGCACAACTTGAAGCCAGGAATATGTCTTATTGTTTTCTTGTCTGTATCTCCAGAACCTGACACATAGTAGGTCTCAATAAATATCTACTGAACTGAACTGAGTCAGTCTCACACTCAGTATTCCATTTCTCAAGCCCTCTGAGATCCTTTCCCTCTTCAAAGATCAGCTTCTCCATGGCCTCTCCCTGATGTGCCTGGAGATTAAGATCACCCCCTCCCCTGGCATAAGCACCTTACTTCCTCTCTCCCATTTTACCTTCCAAATCAATTTTCCTTCTTGGAAGAACATAAGATCCTCTGTATTCCTTGTAACCTTCATTGCACATTACAGCAGCAACACTTAGGGGGTAGTTCATTTTCTCCAAACTACCCTGTGGTAATGAGGGTAAATTACCACCCATAGGGCAGTGGTGCCCCCATCTATGGCCTTAGGGTCCAAACAGCTGAGCTTTATGCACAAGTGATTAACTGATAAAAAATGGTAAGAGCCTCCTCTCAGTTATGCATTTTAAGTTAAAATATAACTCTTTGATAGAGCAGCCAACCAGAGATCTTAAGTAGCATTAATCATGTCCACATTTAAAAATCTGATACATAATTTAAGAACAAGAGGCAAAGAAAGATAAGCACTTAAGTAGAATTGGGTATCTTTTCATTAAACCTTAACTCATCCATCAGTGACTCATCTAACCCTAGTCTTCTCCATGGCTGCGGTGGAATCAGAGTCCCTTCTTCAAATCTCCCTGAACTTCATGCTTAGAGGTCTTTACTTACTGTCCTCAGAGTATACCCTCTGCTGGTTCCAATTCTCTCCCAATTCTCCCAGTTCCTTTTCCATTACAGACTGAAGAAACTGTTGGTTCCAGAGCCCAGGAGGCGAGAACTCCAGCACACAACTCCCACAGCATTTCCCTCAATGACCTGGGAGGCCAATCTACTCTCCAATTCCAAACTTGAAGTGAACTGCCAAGGGCGGGTAATAGGGGCTGAGGGAGATGGAGAATGGGAACCTCCATCCCCATCATAAGTCAAATTGGAATACAATCTTGAACTCATTCGGTGTTTTTTCTCCAAGACTCCTCCCCATCCCATTTTCCATCACCAAGTTGAAGCTGGAGTCATGTCTGTCTTCTTACTTCTAATAGCCATTCTACTGCTGAAGCCTGTTGCTTCTTCCTTCCCCAGGCCAAGTGCACCTCTCACTCCCTGTCACCTGCTTATTCCTCTCACCTAGGCCCTTGGGCTGCTCACTGGAGCAGCCTCCTACTTGGCCCCTGCCCAGCTCCTACACGCTCCACTCCATCTGCCCAGCATGTCCTGATTAACTGCACAGAGACCCACTGGGATGGCACCAACCCCTTTACTGAGCATAGTCCAAATGCTGGTTCCATCATTTGAGCAGTGGGGTGTTAGGTATGACATAGGCAGAAAATGAGAGGGAGAGTAAAACCTCCCCTAAATGAATAACTTAGACATCCACACATAGTGTTTTTGAAGGGAAACTAAAGATCTCTGTCCACTAGAATCAACTGTAACTGAATTAAAGGCATACCTAAGGCTCATGAAGAAATGTGACCCACAAGAGGGATTGGCCTACACCTAGAGTATAAAAAGAAGCTTCTCAGAGGCAATTAGGCTGTGGCCCTCCCAGCACTGCCACCCCCTCCCATCTATACAAACATATTGTCCGTTCTCAGTGGACGGGATCAGCCCCCAGGTATCTAGTGACACGATGGGCTGCTCAATGTGTTCAATGACCAGAGGTTGGCCCATGTAGCTCAGATTCCTACTTAACAAAGGCCTTCTGAGGTTGATTTTCTGTCCTTGTGGAGTTTTCTAAGAGATGTGTGGGCAAGAGGGTATCTGCTCCCCTTTAGCAGTTCTGCTCCCAGGGTGAGGAAGGAACGGGGCTAGGCCCATATGTGAATCTCTGGGAGCCTAGGATATGTGCCTCTGCCCCTGGAGAGATGGATCTGTCTTCCACATGCTGATGAAAACAAATTTGTTTCATCAAAGTGGTGAAGTGCCTTGGTAAATGTTGCTGCATGTCCTGCAAAAACCTAGCTAAATACCCTGCCAGCTGCCCAGAGTTCCTCCTTGGCATTGGAAACCTGAAAAAGACATCAGCAAGGGCTTTGGAGTGGACAGACCAGGCCCTATTCCCAGGTGTCCCCATACCCCCACTCCAGCAGTGGCCAATGACTCAAGACACCTTCCCAGATGACCCTAGGACCTTAGGAATCCCACAGAGCTTGACCATCAGGAAGGGGCAGCAGGCAGCAGGTACTGGGCATGACAGAAGTGGGCATGGCCTTTGGGCAGCTTTCTGGAGTCTTGGACCCTCTTAAGCCCACCTCTGAGAAGTAAAGAGCCACACCAGTTCCAGCCGAGAGCAGTCAGTACTCCTCGAGTGACTCTTTCTTTGTCACATACAATTGCATTCAAAATTTCAAATTTGGAAAAGTTAAACTTCTCAATCATTTTCACCATATCTTCCACATACATCTAGAAAGAGGAAATGACAAAGGAGGTAGACAGAAGCAGACTTCAGCTGCTGGTCCAGCTTTCCCAGCCTCTTGCCCACTGTCCAAGGCTGACCTTCCCTGGGACTCAGGCATCAGGAGAGGAGAATCAGGACAGGGGCAGGCAGCCTCTGCTCACCCCTCACTCTGGCATGGGGCTGCCTTTGGTTCTGCCTTAGCTCAGGGTGACCCCCATTCCTTTCCCGTTAACCATCTGCTCAGAGATTCCTTATTTTTAACAAGTCCCAGTGAGAAGTCTCCTCCTACCTTTCTCCAGATAACGTAGCTTCTTAACTTCCCCTTCCTATAAGCATATATTATGTTGAACCATATGAATTTCCCAATATCCAACCGTTTTAACCTTTAAAAATGGCAATTTCAAATGGTTGAACCTAATACATACAAATATGAATAAAGAGTCTTAATTACTAGCTTTTTCATCCAAAAGGTAACGTATGAAACACTCTGTTTTGCATCTTGCTTGTTTGACTTTATTCATCTTGGCAATCTTTCCAGTCAGGTCACTGAGAGTGCCCCTTTCTTTCTTTCTTTTTTTTTTTTTTAAAACAGCTGCAGATTTATTTCATTGTGCTGATGTTTCATTTTATTTAACTAATTCTATAATGATAGACATTTGGGCTGTTTCCAATCTTTTGCCATTATAAATAATGCTGCAAAGAATTATCTTGAATATAATTTTGTACAAGTATAAGAATATCTGTAAGATATATTACTAGAAATGAAACATCAGGGTCAACGGGTATATGTATTTGTAAATTTGATAGATATTGCCAAAAGATCCTTATTAAGAACTGTGCTAATTTACACTCCCACTAGTGATGTATGAGAGCCCCCAGATCAGTGATTCCTAACATTTTCCTTTAGATCAGTGTATTTCAATATGCAGGTTGTGGCTCATTACTGAGACATGAAATCCATTTCATGGGTTGCAATTAGTATTTTCAATGAAATAAGATAGTTTATAATATAATCAAAGGAGAACAAAATAGAAAATACCACATTGATTTACATGTAGAAAGGGTAAGCATTGTTTTGGGAATTTTGTTTCAGATATATAGATATCTATCCAGAAAACACACACACACACTCTCTCTCTCACACACACACATGCACACACACACACACACGTATGTTTTACTATAGGTCATAGTCAAAAGTTTTTGAAAACCAGCCTTAGATCTTGAACCTTTTTGAGAATCTGAGGAAAACTGTAGAAATTCTTCGTGGAACATTCACTGACACACATAGCATCTCAGTTCCCTGACCTCTTAGAGGCCCATTCAGGGACTCCAGGTCTGTGGGATGCACTGGGAGTTGGATGTGAGCCACTCCGGGACAGCCCTGTGGACTGTATTCACTTCCCCTACGGTCAGCCTGGGCTGGCAGGAAATGGGTATTGCAAAAACATCTGCTCCACTGAAGAAACAAACCATGCTACCCCCTGACATATTGCCTCCCTCTTTTTCACAGCCATGATGAGATTGTCTCCCACTTGCCGCAATATTTTGGTTCTTATGGAAAGCAAGTAGAAAACGGTTTCAGAAAAGCAAAAGCAGGAAAAGGTTTCAGAGAGATAAAATAATTCATTTCCCTCCTTCAGGTTCACTGATGTCTTTTTACTCTGACTCTGTGGCTTAGTAGAGAAATAGAACTATTAAGAGGAGAGAAAAAGGGAGGGAGGGAGACAGGGCAAAACAGAATGAGAGAGGATTGTCATTCAGTCCTGAGACAAGGTTTAGAAAAGGCCAAGGACAGCAGGAGAGCAGAAGGGGCTTGCAAAGGCAGGAATGTGTGTGCCCAGGTATCCAGACAGAGGGAAGGCAAGCTGCCTCTTGAGGGAAGAAAACAGGCTAGCCCCTTTCTGAAGTCAAGACACTTCCAAATGGCCTGGAATGAGACCCCTGGCCTTTGGGAACCTTCTCCTGACACTAGGATGGCTGAGCATGTTTCAGAACCCATAAAACGGGATGAAAAGAAAGGAGGTGAATAGAACCCCACACAAAAGCCATGAACTGCAGTGATGGCTCAGAAGAGAGGCTGGTGGAGCCACATAAAACATACAAAGGCCCCGTGCTAGGGAGCAGGGTTGCAGCTGAACCATCGTCTCTGTTGTTCTTAGAGGACAGAGGACAGGATGCGCTACTTTCCTGAGAGCATTTTTCCAATGAGACAGCCATCATCCTGACACCAGCGGGTATGCTGTAGATTTCCCACCCCTCTGTCCCTGAACCCCACCATCACCAGCCTCCCTGATGAAAATTACTGTGCGGCTGTGAAGAGGATGTAGCCAAGTTTCCCACTTTTATTATCTGCTTTAACTCCCCAGGAGCCAGGGCTAGAAAGCAGTCTACGGCATAGGAAGCTGGACAGAACAGGATGCCAGCACGGCAGGCCTGGCTTTCCTGAGCTCCACTTTATATATGAAACTGGGTACGACAATGCAACATTAGCAAGAAAGAAGGAGCCATGCTTTGCAGGCTATACCACCTCTTCTATTTCCAGGCTTTGTGGTGAAAGAGCAAATGAAAAAATGTTGAATTTCTTTCTAAAAACTTGCTCCAAGAGCCCTGAAGTAATAGCTACCATTCCCTCAAACCAAGTATAGTAAAAGACTGTTAAGTCTTTAAAAACTTAGCACCAGTATTGATTCTCCTTTTACCTAATTTCTTCCTTCTTTTGTTCCAGTTGGCATTTGCTGCCACTTAAGGGGACTGGGTTTGAAAGAAAGCGCACATGAGGTTTAAAAGAAAGGCACATCTGCCCGCCTTGGCCTCCCAAAGTGCCAGGATTACAGGTGTGAGCTACCACACCTGGCCAGTTAATCCTATTTCTTAACTTAAACTCTTGACTTCTACAAAGATATTTCACTGGCTGTGTACATAAGCAATTGCAGTATGATGCGAAACAGGCCAGTCCAGGCCGGCAGATATACAAGAACAATGGGAAGATGCACCTAACAGGGCCTTGGGGAGCACTGTGGCCAGGGATAGCTTTAAAGAAACGTCTTTATTCCTTCCAGTAATTTACCAGTTAGCTAGGAAACCTCTGTGGCAGAAAATAGAGGCAGTGTGCACAGTGTGTGCACAGGCATGGGGGAAGATGAGAGAAGACAGGTAGGAGAACCCAGGTGGCATGAGGCCATGAGTGCCAGGTCAAGGGAACGCAGGATCCACCCCAGCTTCTCTCCAGGAAGCCCTGTAGCAAAGCCACACACACAGAGTGGTTTTCAGAAAAGCCGTACCACTGAGGATGGCCCCAAATTCCACTGGGCACCAGTGTGGCACACATTCCAGGCGTGGCACACAAAAAGCCCTGTGTGTGACGTACAGTCTTTCTTACACTGGGCCCCAAAAGGACAGCCCCTGTTGGCTCCAGGAGGAGGAACAGGAGGGTCATCAACTGTGCTGTGGGGTTGGAGGACACAGCAAAAGGGATGTCTTGTTTCCAGGGCCCAAGACCAGCCTTCAGATTCTTGATCCCCAAACACCAATGGCCACGGCAACATGTCCAGCCAGATCCTCTGAGCCACACGGCAACCAAGGCTGGAGCTTCCACCCCTGGGCAGTATTGGCTGCTGTTTGTTAGGAGCACTTTAATCAGTGCTTTATTGTAATTGACAATATATTTTAATTAGTGTTTTGATTTAATTAAAGTTTTACTCTAATTGAGTATTTTTCTTTTTCTTTTTTTTTTTTTTGAGCTTACAAGATTTGAACAAAATGAGGAATAATAGCTTGTTCAGAAAAATAAATCCATGACCAAGCAGCGTTGTACCCTCAGAGAAAGAACTGTGGTTAAATCATATGAAAGTCTGTTTTAGGGCTCCATGAAGACAAACTAAAGACACCCATGCACCCATGGAGTACGCTAACCTCTTTGGACCCAACTCAAACTGCTCTTCCTCTCTCCCTGTCCCTCTCCATCATCCCCCACCAGCCCCAAACCTGCACCAACTGTTCCTGCCTCCAAAGAGCTGCCCAGCAAGCCAGGTGCTTCTCCCAGCCCTGAGCCCAGCGCTAGATACTCAGGAGGCTTTGCCCATGGGCCTCTCCATCCCCCTTCCCTCACCTATGATGCTTGGGAAGATCTGGGGATCTGAGAGCTGAGCACAGGGGCACAGGAAGGCCAAGATCAATGTTCTCGGGAATCCCTGTGCAGCAAAGCCCCACCCTAAGGCCTTCATGGGAGGCTGCTAAGTTCATGTGTTTCAGGGCTCCTCTTCACCCCTCCAAAATGAATACCCAAGCTTGGCTGTGGGAGAAGCTTGAGGGCCATTTAACACATAAGCTATTCTCTTTTTTTTAATTTAAATTTTATTTTATTCTAAGTTCCAGGATACATGTGAAGGACATGCAGGTTTGTTACATAGGTCAACGTGTGCCATAGTGGTTTGCTGCACCTATCAACCCATCACCTAGTTATTAAGCCCTGCATGCATTAGTTACTTATCCTGATGCTCTCCCTCCCCCGATGCCAAACAAGCTATTATTTTAGCCTAACAGTACTAAACACATTTTCCCACCTCTGTGGGGTCTGATTTCTCCCCCTGTTTCCTTATCTTCCCTCTCAGTCCCTCACACTCTCCCCGCTCCCATCCCTTCCGTAACTCTTTCACACAGTTTTTCCTCAGCTTTTCTTTTCTGGAAGCTGGCATGACTTTCCTTATTCTGAAATCCGTCTGCCTCCTCTAGCTGGTACTGCAAATTCTCTATGTCTGGTTGCTGAAAGTCTCAAGTCTACACTTGGAGGCTCACTGCCTCCCTATCCATTCACATTCCCTCCTCATCCCCCAAAATGTGGAGTCCATACCACTGTGCCAGGAAACAGGCCTGCCAAGGTTGTCTCCTGGCCATTGCTCTCTCTGTCCCTGGTTGTCTTGGCCACATCTGATGTAATGTACTCAGCTGCTTTCTGCTTAAATATCCTGGCCCTTGACAACTCTTGAATGGCATTATCTTCTTTCTACTTGACATCTCTTCATATTTCCTGCCCCCCAACACTAATGTCACTCTGTACATATGTGCCTATGCCCTGCTACATTCCTCACCACACTCATGCCCTTAGCACTATGATTCCAACATCTGTAGACCTAGCCCTGCCCTCTAACTGGCGTTACAGTTCACCAGTTTCCTCCTGGGGCCCTGTTCTTCCCTGTACTCTTCCACTCACTGCATCTTCCATATCCAGGCAATTACTAAGTGCTTCTTAGAGAAGCACACATAGTAAAACAAAACGTGCAGCAAACACGTGCAAATGAAACAGTGAACTTTGTAGTACTACTTTCACCTATTAAATCTGGGGATGAGCCAGGGTCTACTGGGGGTTGCAATGACTCATGAGATGCTCTAATGTCAGTCACAGGACAGCGTCAAGAAATCTTTTTTTTTTTTTTTTTTTTGTCACCTGGCCAGGCTGGAGTGCAGTGGCACAATCTCGGCTCACTGCAACCTCTGCCTATTGGGTTCAAGCAATTCTCCTGCCTCAGCCTCCCAAGTAGCTGGGACTACAGGCACCTGCCACCACACCCAGCTAATTTTTATATATTTGGTAGAGATGGGGTTTCACCGTGTTAGCCAGGATGGTCTTGATCTCCTGACATCGTGATCTGCCCGTCTCGGCCTCCCAAAGTGCTGGGATTACAGGCGTGAGCCATCGCGCCCGGCCAAGAAATCTTTTTTTAAAGTGTAAAGTGGAGTTGCTTCTTATGCCAGTGTTAGGGTGGAAGGTGCATATAGTCAAAACTGCCCTTGAAAATCCCTAAGGAGGGCACTGTGCTGGAGATAATGTGTTATCTTTCCATGTCTCCAACCAGCCTAGGAACAGATGGCCCCTTTCTTTGGCTAGGTACCAGACGAAGCAGTTGGTCTACACTTAGGTGCCAGAGAACACGAAAACCACGCATCTTTAACACAAGAGTCCTTAACACTGAGTATGGCGGAGATGCTCCCAGAACAGGAGACTGGCTGAGGGGTCAGCTGATCCCTGTGCCCCTTTCCCAGAGTGTGTGTGTGTGTGTGTGTGTGTCTGTGTGTGTGTGTGTGTGTGTCCCTTCCTTCTCTTTTGTTACAGCTGAATATGACACAGCTCTGCACTTTCAACAGCTAAAAAGTGTTCAAAAAATATACAATCTTCAGTGTTTATCAAAAGAAAAAACCATATGAAAAAAGGTGAAATACATAATATATTTATTTCCAGTTTCACAAAACTGGGGAATAGTTAAATATTATACAGCCACTGGATGGGCTATTACAAAGACATCAAAAAATGAAAATTATAGAGGTTATGTAAAGCAAAGAAAAGATTAACAACAAAATGATGAAGAGAATAAAAGCAAGATACCAAATTATGATTGCGGCCGTATAAATTTGTATGCACCTAGAAATTTATACAATTTATGGAAGAGGAGTCAAAAAATGAATTTAGCGATTTTCTGACCAAAATCATTAACCTGAAAAGGGCAAACAAAAATAACTGCTTGTTAATTGGATGAATGATTGCTCTTGGGTAGGAGAAATTAAAAGTCCTAATGGGGCAGCTGGCAGGCTCCATGAGGACAGAAGCCAGGGTCTTGAAGCTCAGAGGGAAGATGCTATGAAGCCCTGTGACTAGCCACTGTAGGTTCCAGCAGAAGGCTCAACGGGGTCTCAGCCAGGGGGTGGGGACACCAGGTTTCATAGAGCAACACCCTGGGATGAACCCTCTAGAGATCCCAAGTCTGAGACCACTGGACCCAGATCAGGACCCAGATCTGCTACACACCTTGGCCAGAATGGCCTTGAACAAGCTAGAAATCTCTTTCTGCTCCCAAGTTAACATCCAGCAGGATGGCTGTGGGGGTGAGGGCTGCTGCCCAAGGTGAGTTTCCCTTAATCCTCCTGATTAACTCCCCCTGAGATCATGTTTGCAAGGAACTCTTCTCTGCCGGTCGGTCACCATCAAACAATGAGATCGAAGGAGGTGCAATTAAAGAGACAAGGAGCAGAGAAAATATCATACTGCATGTCTCTGTGTCAGAATCTAAACCAGTTAACTGAGAGATCCTGATAAGAAGGACTCAAGAAACCAGGGAGAAGTCCAAGGTGTTTTTCCACCTCTCAGAAGTAGATAGGAAAAAGAAAAAGCCCTATAAACTGGAGAATAAATCTCCCTTAATTCCTGCTTCCCTTGGTCCCACTATCTCAGCTCACTTCAGTCACCGTGAGGGCAGGGTGGCTGTGATATAAGCAGTTTTCCCCATATGTGGTGGTGTGGCAGAATCAGCTGAAGCCCCACCCCAGGGAATCTCACTCACCCAGTGGGAAGGGGCCCCGTATCTTCAGCAAGTGCCCCTGCGGGACTCTACTGAGGCAGGCTGGGCTCTGGGGACCCACTGTGGGGCTGTCCTGGCTGGAAACTCTGGCCAGCTGGCCTTGGTTCCAGCTCTGTCATTGACTCTGTGGTCATTTCCCTCCCTGCTCCACCTTAGTGTCCTCAACAGCAGGATAAGTGGATTCGACCAGCTCCAAGGGGTCTATCATTCCGTAGTGTTATTTTTAGCAGCCTTTCCAGAGCAGAGACGCTTTCCTGCAGCCCTTTCTGGAGGTGATTTGGCACTCAGGTTACATAAGCTCCAGGCTCCTTAATTTACGTTGGGGCTGCTCTGTGGGCTGCTGATGGAAACAGATTTTAAATCATCCCTTGCCATGTTGACTGCAAACACACCATCACTTCCCTGACTAACATGCCAGCCATCAATGAGACCCCATATTTAACAGATGTTCGGCAGTAATTACCTGGACATCAGATACATTCTCCCTGTTTACTCAGCTATGGCAGACCCACACGCCCTCCCACGTGCCACTGCCAGTGTTCACAGACACACATACAAAGCACTGGCATCAAGTCTTACCACACAGGGGAAAAAATGAGCATTTAGAATGGTAATAGAATAGGCTTCTGGGGCCACAAGCAAGGAGTGCATATCACCCAAACCTACAGGAGCATTCTGGAGATAACAGAGATGATGATGATGATGATGATGATGATGATGATGATGATGATGATGATGGAACAATAAAACTTGCCATTGAGAGCAAGTGAAAGAGTCCTCAGCCTGAAGGAGTTCTTAAATCTTAGGTGGAGAGTATCACAAGCTAAGACCTCCTGGAGGGCTTCTGGGAAGCCTGCTAAGGTGGTGCCATGCTTCATGAAACCACCCTGACCAGGTCAGACCCACAGCTTGTGGTAACAGGGGGGTTGACTCATGCTAACAACATTCACAAAGACTTATGTGTAAACCAAGATGCCAATGTGTTGCTTTTGAATGAAATTAGTACTTATCCAGGTAGCCAGAATACCTACTTAGATTCACTAGCACATCCCTCTCCCTGTAGACCACCTGCATGGAGTTTCACATTATCCAACAGAGAGGAGGGGAATAAAGGATAAAATTTAAAGATTTAGTGGCCCAGGCTCCAGTGGGCTGTGCCTTCATCTGCACCCTTGGAATGTACTTGGTGTCACTTGGGACAGGTGTCACTTGGGGTGAGCACTGCCTCCCAGAATGGTCCTGGGGTGGACGAAGTCTTTGTTTCTATTCCCGTGAGTAACCACCTTCACCCCCAATCAACCACAGTACCCACCAGGCCCAACTTCCTTTACCCTGCTCAGAGGCACATGCCAAACTGAAATCTGCACAGGAGGAGCTATTGAGTGGACTGGAGTGGGCACGGACCCCAGGGCTGACACCCGCAGCCTGTCAGTGGCCCATACGCGTCCTGGTGAAAAAGTGAATCAATCACACTAACCAGACTGCCTGTATCGAAAGTAGGAACCAAGACCTGCAAGTGTGAGGCAGCTAGCAGGAGAAGCCCAGGCTCAGGGAAGACACAAGACAGAACTGGGACAAGCAGAGAAGAGGAAGGAGCTCAGATGAAGGAAAATATACGGAGAGGAGTACAGATAGCAGTGGGAAGCAGACAGGGGCTGAGCACAAAGAAATTCCAAGGTGCATGCTGGCTGTGGGGTCAGCACTTGGCCTCCCAGGAGCCCACCCTAGTTGAGCCCTCCACCTCCCTGCCCCCCAAGGCTGGCTCATTTGGCTTCCCCTGGTTTTCTGGCATCAGGCCCTTTCCACGACACCCCACCCCAGTCGCCTGAGAAGGTCTCAATTCCCACAACAAAAAGAACCTGCCTAAACACTGCCTCTGGAAGGATACATTCCTTCTTTAGATGCATTTTATGCAATACAGATTCACACAGTTCAGTGAGATGTGCAAACAGCACACCTTCCTTCTTTTCCTTTTTTACAACCTTCCTCCTTGTCTAAAACAGTGCTGTCCAATAGAAACATAATGCAAATCACATAGGTGATTTAAAATTTTTTAGTCACATCAATAAAAGTAAAAACAGGTGAAATTAATTTTAACGATTTAGTTTACTTATTCCAGTATGTCCAAAGTGTTACCACTTAAAGATATAATTAGACTAAAAATTGTCAAGACATTTCTTGTTTTTTTCATACTAAGTCTTCAGAAACAAGGGTGCATTTTACATCGACAGCACCTCTCAGTTGCGACTAGCCACATTTCAGCTGCTTGGCAGCCAGATGTGGCTGGTGGCTACCATACTGAGTAAAACAGTTCTACAGTTTGATTTCTTGTTCATCAGCCTCCAGCTCTATCGATGGCAGGCAGAAATATACAGTAAAGTTTTAAAAAATTCCATTCCTTCCCATGAAAAAGAATCTCTTTGCAGATGTACTCAGGATCATTTGCACTCTCTTCTACAACCTCAAGGAGTGGGGTGCAGGAAAGCCTAGCTATCCTCATGGTGGGGAACATGAAATGTGGCTGTCAGCTCCTGCCCCCACTCACACTGAGGGGAGGCTGGGTTGCCTAGTTCATTGGGCCATGGGGTGCCTATACACTGCCACCTTGCTCCCCATGAAGTCCCTTTCCAGGCCTGGTCCTGTCTGCTGGTGTTCTCCACACACCCGTGCCCATAAACCTGTCTAGACGTCTCAAAGCCCATGACACCTCACAACCTTTCCCAACCCCAAGGTGGGGTGGTGGGACACTAGCACTCAGTTACAAACTTGCTTTCCTCTCCTGCTTTCCACCATTTTTTAGGAACCAGAAGGGCTTCCTTATTTGTATTCCTGTGTGAGCCCTGGAGCCTCATGGATTAAGGGTGCTATCTATAGTCAGGACACCTGACTTGGGATCCTGACTCCACCCTTTAGTAGCTACATGACCTTGAATAAGTTATCTGACTCCTCTCTTCCTCCATGTGATCATCCATAAAATGGGTATAATATTGCCATCCCATAGGGCTGCTTGCAGATTAAATGATGAAAACACATAAAACACTCAGTTGAGTGCCAGGCACCATTTGAGGGCTCAATACCACGAGTTATTGCAGTGCAACAGAAGCTGCTCTAGGTCCTAGCTTTCTTTTTCCCTGTTCTGGGGTATATTTCCTCCCCCTATTCCTATGGCATCATTGGTGGAAGGACTATGGGAAGGAAAACAGCCTACAGATACTGAAAAAATGTATCAGAAGGAATTTCTAAGATATTATCCCCATAATAGTTACTACTCAATCAGGTTATGGCTCAGTCTGCACCAGGAGCCATCTTGCTACTTTGAGGTGACTTCTGATATCTCTGTGCAGATGAGTGGTGGGTATCAGAGGGTGCATGCTGCTACATCTTTATCACCATGTAGTTACCCCAAGGCTCTGTCTACAGGTCCAGCAGTTGAGTTTCTTCCAGTGTGGCTGTGCAATCCAATGGACACCTTTGAACTTCTCTCCAGTGTGTCTGAAACCCCCTCAAGGACCAGAGGCAGCCCATGCAGGGCAGTTCCATCACCCCAGTCCAAAGCCTCTGGCCTCTGGGGAGCTTCTCCAGACTCTTCTCTAGGTTTTTGCTGCAGCCTTTTCCTCCATCTGGGTTTCAAAGCCTGCCTGGAAGTCTCTGTCTTAAATCTTACATTTTATATTTATAACCCATTCTATTTTAGAAGATTTAAGGTAGCTTACAAGGATTATGTAAAATACTGAAAGATATATAAGCAAACAGGTAAAATATATATGTATTACTAAAATTTTAAAGAGTTGCTAAACACCACGGATAATAAGGTCAAATTTCTGACTATTGTGAGTGCGCATGTGTATATATGTATATGCCCACATATGTGTGTTGTGCACTCATGTATAGGAGAGACAGGTAAGCTGAACAAAAAATTTAACAGATTGTCCCAAGGAGTGGGCAGGGGATTATAATTCACTTCATTTTTTTCTTTATACTTTTCTATATTTTCTTAACTTTTTATAGAGAATCTATATTTGTTTTACAATATGAAAAAAGGCAACAAAAATTCTCTAAAGAAAAATAGGTGAGAAAGAGAAAGCCAAACCAAGCGTAAAGACATAAATTGAAGCCCATGATGAGGCTAAAACAACTGAATTTCTATGGCCAAGCCATGCATTTGGAGCTCAATTTTATAGCAGTCAATGGATGAGGAAAACCTGATCAGTTACACGGGTCACGGGGTCCACAGGACATACAAAGCGATTACTCAGAGAAGCCTGGCTGTCCCTGCTATGGAAGCATGAGGCAAACGCTTCCCATGGGGCCCCATGGAGAGGACACTCTGTGATGCAATGAATGCTGTCAGTGACACCCTCACAGTAAACACCACCGAGTTTCACAGGCTGTTCTAAAGCTCCTCAGTGCGGGCTGATGGCATCTCACCAAAATGCGGTGCAATAAAAGCAAATCCTTGAAGAGTGGAAACCTTGCAGCCAGGTTCATGGTGGGTCTGACTTAATCCAGAGGGAGAGTTTAGAGGATTAAGACCAGGACACAGATCATCTCCTCCTCCCAAACGGCTCCTTTCAGGCTTGGCTCAGCCCCTAAATCATCAAGCAGAATCCTATTCCTCCACTCACAAGAGGCTGCAGTCAAACTGACTCCGGCAGACATTTGTTCAGTCCACACATATTCATGCAGCACCTACTGTGAGCCAGGCCCTGTGCTCTCCTATCGCACAATTACTCCCAGTAATACCAGACCCGTCATATGCCTGGAGCTTCAACCTAGCTCAGCCCAATATCACCTCAGGGCTTGCAGCAAGGACAACACCATATTTTGGCATTGGAGCCTTGGGTGAATCTCCAGGGCAGGAGAAGAACATGTGTGCCTGCTCACACACCAAAAATGTTCACTTTTGGTATTGGGTGGTTGCAGCGAAGGATGATTTGGAGGCTTGAGTATGGGCTCCCAGGAAGGACTCCATGATGGATGGGCTCTCTGTCCTGGATGAGGACAATGCACTGCAGGAGATGTGAAGTTGCTCCTATATGGAACCCCTGTCTCTGTTTTCCATCCCTGCTTTGGCCCTGGGCAGGGAAGACCAAAGCCTTCTCTTCCTCCCCAAAGCCTTCTCTTTTCTCCATCCATACAGGAAGGGCTCAAGAATATTGCTGTGCTACGGTGCTTCTGCAGGCAGGTTCACCATCTGTGTAACTGTGGCTACCACCTTCCATCTTGAACTCAGACACAGACCTCTCCTCCGAGCTCCAGATCCATATATCCAATCTCCTTCTCAATAGTCACTTGCAAGTCTCAGCCATTTCAAAGTCAACCCAAAGTGGTAATCTTCAAATCTTTCCCATTTCAACAAGTGACACCACCATCCACTAATTGTAAAAGTCAGAAACCTGGATGCCATCTTTGGTAACTCTCTCTCTCCTTCTTCCTGCAGCCAACCTATCACTAAAATCTGTGTGTTTTATCCCCAAAACATGTCTGCCACTTCTCTCCATTTCCAGCTCCACTGTGAGAGGCTGCTCACACCACCCCCTACATGCCCTGAGGAGTCTCCAGGGGCACCCACAGCCTCCTCTGGCTTTCTCTGGGTGACCCAGGGAGGGCTAGGCCCTGTGAGCCACACCGGGGCAGCAGCACTCACCAGCTCACAAGTGCTTCCCTCTTCTGCCTTTGCTGACAACAGTCCCCCAGGTAAGCTTTCGCCTTCCCCTTTGTCTCCCCTTTTCTTTCCACTTCTCTCACTTCTGCTTTCATTTTCTATTCTACTTCTTTCTCTTCCACTTCTGAGCTTTGTCTATTTCTGTTCTCTTTCTTTCTCTCCCTCCCGACTCGGGCTCCACTTGCTTCCTCTTCTTCAGATGTGACAGTCATAGAAAGTCAGAGCTGGCAGTGACCCCACCTGCCCTCTGACAGTATGGAAGGAGACTGTGAGGCTCAGAGAGGAAAGCAACTCACCCACATTCTCACAGCAGTGGGCAGCACAGTCAGCCCTAGGGCTCAGATACCCCAACCTGGTCCAGCACTCCTCCACTTATACCTCACTGTTTTGCTGCTTTTTCTTGTCCCCTGTCCCTTATCCCATGACAGTGGCCTGGTGCTGAAGACAGGCCTAGTCATTCTTTGCACAATACCAGTCGATAATTAGGTTGCATAAGTATGTATGTATCTTTCTCTCTTTCACACACACATGCACAGACACACACACACACACACACACCCCACATTTACTGCACAGATACGGACACCTGCACCCAAAGTGTCAGAGGAATGTGACTTTACCCTCTCCAAATGCTCCTTTTGTGCGTTCTCAGGCCTTCCATTCTCCTTCCGATGAGGCTGATGTATTCTGTTGCAGTTGGATGCACCTACAAAAATCCTCTTCAAAATCCCATCACTTCACCACCAAGGAATTACTAAAATACCATGAAGGAGGTGCTCAAAGGCGATATGGGGCAGAGGAAGGAATAAGTGCCTGACCCTCTGCCCCTTCTCTCCTGCAGCCCCATATGTTCTTGGCACAAGAGGGCTACAGAAATCCAATAACATCTTCGGAACCCGTCCAGATTTGACAGAGCCATCTGTGAAAAGCTGCTTGCCAGGGTGGGAGTGGCAGGGCATGCTGTGGCTATAGATTTAGGGTCAAGGCAGACTGCCAGAGGGGTGGGGCAACCAAAAGGAGGGGACATTGAGGCAGACAGTGGTGAGGGGTGGGGACATGTGGATGGAACGAGATGGCCATGGACTCTCCTGTTGTGACCACTTAAAACAGGTAGAAATACGCCCCGAGGTGGGTAAAGTGCACAGCCGACTGCCAGGAGGGACATGGGGCACATAATCTGAACTTAAACCCTTGTAGCCCTGGGATTCTACTGAAAATCCACCCTTGGACAGAGTTTCAAAACAGACATTCAGCAAAGAAGGATGCATTAAGATCTCAGGTTCATCCTAAGGCCCATGGAAGCACACCAGGCCTCCAGGGCCTGGGAAAAGACAATAGCAGAGCTCTGAACATGGACAAAGCTACAACACAGTAAGAAGATTACAATATTTTTCCAGGCTATCATGATTTTGCACCATTTTATGGTTTTCAGCCAACATAACTCATTAAATGTGTAACAAAGAGTATTTAATAGCTATACCTTCTTTTACAAGACAACATGTGAACAAAACTCAAAGATAGGAAAAAACTCTCCTTTGTCAGGCAGCGGAAAATGGCCACAGTGTCCACAGGTCAGGGCACCCAAGGCAAGTGAGCATGGTTTTGCCCCCATGAGGGACTGGCAGTAGCCCAAGGAACAAGACTGCAGAGGCCAAGACAGCCCAGGTGTTCCTCCCATGCAAACCAATGCATACAAAGTCCAAAGTGCATACGGGTGGCTACAGAAAGAAGGGAAGCTGCAAGGGGAGTTGCAGGGGAAGGAGGGATGGAGGAAGGGAGGAAAACCCAGGGGAGCAAATGGGAAGTGGGGGACAAAGCAGAGGGGGAAGTGCAAAGAGGAGAGGGGAGATGGGGATCCGGGTCAAAGGGCACTGGGGATCAGGGAGGAAAGGCTGCAAGGATTTGACAGTAAGACCCCAAAGGAGGCCTGGAAATGAGTTTCTCCAGAGACCTAGTCACTTTTGGAAACCTGTCCCTGAGAAGCTTGCATAGCATAAAGTAGGCAGGTGTGCCCTGCTGGGCTCTGCCTTTCTGCAGCCTGAATTCCTCCCTCCAGACAAGGCCTGCTGGCCCTGAGAACTCCAGCCTTTCTTTCCCTTCGCTGGACCCAGCCAGACACTGGAGGGACACAGGACCAGCACCTTTCCCTTCAAACACACTCAGATCTTCAGTCCAGGAGGAAAGAAGGCAATGGTCCAACCAGGAAGAGGAGAAAAAGGCCTTTCCTGGTCCAGGCCCTGGCCAAGGCCCATCCTTCCATTGTGATGCAATTTCCCTTCCAGCTGCATCTGCTGCCCCCATGGGGAAGCAGATGAATGCCCCCCTGGCTCTGCACCAACAGGTTAGAATGATCTGCTCCAGCTGACCCTGCTCCTGGGGACACTGTCTGCACCTCCCTCGTGCCCTCAGAGTAGCCACAAGAGCTCCCAGGGTATGGAGAGTGAAGCGGGTAATGACAGGGAATGAAGAATCACAGCCAGCATGGGAGCAGGCAATGCCAGCCGCTCCTCCTTGCTCAGGCACACATTTCCAAAGCCTTCTGGGGCTGGCATGAACTGCCCGCACCAAGACTCCTAAGTTAGCCCCCAGACTCACCCATAGCCCCTTCTCACCACATGCCTGGGACACAGGCCTCTTCCTGCCCCACACTTCCCCATCCTCTGCCCCACCCGACGGTGAACAGTCAGTGAGGTCAAGTCCCCATCCCTGTGGGCCTTGAAGCCCCATTTCCCTCAGGCCGGGAGAGAATTCCCAGGGGGCAAGGTTGGAAACATCCCTCTTTCTCAGAGAAGCTCTCACCCAGCCAGAGGTCAGGCGTGGAGAAGCACCAGCAGACTAGCTCATCCCACAGTACAGAGAAGAACTAAGGCCACCTCTCCTCTCTCTCTGGGGAGCTCCTACTGCTTTGATGTGGAACAGATATGACAATGGCAGTAACTGGTGGGGAAGGAGCTTTAAAGCTGCTGTTTTAAATGACAGCTATTGTTCCTTGGCAATTTTATGATCAAGGAAAAGAAAGAGGCCTTTTAAGAAAGGAATGTAGCACATTTAAGGAGCCCTAGAGGATTGGAGAAGGTAGAAGAAAGAAGCCGCTCCAAAGATGAGGCAGCTCTGCTCGTCTGCAGCCCTGTCTTCCCTGGAGCCACAGTACACAGCCCCTCAGAAGCAGTTGAGAAACTCCTGGAAGAGGAACCCCAAAGGTCAAGGCCACCTGCTGCTGGTGACTCTCAAAGCTAGACCCAGCAGACATAACATGGGCAGGTGGTGGTCCTCTTCCCAGGATGATGGTCCTTTTCCCCACAATAAGAGGCTTCTTGGAGCAGAGTTAAAGGAGGCATATCCCCCCAGCCCAGCCCAGTAAAGGCAGATATGTAGCGAAAAGCAATTAAGCCAGATTCTAAGAACGGGGTAACAGACCCCGACCCACAGGTCTTTCTGGGGTGGCCCAGCCTAGAGTGCATCTCAAGAGGCAGCCATGCGAGGGCTGGTACCACTGTCTAGCTGGCACAAATGGTTCCTGATCCAGGGACAGAACCCATGCTAGGGACAGACCCATAATCTCCTAGCTCTGTCCTCGGGTGCTTGCTGCATTTTCATGTGCCACTACCCCCTCCAGAGTTGGCAATAGAGATCCCCATCTCCAACTACAGGCTCCACGTGCCAGTCCACCTCCATCTCAACTGCAAATGCTCGTAAGCCAAACACCCTCTTCCCAGGGCCAGATGCCCTCCAAATTTCCCATTTCTGACTCTGATCCTCTACCTTCCAGGGCACTCATCTTCCTCTCTACTTGATGAGATTCTGTTTCCCCTGGAAAAGCCAAAAGGACTCTTCTCCATGAAGTCCTCTTGGCTTTGCTCTTAGCAGTCTCTCCTCACTCTAAATTAGTAGTTCTCAAAGTGTGGTCTCCAGACCAGCATCATCAACATCACCTGGGAACTTGTTCAGAATGCTGTTCTTCAGGCCCCATTCAAAAGCTACTCAATCGGAAACTCAAGGTGGAGAGCAACAATCTGTTTCAACAAGCCCTCTACGTGATTCTGATGCTGAAGTCTGAGAACCACTGGTTAAGGGCCGTGGAACTCCATGACCAGTGTGTGTGCTGATGCTGCTGGCCCAAGCACCACACTTTGAGAACCACTGCCCTAAACCTCTGGAGCACTTCTGTCCCTCCTGTTCATCTGAAACTCAGGCTCCCGCCTTGTGCGTAGGTGTGATCTTCACAGGACAAGGCTGAGTCTTGCCTGCCTTTTGGCATCTCCACACTACCCTGCAGATACTCAAAATACAGCTCTTGTATTGGATTGAAAAATAGAGGCCCCTGGCCTTTGGGCATGGTTCTACCACTGAAGAAACAACCTCAAGCCACCAAAAGCCTTTTGCTTTCTCAATAAAGAGCATACAAGATTTAGTGGGCTGCAAGTCATGAAGAAGCTTGATGGCAGGAAAACCCTCCCCCTACCGGATCCCCTCCCTGAGTGGCTGGGACCTTGAGGTTTGGGCTGAAGACTGCCTACCAACTACAGCAGAGAGAAAGCGTGACAGCCTGCAACGGCTCCCGCAAAGTCTCTAGCACCATTATCACACCAGCACCATAATGGCAATAAAAAGTTATTTCTATTTTAAATTGTCAATATTAATCTAATGCTTGCGATGAATGAAGTAGTGATGATAAATGGGGTGTTTAATAAAGACGAAAGCTCCAGCAGCCTCAGAGAAAACCTCCTTTGACTTAAAGTTATCGTCTTGATTAAAATTTCCATTTTATTATCCTAATCAGCAATCTTTGTTCAATGTGCTACAATTTCTATTTTCTCCACTTAGAGAGATAATTAACAACACTATAAACATATTAAAAGTAAAATGTTTATTAAAATTGCTCTGTTATCCAAATTTAACTTATTTTTTAGCAATGCTTCATGGAGACATGCCCTTGCCACCAGGAAGACGTCCCAGAACCAACCTCTCTGGATAACCCCTTTCTATTCCCAGGGTCTCCAGGGAGCAGACAACCCCTGGTCCCAGTCACACATTCCTGTGTTCAACAGCCCTGCAGTTTAATCCAGTTTCATTTCATTTCATTCAATCTGACATCTCTTTATGCAGAGCATAAGAGACTCATTAGTCTCCACTATGAATGTGGGCTAGGGTGGAGATGAGACATAGATGGGAAACTGAGGCATCAGAAAATACAAAAATGCCCCCAAATTAGTCAACTTTGCATCTCTCTGAAATGCAAAGGTTCGTTAATTAAAGGTTCCTAATGAACAAATAGCCATTAAGCACCAAGTATGTGCAAGGCTCAGTGGGTAGAAACCACAGCACCACACAATCTAAACGCTGTCTCCAGGCAGGGTATCAGGGCACAGGATATCTTCAGCCACAATGGGAAAATTGTTTAGGTCTGATTTTTAAAAACACAACACTTATGCTTATCCAAACATGGAATCTGACTCCACATATGCGATTTCTGCTCTGGAAAATATGGAACACTGAAGCCAGGTGGAAATAGCTCCCTCGGGTGACTCTGTGATACTCGTGAGGATGCACCCTGGCCAAGACCTTCTGGTTCCCATTTCCTGCCTTCTTCTTGTCCTCATCTTGGGGCAGACCAACAGACTTAGTCAGCACCTTACTGTGGTCTTCAAACAAGGCTGATTAGGAATCAGGAATTGTCTTCCCTGCAGCCACCAGAAGGTGTGTTGTGTGTGGCTGTCACTCCCACAGAGGACTTTGGTTTAAAAGCACTTAGACACAGCATCTCACTTAATCCTCCCCATGGACTGGTAAAGTAGGTGGAGTGTCCACATTTTACAGAGGAGTAAACTGAGGCTCAGTGAGCTTAAATATCCTGTGCCAAACACACAACTAATAGGCTGGTGGCTGTCCTAGTCCCAGCTGTCTTCCTGGGGCTCCCTGCTTTAGCACACGCCTCCAGCCTCAGGGTGAGTGGCTACATCTGAAGCCGGAGGTGGAGCCCCGCCTTGCCCTGCTGCTGTCCAAGTCCTGGGCTCCTATGAACAGCCTCTCTTTGTGGTTTTTTTTTTCCATGATGTGTGTGTGTTTTAACCTGAGTCACCTCCGGGTATCCTGGAGCCTTCCACAGGGAAGGCCACGTTCTGTTAATCAGCGTGAAATGGCGCATACCCTCTGACCCCTCAGAAAGGAATGCATACCAAAGTTGACGACACTTAGGGAAATGGAGGAAACAGCAATCCACAGAGGCCCAGGGGTAAGGGCTATTAATCTCCCGCCACCGAAGGAAATGAAATCATTCTGTCTGCAGCTACAGAATCCAAAAGAACAAATTTCCTGCCAGGATAATAAATGGATTCTTTTGTTTTTGCCTTGACTCCCATCACATGACCCTCCCGGCCCATTCCTTATCCAGGTGACTTCGCTGGGTAAATACCCAGAGGTTTCCGTTTCAACCTCAATGATGGACCAGGGTCCATCCCACCTGAGCATCCCACCAGAGCACTCAGCCTGCCTGCTCTGCCCTGCCCCCATGCCTTTCCTTCCCAAAACACCTCCTGCAAAGGTGAGCAAGGCTTCCATCCCCTCTGCAAAGACTTTCGTGAAGAGGACCATTCCCCCACCCTCAGGCAGGAGCAGATTTTGAAGCAACTCCGTGGAGAAGAAGGGGGAAAAGCCATTTTACCACCGAACAGGCATCACACAAGATGTACTTTGGAAACAATAATGAATAGTAAATTTGGGCTATAAAATTCCCAGGGCAAGCAAAGGAGCACCCACGCGATGCTCTTGCTGATGTGCGTGGAGGGAATAATGCAAGGCTTGGAAGGTATCGCAAAGGCAGCATTATGGGCAACCTGGGCTCCACTGGGCTGCACTAACATTCCTCCAAATGGGGCCTCGGAGCCCTGCCCCGGCAGATTGCAACGTGCAAGCAATGAACCACTTCATAATTGGCTTCTGTTCGGCCACAACACCGAGCACTCAACTTCTAAAATGGGTCTGTATTTGCAAAGAAAAATTGCTGCTGGCTTAACACACAGCAAGAAGCCCTAGTGCCTGGTGAACACACAGAGAAAACTTGTGTACTGTTCCTCACTCTCCTGTCCCCTGGGCCTCCAAGGAGAGGCAGTGCCTGAAGGATGCAACACCATACTGATCAGAGGAGATGCAACTCCCAAGCACAGGCTGGCAGCCCCACTTCCCCAAAGGTGTGACCACCTTAGAAGACCCTCTGCAGTCGTGAAAAGAAATGATCATGAGACCTCTTTGATCTGGGCACAAAAAACCTCCACCTCCCAGCATGTGTCTGTGTGTGTAAGCAGAGGGGCCAGAGGGGTATTGTGTGGGTAGTTCAAGTTCCCTAAGAGAGGGCAGGGTGCATCCTCTGTGAAAAATGGAAGGAGAGCTTGTTAGATGCTCCTCAACTCCACAGAAATACTGTGACATGTGAGTGCTTTGGGGCAAAACAGTGGGTAAAATGATAGTGGCAGGAAAAATAAAATTATACCTCCTAGAGAGGCAATGTGAGCATGTATATAACCGTTACTGCCTAAGGTCTGCTGGGATATCTCCTCACACAAGAATTCTGTGGGATGCAGAATGTGGCTGGGTGGTCTGGTCTCTCTGCACGCCTGACTCTCTGCCCTGGATCAGAGACCTCGAAGCCACGGCAAAGAGGCATGGACAGCAGATCCCTCTGCCAAATGTCACTCTTCTGGCCTCGGAGCCTGCACTTCTTCACTCATACCAGTTGTAGCTATTGCCCACAGCTTTGCAAGTTATTTTTTATGCCTGTCTTTGCCACTAGATGTGTTTCTCCAGAATACAATCTTATTTTATTTATCTCTGCATCTGCAGCAAGATGGATGGGTAGATGGACAGCTGGTTGAATGGATGAATAAGCCAGATCACCCAAGGCATATTATCTTCATCAATCCCACATCTTATGGAAAGAAATGAAATTAATAGTTACAAAAAAACTACTCCATGACAAGTATTGTTCTAGATGGTTTCTGCATCTTATTTCAGTCACACAACTACTCCAAGAATTGAGTTTTATTTTTGACATTTTACAAATGAGAAACTAAGGATCAATAGCATTCTACTGACCCAAAGCCAGGTCTGTAGAATACTCCACATCCAGTATCCAAATGTAGAGCACTCTCTGTCAGTCATTTTTCAGATTATGAGTGCAATAAACATTTGTTGGGCACCTGCTTGGTGCCAGGCATCATGTCATGCATTGAAGATTCACAGACAAATCTGAAGTGGATTCAGGTGGAACTCTTTGGTAAGTAGGGGAGGAAACTCAGGCTCTCCAGGGACTCCACAGCCAGGAAAAGTCCGTCACATCAAAACACATGCAAACTGGTAGAGACTTGTGGCTAGAGCAGAGGGAGGAGGCAGGCAAACTCTCTTTGAAAAAAGCAGAAATGAGCAAAAATGACAAAAACAATCATCTCAGCATCCTGGAAATTAACCAAAGATGTTCAACAATCTGAGAAGTATTTATGTATCAAAGACGGGAGTTTGAGTAAGAATAGTGGGTACCTGTGGCATTCTTGCCTAGGAAAGCACCCTCCTCCTCACCCTCCCCTGAGCTCTGCTGATATGAAGGTCCTGCTAGGGAAGGAAACAACATGAAGATCATCAAAGCTGTGGGTCAAAGGGAACTCACTTGATTTGGAGTGGTTGGTTATGCCATATCCGGCAGCAGTATCAGTAGAAGTGATGTGCTCAGCAGGTGAGACCATGGCATGACTGGGGCAAGTGTATACTTGGCTGAGGATGTGCACATACCCAATTAAGTCCAGAGAGGAGCCAACATAGCCACACACTCCTGGCCAGCCCTAAGGCTACGCTTGCTTATAGAACAGGTGGAAGATCCCACTGGAAAGCCAAAGCCAGAGCAGACTTCAAAATGACCTGAATTTTGAATGTGCTTTCCTACCTACACACAGATCCAATGGCAGAGAATGCAAGTCTTGAGGCTCAAGGTGCTTGAACACAACCTCTGTCTAATCATTGGCAGACCGTTAACCCACACAGACCTCTAAGAAGCAAGACATAAAAATAAAAACAAAAATTAAAGCTAAAATCTGAACCAACACAAAAGTGGTCATATACCATAGAGAAGACATATTTCACAGATTAGCCCAGGCAAGTTACTCAACCAACAAACAAACAAACCAGTAACAACATCATCATTCAGGGGAAAAAATAACACTCAGAGTTGCTATAATACATTATCTAAAATGTCCCATTTTCAACAGAAAATTATGACACATCCAAAGAAACAAGAAAGCATAATTCATACTCAAGAAAGAAAGCAATCAATAGAAACTATCTATGAGCCCTCAGATATTAGATACAGCAGACAAAAACTTCAAAGTAGCTCTTATAAATATGCTCAAAAACCTAAATAAAACCACTTTTAAATAACTAGAGAAAGTATAACAATAAGGAACAGAAAAATAGAGATCATCTCTTAAAAGACAGAAATTATTTTTAAAACTAAATGTAAATTATGGAGTTGAAAAGAACAATAACTGAAATAAAAAAATCACTAGAGGAGCTCAACAGAAAATTCAAGATTGAAGAGAAAAAAAATCAATGAATTTGAAGATAGATCAATGGAAATTATCATGTCCAAAGAACAGAGAAGAAGATTAAAGTAAAAGGCAACAGAACCTCAGAAATCCATTGATTAACATCAAACACATCAACATACATGTGATAAAAAAACTTCCAGATAGGAAAGAGAAAAGGGGAAAGAAAAACATTTGAAAAATAATGGTTTAAAACAGTTCAAATTTAATGAGAAACATCAATCTGCACAAGTCCAAAAATCCCAATGAACTCCAACTAGGGTAATACGAGGAGATTCCCAACTAGATACATCATAGTCAAATGTTTAAAGACAAAGACAACATTTTCAATGCCACAAAAGAAAAGAAAATAACATACAGAGAAACATCAATGTGATTAATATGACTTCTTTTCGGAAACAATGGAGGCCCAAAGGTAATGGAATGATATTCAAAGTGCTAAAAGAAACAAACTATCAACCAAGAATTCTATACACAGTGAAACTATCCTATAAAAATGAAGAAAAAATAAAAACATTCCTAGACAACCAAAGCCAGAAAATTTGTCACCAGCAAATCTGCATAAAATACAAACAAATACTAAAGAATGTTATTCAAGATGAAAAGAAATGACACCAGAAGGTAACTTGAAAACACAGGAAAAAAAATGAAAAGCACTGGAAATGGTAAATATATGAACAGTCTATTCTTCTCTAACTTCCTTAAAAGTAATACAATTATATAAACTAATAACACCGTATTGTTGAGTTTATATCATATATCAGTGTAATAAATCCATCATTAATAGCACAAAGGAGGGGTAAGGACATGCTTCATGGGGGAGAAGCCACTTGAACCGTCCCATTCATTAAAGCTGTGTGGGATATTAAAAGATGGAAACAGTGGGAAAAGCACTCCAGGCAAAGAGAATTGAACAATCAAAGGTGTGGAGATGGGAAAGACATGTTTGAAGAAGAGCAAGTTGTCTTACTTTACTTGGTGATAGAAAAGGTTAGAAAAGTCAGTTGTAGGTAGCTAAGGAGGCCCACGGAAAGCCAAGCTAAGGAAATAGGACTGGGTTTTACCCAATTAAAGGGAACTTAGAGGGATTTTGGGTTTTGTTTTTAATTAGAAGAATTAGTTTTTCTAATGGGTGCCTCAGGAAGGATCTTCTGACTGCAGGCATTGGAATGGCACAGGCCCAGGATGGAGTAGGTACTGGATGAACAGGGCTCTGATGGCATTAGCACAGAAGAGTGAAGGGGGTGAGGCTGGTGTAAAGGAGGTCTCCTAGGAGCCCAACTGTCTTTATCTGTTTGGGCTGCTATAACAAAATACTATAGAATAGGTAGCTTATAAACAACAGAAATTTATGTCTCACAGTTCTCGAGGCTGAGAAGTCCAAGATCAAGGCACCAGCAGATTTGGAGACTGGTGAGGACCCACTTTCTGATTCATAGACAGCAACTTCTCCATGTGTCCTCATATGGTGGAAGGAGCAAGTTAGCTCTCTGGGGTCTCTTTTATAAGGTACTAATCCCATTCATGAAGGGGCCACTGTCATGACTGACTTAACTACCTCCCAAAGGCCCCAGCTATTACTACCATCACCTTTGAGGTTAAGTCATAAGCATATGAATTTCGGGGGATCACAATCAGACTACAGCACCACTGCAACAATGTGTGGGGATGTCTATGATGTCCCCTTACTTTTATCCTTTCCCCAGCTCTCAAACTCTTTGGAAATGAGTTCAGCCAGGAAAAAACAAAGGGGAATATCATTAAGTGGCAAACAACGCTTATGAATAAAGAAATAAGAGAATTTAAATCCAGACTATGCCAGACACTATACCAATCACCCCAAGTTCCCTCATTTAGGCTGGAAAGGAATATTTTATTAAACCTATTTTACAGGGAGGGAAACTGAGGACACGTTTCCTTAAGGTTATGCAGAGAGTTAAGCCAAAGCAGGATTCAAATGATTGTGAGCCTAATTCAACATTCACACTCTTCTCATAGTTTCAGTCAGCTCTTTTGAGTGAGAGGGTGTTCACTCCAAAGAGTCAGCTTTTAAATCAAATACATCAGTGAAATAAATAGAGGAAACCTTTTTATGATGTAGTCATCCCTGCCTCCTTTCAGGAATCTCTCATCCTACTGCCTCCATCCTTGTGAAGCCTCCCTAGAAAGCAAAATACCTGAGCTCAGCAGTGTTCAGTGGTGAGCAACCTGGAGACCTCCCACCTGTCCCACATACAGAGTGACAGGACATAAGCCTTTGAGGGACAACAGTGACACCAGCAGCATGAGCAGCAGGTTGAACAAGGGCCCTGGTATGGGAAGCCCTGTTCCTCTAAGGCTTCCTGGCTGGGTCTGAACATGGCTGGGACAGGCAGAGCATCTAACCTAGGCTCTAGAGATGTCCTGGCTACTGCCTGCCACCCACATCAGAGCTTTTCCTGGAAACCAGGAAAACTCCCTGGAAGTGGTAGAAGCCACCAGTCCCACAGCAGCATCACTCAGTGCCCACTTCTTGACACACACAGCTTCTCCTGGTGGAATAAGGGTAGATGTAGCTGAGGAAGGGGGCTCTGAGAAGGAGGGAAACCAGGGAAGGGGCCCATACCCCAGAAGAAGTCCCAAGATAGGGCAGGCATTGTGGTGCAAAACCCACCCTTCTTAATAACACCTGCATTGTTAAGTGACCGGCTGGAGACTGCTGTTAACAGCGATGAGCCAATCCAGAAGTGAGCTGGAGGGTTATCGCAGCCAGGTCACTAAATCCCACCCTGTGCTGGAAGCTTCCCAGGAAACTCTTAAAGGGAGGAGTTGTCACACCTGTCACCAAAAGAGAGGCTGAGGGCCAGTCAGAGACCTCATATTTACAATGTGTACCAGTTCTGTGCTCTGTAAAACGGCACCCAGATTGCAACATTCTCACCAACTTCATAAAATACATTTTATTAGGATTGTGGTTCTGACTCAAACAACTTCATAAAATTTTCTTTCTTATGAAGTGGGTGCTATTACATACTCACTTCTTTGAAAGACAGTTCAATTGCCAAGAGCTATATAATTAGGTATGGGCACTGAGAAACTATTTTTAAAGGATTAGGGCATACTTAGGCTATTTGTCCTGCTTTAATTTGAAGTTTCCAATGCATCTGAGAGCCAGATTGATTTTATTTGGCCGATACAGAGCTGTAAAAGAAAAAAAAATGCATTTTTGTCATCATTTAAAAATTGGGGATTTTTATCCAGTGAAAATCCAGAAGATGAGGCAATGCCCATATATCTAGATGGGGCAGGAGTTCACCTATTCACAGGGTCCCCACCAGGCAACCTCACCTGGTTATGAAACCTATGGGCCCCCAGTAGGCATCTGGGTCTAGAGCACCTTCTGTAGGTCAACCACAAACATTAACATTGTCTACTACAGGCAAAGCCCTGGGCCAGGCACTATGGGGAAAGAGGAAGTAAGCCCTGGGCCCTGTGCCATAGTGATGTGTGCTGCCTGGGGAGACAGAAGGATGCATAGAAATAGCTGATTCAAGGAGGAATACAAGTTGATCACTAACGGAGGTGCCAAGTGGAGGGGAGTGTAGAAAAAAAGAGATTTCTTACCAGGAGGCAGTGGAATAATGTGTCCCCATAAATAAATGCTAGCTCCCTACTCCTGTCCCAGGACCTCATTGTGGGATGCCCCAGGGTCTCAGGGACTCCTTTAGGGGGTCTCAGTCCTGGCCCATCCTGAGCAAATCCTCATCAAGTCACATTCAGCCTTTCACTTGTTTATTAAACAAATGGTACCTCTGGGGCATGCAGCAGAATCACCTAGAAACTTTTCCACTCCCCACCCAAAAAGGTACCATCATCTATGCAGTTGGGCTTCCTAATAGGGGACCTGGAAAACACTCAGCATGTGTCTGAGATCCATCCCCCATTACTCACCACTGTCCTGTCTTATGCCAGACCCTATCCCAGGGCACTGCCCCTCTCTCACTCCAGTCAGAGTCAGCCTGGCAGGAGGTCATGACTCAGTCTGGGGTGCAGAATTGGGCGCTCTCAGTCCTGTGCCTGAGGCATGGCACAGCAGGGCCTTCTCGGTGACCAAGGGCAGAGGCGCTTTCAGGACATGCCTACCCCTCTGCCTTTTAACCTGAGGCAGCTTAGCTCCTGTCAAACTCAAATTTCCCTCCCTAGGATTTGCTTTCTTCCATGACCATCTCACAGCAGTGAAAGATAACATAGCCAGAACCTCCAACAACAAAGGAACAAAGGAACAGACTCTAAAAGTCCAGGTGAAGCTCAGATTAGTCATCTAACAACTACATGGAAATAAGCAGCAGCCAGTAACAAGCACGGTAAGGGGCAGGGATGTGTCTGCTGAGCACAGTTACTATGCACACTTAGGACTCTGCAGAATTAGGAGGCAGTGAGGGAAGAAAGACAAGTCTGGTCCTTGGCCTGAACAGTTGCTTTCACATCCTGACCATGTGGATTTCCCTGTTAACTTCCCTGCATGTGTAAAATAGAAACAATATTTTGTGTCGTATATTGAGAATCAAATGAGGTAACATATATAAAACGCTTGATACAATGCCTAGCACATAGTAGGCAGTCGTGTACAAATATTTGTTCTTTTACCTGAATATTAATTGATGAATTAATGAATATATAGTAGAAAAGAAATAATTTACTTGAACATGTTACAGACTGCTTCTAATTATTTTGTTCTTGATGCTTTTATTTGGATCTGCCTAGGGGTAGAAGGTTTGCCTCCATTTTCTAGCTCCAAAGTTGCATTCTGGAAAGCAGTCTCTTTATTTACTTTTCTTGTAATTAGGGTACACTGCCACCAGGTGGCGGTGGCTGCTCTGAGCTCATCACCAAACTTAAGACATGATTTGTCTTATTAATAGATCCAGATACACCCATTTATTTTCCAGATATTAATTTTCAAAGAGCAATAAAGGCTACACGTGATTGATTATAATATTCTATTAAGTGAAGGATTTTTTTAAGAGAAGGGTGCTAAGCAATTATTCTCCCATGATTTTGAGCATAGCATGAGAGAATGTGGTTTTAAATTTGAGCATAAGAGATGACAGATACTAGGAAGAAGTGACTGACCCACAGGATGATAAAATTTTAGTATAAACTGTTAGGAGAATCCGTGGGGAAGACATTTGGGAGATGTCCTAAGAGGCAAAATAAGCCCAGGGAAGCTGTGAAGGGAGAAAATGCTAGAACAGGAAATCAAGAAGCCAAGGTTTCCTCTTGGCTCTGCTTCTAATACACCATGAGACTTTGACCAGATCAGCAAATTTTCCTGTGCCTCAGTGTTCCTTCTACTCCTGCAGAAGAGGATGACAGATTAAATTATCTCTTAGGGCCCCCATGACCTCAACTAACATGAATCTTACATCTTTTTCTGTTGCATCTGCCTGATCCTCTGGGTGATGACAACTGCACCCAGACCAGAATCTCAGAAGGCTTGTTACATTTCTATGCAATGAGAAGCCTGACAATCCATGGGGCATGAGTGTGTTGGGGGCTTGGGCATGGCCCAAGACCCATGATTCCCTACAGCCTCCCACATAATCCTGGAGCTGAGCCCACCCAGGCAGCACTCCTGTTCTGCACTTCTCATACTCCTGCCCTCACCCCCTGCCTATTCATAAGGTCCATCCAGGTACTGTCTCTTCTTTCTCTATGGCTACGTAATGTCCAGTGCCTGCTCTGGGGTCAGAGACAGGAGGTATGACTGCTTATCTAGAGTGCATCTTGAAAGAAATTGCATGAATGAGGCCACTCATTCTCCTCACCTTCTTTTTAAATTTTCCTTGCATAGAAACTGTTAAAAATTCCACCAAATAGCCCCCAAACACCTAGCTCTCTCATATTGGCTGATGTTCAATATCTGAGGGCCAGAGCAGAGCATTCTTTTGGACTTCGTTCTTTTGGCAAACCATGCCTTTCTAGATATGAGCAAGAAAGCAAGGCCTAAAGAAGCCCCCAGCTAAGTATGCCTTTCTTCTCCCTACTAGGGTGCAGCCCAGAGGGCACCCAGTCTCACCAGCCCTACCCCTTCCCTGCACCAACAAGGTGTAGTTGCCCCCTCCCCGCCATCTCCCAGGACAGACAAGGGCATTTTGCAAAGCATCCTGGACTCAATGGGAACCATCTGATGGTTATCCTAGAGTTTCTAGAAACAAATTCTGCATCCATGTGAACCCAGCAGGATGACAATCAAGGATTCTTTGACAATAAACTGGATTTTAAGACATCCATGTTTAAAATTAATTTCAACTTAAAAAATATTAACTTGTTTTTTTGTAACCAAATAGATAAGCTGAAGTTTCAAGATAAAATCATGGAATAGAGGGTATACCTTTTAGTTATGTAATGCTTAAAAGATTAGATTATTTTAATATTTTAAAGAGAAGATTTACAAATAGGTCCCAATATGCACCTGATGCACTGGTTGCTCGTATTCTCCAGAGCTGGGCGAGGATCAGTCTTTAACTGCAGGGGACATCTTGGCAGCCAACCGCATGAATGACTAGCTATCATCCTTTTACAATATCAACTCCATGTGTCAAAGCTGAGAGTGAACATGTTAAGAGATGGATATTTGCTGATGCATAATTTTAAAATGTCATCCAAGTCAACTAAAGTCACTTATCTAAACTTATCAGAATATTAAAATGAAAACCAATAATAGTAGTCTATTCTATTGACAGAAAAACAACGTCTCCTTTCTTTAGACAAACTTATTCCAGATTAATCACTAGGGAATTAAAAAAGCAGGGGAGCTCCTATTTCTTTTCCGGTCAATGAATTAACAGGAAGAAGAAAGTAAATGTCAAAGTAGCTGCATAATGAAAGACCTTAAGTTTCCTATCTTGATTACATTTAAGCTGATTTGTATTTGTTGTTAATTTATAGAGCCTGTGTATCACATCTATAACTAAAATACTAACAGTGCATTTGTTAAAATGTGCTTCTGTTGAATGTAAATATTCATAATATATGAATATGTGATTTTAACCAGTTACAATAATTTAAGTGTCTATTATTTCTGTTATCCGTTATTTACCTAATGAAGTGTAGTTTTTAAAACTTCACCAAAGTATATATCACGTCATATATACTTGTTACATTGAAGATGGTTTGGCCTCTTAATTTATAAATATCTGCTTCAATTTGCGTTAATACATTAAATTCCTAAAAGATTACTATATTTTCAGGTGCAAAATTAAAACTAGAAAATTAAGCAATTCTTTAAATGCATCTTTTAAAGCAAAAACTGCATCTGATTTATGGAAAACAAGGAGTTTAAATCCATTATTAAACTTAATTTTTTAATTGAGAAAACTGAGTATAATAGGTGTTTAAATCATGCCTTGCATTGACTGTTGCTGTCAAATCAGTCTGAGAATACTGGAATCTAATTGTGCCTTGAAGGGATGCTCAGTGTGTCCACTGTGGCCTCATGGGACTGGATGGCTGTGCCCAGCCAGATGCCCCATGGATAGCTCTCCATGAGGGAGGGCCCATCCTCTCCCTCTCTCCAGATACCCTTTGCCTTCACTTCTGCCGTCAAATGGAGTGTCCACAGAAGGCACAAACTACTGACTGTGATACAGCCTTTCACTAAAACCTTATTTATGAAGAAGCTTGCTGACTCTTGGTAGTGTGCCAGTCATTTCTATGTTTGGACCAAATGAGCTCCCATGCCTGAAGCCTCCAATCTATGACCAAAGGACCCCACAGGGCAGGGAAACAGGAGCCCTGGGGTACTGGTGAAGGAAATGACAATGTGGGGTCAAGAATGAATGGAGCCCTTGGAGCCCCAGAAATCTTGACACCCCTTTTCTGCTCACTTCCCCAGACCTCCTCCTCCCCACTCAGGCTATTCCCTTCACAGAGACACCCTCAAGGATCAGGGGTCTTTCCTCTCACTGCCAACTCCAATGTATGTCCCACCTGGCTTGATAAATCAGATGCTGGAATAGGCTTTGGAGCCAGACTGCTCTGGGCTGGAATCTTGGCTCCTGCTTTTTTAACTTGCCTTGAAGCAAATCACTTCACCTCTCTGGGCTTCCAGGTCCTTACCTATAACTGGGGGAGCAGGGTTGTGGTCAAGATTCAAAACAATGCAAGTAAAGGCACTGGCACCATGCCTGGATGCACCATCCACATCAGTAAATGTCATGTTCACATGTGCATATGCCTGTGTTCCTCACTACCAACCCCTCCACAGGGCTGAAAGTAGCAATCACGTGGGCTGGAATACAGAATCTACTACCATTAAATGCTGTCCAGCTCAAGGCAGGCAAGGGGTCTCCAGTGTTCTGACTCCAGTCCCACTGGGATGGAACTTGTTTCTCTGGAGTTTCCACCACCTCCAATGGTGCATGCCAGCATTTCTCACCTCAGGCAACAGCTCTGCTAAAGCACTACAATTAGGAGTGACACACCTGCTCAGATGTTAACACAGCTACTCCTGCAGTTACCTGGCCTCTGACAGAATTGAGAACCTGATTCCCAGATGCCTTGTGGAAGCCAAGAAAGAGAGACTGCCAACCCATTACACCACAGGTCCAGCCAACCATGAGAGTGCGCCTCTAAATTACCCCCTGTTCACTTGACTGAGGAAGTAGCATTTGTTTTTATTTTCCAGGACAGACAGTCAATCACTCATAGGTGACAGAAATAAAGATAAATACTACCCATTGAACTTTAAATCAAAATGCTAATCCCAGGCTGACTTCTCTGTCAAGGTCTGACACTGAAATAATTCAGCAGGCTTTGATTATGCCCAAAATTAATGCTCTGGTGGAGATTATGTCTATTAATCACAGATTCTGATGGCATAGCTGCTCATATTCATCTGCCGGTGACAGCCAACACTGTTCTGATGGCCAGGAGACCTTCACCTGGATGTCCTCAACTTATGGATTACAAGCCAACCACCAACGAGGGGTATGAGCCACAGGATCATAGGGTCATCTAAGAAGTAGCTGGAGGGGGCCATGTCCTGAACATAAAAAGATGTCAAAGCAT
Source organism: Homo sapiens (assembly GCF_000001405.40). Classification (NCBI taxonomy): domain Eukaryota; kingdom Metazoa; phylum Chordata; class Mammalia; order Primates; family Hominidae; genus Homo; species Homo sapiens. Next base: position 134,834,584 of record NC_000003.12, on the reverse strand, counting down.
TGTTCTGTCTTTGATAAGGACCAAGCAACAGGAACTTGGGCTGGCCAACATGAGTCCCACAAAAGACCCAAGGGTGGCCCCTGGGGATGACACCCAGCTGTGATGTCACACTGCAGACAAGACCAAACAGCCAGCAGTCATATTCCAAAAGACTATCCAGAGTCAGGAGTTTGTTTTGTGTGAGGGGTAACAATTTTTCTTAACTCTGGAGGTCTACTAGAGGGGAGAGTTAGGAATCCAGATCAGAAGATCACATGTGCGTTTGATCTCCAAACTGCTGCACTCCTGAAATCTCCCCTCAATCTGACCTCTCCTGCAACAAATATGTATTTATCACTTACTGTTTACCAGGCTCTATTCTAAGCATTTGGGATATGTCTGAACAAAACAGATCAAGGTCCTTGTTATGGGCTTGCATTCCAGGGAGTTTCAAAATCCCCCTGGTCCCTGGACCTTCTCATCTCCTGCCTAGATAGTCTTCCTCCCTGCTCTCTAGTTGGTCTAGTTAGTCTTTTTTTCCACCACACCCCATCTTAGCTGCCTCCCCTCCACCACCCAAGTGTCAGGGCAGCTTTCTTACAGGTAAATTTGCCTAAAACCCTTTAGTGGTTCCCCTGCCTAAGGTTGAGAAACCATCCTCTTATCACGCTCTGGGGGCCTCCGTAACTATCTCTGCTTATTCCTCTATACTCAACTCAGCCCACGCCCCTAACAGCACATGGTGCTCCAGAAATACAGGGCAGACAGTAGAATCTCAGCACACACCATGCTGGGTGACCCTCTGCCCTTCTGTTGGCTGGTTACTTGCCAGGCACGCCCTTTATCCTTCATCCCTGCTCTTCACCTCCTCATGCCTGGAGACTCAGCCTCACAGGCAGCTCCTCTAGACACCCTCAGGCCTGGCCAGTCCCCACCCTGGGGCCCCACAGCATACTCTGCCTCCTTCAGTCCTGGCACCCATCACACTGAATTGTCATCATCTGCTCATTTGCTCTCTGCTCTTATCTCCCAAGAGACTGAACTCCATTTAGCCTGAAACAATGCTTTACACATTTTGTAGTCCCAGCACAGTGCCTGGAACATATTAGGTGCTCAATGAAAGTTTACTATCCTGAACCAATCACGCCATAAAACCTAACCACCCTTTAGTACATTGTTTCCATGGGAAAATTGTGTTCCAAGTGCTGCCTGGCCTGTTGGGGACACAGCTCACCCACTCACAGTCCTAATGACAAGAACATGAGTTCATCCAGCACACTCTATCCTGGGCAGTCTTTCCCATCAAAGCAGAGGGCCTGGGGACGGGGGCAGGGTCACAGGGTCAGTGTTGCACCCCCGGCAGACCAAAGCTAAGGAGTCTAGGTGGATTTGTCCCTAAGTCCTCACTTATGGGGGCGCTGAGAGTCCCATGGGACCCCAGGATGGCTTTTGCCTGATGTTGACTCATGGTCTCTAGGACATTATCCCTGAAGTTGAGCACACAGGGCTGGGATCAGGTGACCAAGGGCATGCACTCCTGAAACTCAGACTTCCACCTGCAAATATTCAAGACTCTTCTTCTCCAACCAGAAAAAAATTCATTTATAAAGCACTTTTTAAAAAACAGCATTACTGGTCATTGCTAAGACCTAACCAATACCAGTACCTCCTAAAAGTGAGAATCACATAAACCGTGAGTGATTGAACGCAACATTAAATACACTGAATTGCAGCGTTAGAAAGTTGTCTCCTTTTCAATTATTTGTGGTTCTCTGATTATGACAGCAGAAAGTTTCAGCTGGAGACTTGTATATCATCAGCTCTTCTCTACCACTTGCTAATTTCATTTTTAAGGAATTGAGAGCCAGTTTCAGACTCAGTCAAAAGTTAGAGTGCGATGACATCAACTTCATTGTCCATATGTTTATTGTCACTTTCAATTTGTGATAAGTGAGATTGTTTTCCATTGACAATGATGGAATCAAGTTTCCTTCTAAAAATACAGGTATTTAAGGTTTTCAGTGAATTAAGGAAAAATATTACATAATAATGGTACAGTTTGTATGTGGGTAAGGGGGAACTCATAGCAGTGATACTTGGGTGACTGAAGCCAGAAGACAGAAGAGCAACCGCCATGAACAGGTCTCAGGGTGGTGCAAGGACTCAGACACCTCACTTGAAGGTTTGGAAGTTTAGTTGCCTCATGATCTGTCCCAGATTTCTTCTCAGTTCTGTTTGCCATTGCCTTGCTCCCAGCCTGGCTTTGGCTCCATTCTGTGAGGCTTTTGGTTACACTCACAAATGCCCTTGTGCACCCCTGTTGAAGGCCCTCTACAGCCTGACCAGCTCTGTCTTGCATGTTGATGTTGGGTTGTCAAATTCAGCAAGCCAACAAACAACAGGACACCCAGTTAAATTTGAATTCCTGATAAACAATGAATAATTTTCTTAGAATAAGTATGCCTCAAATACCGCATGCAATATGTCAATGTGTGTCCCACACAATATTTTGTGCTTAAAATACCTAAAACTAAAAAGTATCTATTGCTTACTTGGAATTCAGATTTAGTTGGCAATCCTGTATTTTATCCAGCAACCCCACCCTGCCATGACACTGAACAATGCCGCTCTCACAAGACGTTGGCACAATTGGACAATTTCTGAAAGCATCATTGATATTTTTCTTTTTCAGAGTAGCAGCCCCACATTCTCTCAAGCGTATCATAGAAATATCCAAACAGGTTCAGTTCTCCCTCAATAGGGTTGAACCAAGGAAGAATATAGAATCTCCTCTTTGAGAAATCAGAAAATCTCAGAAGCACGTATTGCTTCTGTAACCAGAGGAAAAGGCAATAAATGTTATAAAACGGGACAAAAAGCTACTGGGCCAAGCCACAGTGGCCTGAAGGCAGGGAAAGCAGCTGTCTTTCCATGTGCAGAGAAGCAATGTTTAGGAGAGTGAAGGGATCGAGAGTCAGCCTAACCAAAGTGGAGAAAAGGTCTTTGAGGACATGGCGGCAGCTTGTGGGAACTTCTATGGAGATGTTTGAAGGGAAGGAGGAGGCATCCGAGGGGTGGGATAGGCAGAAGCAAACTTCTATTACTTTTTTGGAATCAGACAGGGCAGAAAGGTCCCTAAATTTTGTGAACTTGAGGAAAGAAAGCTGGAGAAAGTGAGGATGAGAAAGTGTGAAAGGCCATGGCCCGAGAGTATCTGCTGGTTCCTAAGTCTGCCCAGCTGTGGGATTGGGCAGCTGTTCTAGAATCGTGGGATCAGAGTCCTGCTCAACAGGCCATAGCTCCCTTTGTGGGAATCTGTAATGCTGTGGGCCCACTCCTGGTCTCCCAGCTGCCCTCCTCTGCTCCAGGACAGGTTAGAGGCCACATTTTCAAGTGTTTTCAGAAATCTGGGAAGCAATTTGCCAGGGGCAGGACACTGGGTCTCAGTTATACTAATGAATGGCCCCCTTATGATTCATCTTCTCACCAGAGACTATTCTGGAATTTCTTTATTGGAAGGGTTTAGGGGAAGCACTCTGGTTAGATGGAAGATGCTAGAAGCTACATATTCCTGGGAGCTTGCATGACAGTAGGAAGTCATTGTCCATTTCAAGAATGGAGAGAAAGCTGATGGAGGGTAGGAGGAGTTTAAAATCCCTTCCTCAAGGCCCTTGCTGAGGTTTCCACTTGGCATTCATCATCCAGGGCTTCTACCCTTTCTTGACTCAGTCTGTAGCACCCTTGTATCGAGGACAAAGATGTCAGACTGTCCAGGGCAGAAGGCATTTCAGCATCTTATGGCCCACCAGACACTAGCTGGGAGGGCAAGGTTGCATCTGCGGCCCAAGGCCAGGCAGAGGTCAGGCCAGAAGGGAACCCTTGAACACGGTCATGCCCATCAGCCTGCCAAGGACTCCCAGAACACTCTCCTACACATGTTTCGTTTTTGAGAGGGAAAAATAATAATAAGCACCCCCTTCCAAGGAAAGCTCATGCTTTTTGCTAGTGGCTTCAACCATGCTGCCTTTCTCTGAGTGCTTCCCTCACCTGCCATGCTCCTCGGCCCAGACCCCCATCTCCAGATCAAAATTCCCCAAAGCTCCCTGCAAAACTCCCCCACCATCCTCAGGACAATGTGCATGTATGTTAATAAAAATTAAAATTTTAATTGAAAATATTTTAAAGATAAAAGAGATCAGAAGAAATATCATTTTGCAATAAAGGCAATAGGAAAATTAGTGAAATATGGCATGCTACAGGTGAGATAGCACTATAATAATATTGTATGTGTGTTAATTCCCTGATTTTGATTATTGTACTGTGGCTAGGTAAGAGTTTTTACTGCTTTTAGGAAACAGACACTGAAGTAATTAGGAGTAAATGGGCATATGTCTGCAACTTATTGTCAATCGATTCTGAAAAGAACAATTACATGTATATATGGCACATATGTGTGCAGGGGAGGAATGAGCACAACGTGGTAAAATGCTAACACTGGAGAAATGCAGGTGAAGGGCTGTATTAGCTTCCTGGGGCTGCTGTAACAAAGTACCACCAACTGGTGACTTTCACAACAGAGACTTATCTCACAGTTCTGGAGGCAGAAATCTGAAATCACGGTGTTGGCAGGGTTGGTTCTTTCTGAGGGCTGTGAGGCAGAATCTGTTCCAGGCCTCTCTTCTAGCTTCTGATGGTTTGCTGGCAATCTTTGGTGTTCTTTGGCTCACAGACACATCACTCTGATCTCTGCTGTCATGTTCTCATGGCGCACTCCCTGTGTGCATGTCTGCGTCCAAATTTCCCATTTTTATAAGGACACCAGTCATGCTGGAATAGGGACCTATCCTATTCCAGTATGACCTCATCTTAATTTAACTGCTTATTCTGCACAGACCCTATTTCCAAATAAGGGCACGTTCTGAAGTTCTGGGGATTAAGATTTTAACATACCTTTTTAGGGGGACACAAGTCAATATTTAATAAGAATATACTGGAGTTGTTTGTAATATACTTAAAACTTTTCTCTAGGTCTGAAATTATTTCAAAATTAAAAGTTTTTTGCAAAGATAAACAGAAAGAAGCTCTAAGAAGGATTGAAGGGAAGGTGTGCAGGGGAGGAAAGCATTATTGAGGGGATGCCTTCTCAGAGACGCAGGGTTCTAAAAGCCCACCAGCAAACAGCTTTTGAGAGGTACTGAGTTGCCTTCTCCTGATAGGTCCTCACGGCCCCAGGACAAAGAGAGTCCTCCACTCAACCACCCCCACCCCCAAAGTCTTACCTTGGAGAGGAAACTCTCATGATTTGGGTTGAAAACATGAATTTATTTTTTTCCCTCCAAAACAAGCCTGGAGCAGAGCACACTTGCCCAGCATCTCAATAGATGCTAGTGGTGGTTAATTAAAAGAATGTTGCTAAACAAAGACAGCTAAATAATTGTGTGTCTCACAGAATTTTATTCCTTAACTTGTATCTCTTAAAAATAGCACACTCCATATGAGAGTTTTCCTTTTATTCAAATCATGTCTGAGAAACAGTGCATTTATACAGCAGTACTTCATCTACTCAGAGAAGGAAGGAGCCCCAGGAATTGGTTAGCATTCCCCAAAATAGGGTATGACCTGGGTGATCAGAAGGCCCCAACCCTGCCAGCTTCCTCCAGCTCATGTCTCAGCCACTCAGACCTCCTCCTTTATCACGTCCAGGGACGGGACCCTGCAGATACAGGAAATCTTGGGGTGGCATCTTTTTAACTAGGAACTTCTCATACTTGAGAAGCATCACCAAACCAATCCAGGTGTCTATGCCCTGATTTGGTGCCCATACATGCCCAGGACTTCACTGAGCATCTCCAGGAAGCACCATTAGACCCCTTCCCTGGCCTGCAGCCTCCTTCAATCCCCAAGTGTCCCTCAAAGGGCCATTCTCCATCCTCCATCCTTGCCAGTCACTCCCGGCCAACTGCAGAGAATGGAAATAGCGCTAGGCAGAGCATCAGGTAGGGTCTTCACTTCTAGCTGTGCCCCAAACTCACTGCCTGACCCTGGGGCAGTAATTCAGCCACTTGGGATCTCAGGTTCCTGATCTATAAAATGATAGATTGAGGCAGATGCTAGGAATTAACACATATTTTTCAAGTGTAGTGGCTCAACTAGGGACTAGGCTCCAAGAAAGTTCTAACTAACCAGGAAAAGAGCAAAAGGACAGTCTCTCAGCCTAAAATGCTCCATTTTTTCTCATCCCACTTGGGAAGCTGTGAGAACCACACCAAACTTCTCATTACACTATATTCAAAGTCTATTAAGACTCCATGATCTTTTTTTGTTCCTACTCACACAGTGTTGGTTTTACCTACATCCTTTGCTGCAGTGATTTTCAACAACCCTTCACCAAAAGCCCCAAATGCCAAACACGTGAATTTTGCACATTTATTCCTACTTCATGGAAACTATCCAATGGGCCAACTTCCCTCAATGGGGCACCACAAAAGAGAAGGCAGGAGTCCATAGCACAGAAGGAAGCCACCCATGGACCAGGCAGTTCAGAAGGCTTCCTCAGTTCAGGAAAGTTTGAAATAGGCCAAAGGGTACAGAAGGGTTCAGATGGAAAGGGTGAAAAATGAGGGCAGAAAAAAAAGCATAAACAAAGAGATGCTGGTGAGGAGAGAGGATTGCCCATCTGAGGAGCAGCCCAGCAAGACAATGAGGATGCCAGGCAGAGAGGCAGGCAATGCAAGGGATGTGAATGAAAGGCTTTGCAGGTCGGTTTCTGCCAGCCAGCACCCACTCACCCTATTTTTCCTAACTGTCTGTGTACTCTTGATTTGCAATTTCACCCCTCCCCATTCTCAGTCTCTGCCTTTAAAGTGCCGCCTCCACCCCAGCTCCCCAGGGAAAGGAGCAATCTAGGCCAAACAGTGAATTCTAGCCCCTACACATGTTGACTGGTTGAGAACTAAACATGCTACACATTGAAACTGGGATCATTCAGAATGACCCTCAGGACTTGTGCAGGAACTACCAAGAAATTAGTCTCCCTGTTTCTGCTGTAGTCACAACATAAACCTGATGATCATGATAGGAGAGCTTTAGGCTAACCCAGAGGAAGTGGGGCTGAAGACAGAGGAACAGTCCCAATAGCATCTTAAATGCAGTCATGCCCGAAACTAGTACTGCACAGTACTTTCAATCACAGAAGCCCATAAGGAGTGTGTGTGTATGTGTGTGTGTGTGTGTGTGTGTGTGCACGCGCACCCGCGCACATCTGTTGATTTTGTTTCCTGTCACTCAAAACCAAAATAATTGTAATGGGAAGCTTAGATTATAGAGAAGAAGAAGCACTAGACTAAGGCGTTAGAGAAACCTGGCCAGATCCCAGCATTACCATATAGTAATTGTGTGAATTTGTAAGTAAGCCACTTAGGTTCTACAAACCTCCGTCTCCTCATCTATAAAATGGGCATAATAATTCATGAGTTGACTCATGTGAAAGTGCCAGCTCCTTGAGTAATGGAATCTGTGGTGTTTGTACTTGATGCAGGAGATGCTGCAGCATTCTGAGCAGAGAACTCACTGGAGGGAAAATTATTCCAGGCCCTGTACAGGCAGGATGGGGCCAATGATCCCTGCCACCCAGGGAACCTATTGCATGCACTATGCTATCCAGGTTGAAAAGTGGTAAAATACCCCATGGATGTTGCGTCAGATGTTCAGAGAAGAGAGCTGAAGCATCTTTCACACTGTGTGCCCTGCTCACCAGGGCATGCTGAATAAGAAGTCACCTATGCCACCCTGGCCTTTCCCCCTACAAAATAGAAAGATGACTCTTGCCCTCTTCCCTCGGGAACGGGACAAGAATTAACTATGAGCTCTACAAACTACTTTGTACTCCCTGTGGAAAAGCTGCTATATAGCTACAAGGGGGTGATTAATTTTATCTCTCTAAATGTCTCAGTATCATTTGCCAAAATGATGATTTATTATTTAGACAACCTTTATATTTCCAAGGGGCTTTAAAAATCATTTATAGTGGAGAATGAAATAAAACTGATTAGGGCCCTGAAAAACAGGAATGGTGAAGAAATGTACAAGGAACTGGGGGTTATTTATTCACAACCAGAGAAGGCAAATGAAGGACACAGCAAGATCCATCGATTATATGCAAAGCAGAACTGCTAAGGAGAGGCCCGTATCTTCCCCCATATGATGATGGGAAAGAGAAACCAGAAAAGACAGCAATGCATCTGGACTGGTGTAGGCTAGATATCAAGCAGATAACAAGAAGAACTTCCTAATTGTATTCTGGCTCTTAGCTCAGCATCTAAAAAACATTTTCAATTGCTTTTTTTTTTTTTTTTGAGATGGAGTCTCACTCTGTCATCCAGGCTGGAGTGCAGTGGCACAATCTCAGCTCACTGCAACCTCCACCTCCTGGATTCAAGCAATTCTCCTGCCTCAGCCTCCAGAGTAGCTGGGATTACAGGTATGCTTCACCACACTCGGCTGATTTTTTTTTTTTTTTTTGTATTTTTAGTAGAGACGGGGTTTCACTATATTGGCCAGGCTGGTCTCAAACTCCTGACCTCGTGATCCACCTGCCTCAGCCTCCCAAAGTGCTGAGATTACAGGTGTGAGCCACCGCACCCAGTCTCAATTGCCTTTTATAGATGATAGTTGAAGTAAAATAAAATGTAGAAAAACAATGCAGATATGGTAAAAGAAAGGCATCTTCAAGGAATGATAAAAGATGAGAAAGACAGTAGAAAACTGGGAGGGGGAAATTTAATCCTTCTTTCAGGAAGAAAAGGATCGTGAAAGGATGCCATGAGCCAAACCATGGTGGATGAAGGAGACTGGAGTATACTAATATGCAGAGAAAGCATAGAAAGCTCCTGGAGGCAACATGGGTTGAGTAAGAACAAGCCCCACCAAACCTATTCCCTTTCCTTCTTGAAAATTTCCCTAGGACACAAGATCATGGTGTACCTAGATTTCAGCAAAGCACTTGCTGAAATGGACCATATGGAGAACTGCAGGCCAGGGCAAGTACAAACTGGTGAATTCACAGCTCACAGAAAAATGGTACCCAAAGAGGGTCCAACAGAAGCAGCATCCCCTGTGGGATATTACTTCTGTCCTCTTTGGCATTTTTATAGGCTTAGATGAAACCCTGCAAGGGACACTCATTCAATCTCAATTGCTGGGATGCTTGGCTAAACCCAACCAGATGAAATGAACAGTTCTGCACACTTAGGTTCAAAACCATCCCATTAGAGCTACAATAGACCTGGCCTGATTGACATTTATGTCGCCAAACTGAAGACCAACTGCCAAGCTTCTAAAACTGACAGATGATCGTAACATCTCCAGCCTGCCTCCTTTAGGGCAGGATTCACCAAGAGGCAGGCCTGCACTGGCCATCCCCTTCCCATTATAGAGGTCTTCAGTCACATGCCAGGACTGTGACCACTGACCCTGGACCTGTCTGGGTTTTATCTTACATAGCAAATTCAAGGGACTGCTTGTGTTCCTGTTATCTATTGAGTGTAACAAATTACCCGCAAAATTTACTGGCTTGAGACAGTAATGTTTTATTAGCTCTTACAGTCCTGCAGGTTGGCCAGGCCCAACTGGATAGTTCTCACTTGGGGTGGCTCAGGAGGTTGCAGTCAGATGTTGGCAGGAGCTGCAGTCATCCAAAGCCTCTACTACTGCTTGATGCCAAAATGGCCCACTCACATGGCTGGCAGTTGGTGCTGGCTGGCAGTTGGTGCTGGCTGTCAGCTGGAAGCTCACCTTGGGCTGTCAATTGAAGTACCCATACATGGCCTCTCCATGCATCTTAACAACACAGCGACTAGGTTCCCAGAGTGAGCTTTCTAACAGCTAGAGTCCCTAGAGATCCAGGTAAAAAGCTGTGAGGCTGCTTCTGACCTAGCTTTAAAAGTCCCAGACCATCACCTCTGCCACATTTTACTGGTCAAGCAAGTCATCAAGTCCAATCCATACTTAAGGGGAGGAAAGTTAGACTCTGGGTTGGCAAGTTCCCATCACCAAAGAGCTTGTTGGATGGGAGATAACTGCTGTAGCATCTTTGAAAAATATAACTGGCCTCTGCTTTTGACAACAGGGAGCAATGTGATGAGAAGGATTCCAATTAGCAAAAGTATTGTCATCAGTTAGTGATGTGCTGCTGTGTGCCACACCCTAGGAACCCAGACCTAGGCCCTTCAAACCCAGTGTGCACCAACTGGCACTGTGCCCAGCAGAGTCAACATCGAGTTTCTGCCTCCCATTCTCCTTCCAGGGACCCACATGCCTCCCAGTACTTCACCCCCGACTGGCTCCGCCTCATTGTCATCTCCACCCTGATACGCCATATCAATGGGAATTAACAGCCTCACCATGCTGGGCACACAAGAAACTACCACTTAGTCAAGTGCAAGAGCTAGGATTACCAAAAAAAAAAAAAAAAAAAAAAAAAGGGCATTATCCTTTTTGTAAACATTCAGAGAAAACTCAGAGAAATTGTATTTGTTTTTGATTATTCTGAGTTTGCAAGCTGAAGCATTCATGGTTCATAAAACCCATGTATTTGTTCCAAATGTCAGTGTGCTTCCCTTTGTGCAGCAGCAGATGCTGGGCAGGGGGAGGGCTGATGGAAGGCCTTCCGCATCTGTGCTAATAGATCATGTCTTACAGCCTCCCCACCTTGGCTCACCATTTCCCTGCTTTCTTCTCATTCTGCTGTTGCAGGCATCTGTGACATCATAGCCTGTTGCCATGGAAACTGATGCTATCATAGACTTCTAACTTTAGGCAATAAAATTTCTTTGTATTGACAATTTCCTGAGTGAACATCAGCATGGATCTTCCCGTGTTTGAAGGAGAGTGGAAAACTTACCAGCTTCCTGAATATTTACTGAGATCTGCATGGCTAATTGCCTCATGGGAAGAGTAGAAAGAAACCTGGCTGGACCTAGAAGAGACTCTGGTGTTACCCTGCCAAGCTGGGCCTTGGTTTTCCTATCTGTAAAATGGAAATGATAGTGCGTAGCCTTTGGAGTTGTTGCAAGCGGTACATGAGAGTTTCCTGTTACGGAGCCTGAGGGAAGGCAGGTGCTCACCAGGCAGGCCTTCCTTCCCCAAGACCCCCAGACCTTAAACTTTAAGAGTTTGTGTGAGCTTTTTCAGCACAACCCCTGGCAGACATTAGGGTATGGGGATGAGAGCAACTGAGGGGACCACGATGACATGGACTTTGCTCCCCTCATTGTCACCTCCCTCTTTCTCCTGTCCTTCTGTCTTCACTGTCCACTGCTCCTGCGATCTGCCAGCTAAGCTAGTTCTACCTAGAAAGGGCTTCTCTCTGAACTGACTTTCTCCATCAAGGAGGCAGTTGAGTCGTTACTCAAGTTCACACCTTCTTCTGAGTGACTTAATGGCTTTTAAGCAAAAGCAATTATCTGAGAGGCCTCAGGCCCAAGGCAAAGCCAGTGGAGCTTTTAAACCAGGGTCTGGGCTCTTGGAATGTGCAGGGAATGAGTAGGCTGGGTGGTCCTGTAGTCCTGTGGTCCTGAGGAGTCATGTACCCCTCGCAACAACTCCAAAGGCTAAGCATTATCATTTCCATTTGACAGATAGGAAAATCACTTCCGCTTCCCTTTTCACCAGATCTGAGGCAAGGTTGCAGGCCTTGCCAGTCACCCACACCTGATCCCTGTGTGAACTGCCTGGGTTCGTTTATGCCAAGCCAAAGCTACAATCTGCTACCCCAACTCCCACAAACAATCTCAGCATTTCTGAGAAAGACACAAATCTCTTCCAAGGTGACCAGAAAAAAATTTAAATTTAACTGCAAAAGAATGCTATTTTAAAATAGAAGGGTCTCTAATGTAACTTAGATCTGTCATCTTTGCAAAATGAGGCAAAAGACAAACAGAAAGCACTTTGGTGCAGGATGGTGCATAGAGAAAGCCTCTCCAGGGAGGGCTTGGAGTGGTCTTTGCTCACCAATAGAACAGAACTATATTCTACAACTTTAAGCAATATGTTAAATAAGAATTGTGGGCATTCCTCAAAAATGTTTAGGCAACTTCCTGACTTTAGGAAGTGATTCCTTTTTGCAATGGGAATGAAAAATAAATAAATATATGTTGGTTAGTGCCCCCATCACCCGGCATACCACATCAGCCTACACCAGCTCTGCTCACTCATGGCCAAATCTGAGTGAAGGGTGGTTGATCACGGGAGTTGAGAGAGGCCAGGGGCCCAGGAAGCCTAGGCTGGGGAGTGGTGTGTGGAGTTTGACCATGCCTGGACAGCAGCTACTGTGCTGAGTCACCGCTCAGACACAGCAACACAGGGCACAGCCAGTGTAGCAGCATGGCAGATAGGACCCCAGGAGCCACAGGGCCTAAAGCTTGGTCCCAGGCAGTGGTCAAGCAGAGGGAAGGGGACGTCTTTGCCAGCTATGGCACTCCATTACAGCTGGAACACATCCCCAGCATTAGATATGAAGCAGAGATATCTCCTACCTCCTATACTCATCTCAGGCAGCACAAGGACTTATGGGGAGCTCCCTTCCTCCTCCTCCTTTTCAACATTGTCTTTCACTTTGCGTTTAACCAAAGTTCTCCTGGATGAAACTGTCCAGGAAGGGCCACTCTGCTGTTAACCCACTTGGTGTGTGACCTCAAGCTCTGACCTCCCCGATCTCTTTTCCCCCACAACTAGACCAAACCCAGGTTGGAAAAAAGGGAGATTGAGAAGGGCTGTATCCCAAAGGCATCACAACAGCACAGGCTCCCCCAGCCTCCCAGTGTCACCATTCCCAAACACGTTTCTGTTTGTATTAGATCTTTTCACACCCAAGAATCAGCAGAGAAAGACATAGGAGTCCTCCTTGAACATCAGAGCCAGGCTTCTGCCCTTCATCGCCTATGGTTTGGGAGTGTTTTCTTCTGCATTTTTCTTCTTTATTACACAATCAGCCTTTGAGTATTTTAGCTTTCTGGATTTCATGTTTTACCTTGTCCATAAGGGTTTATCCTTTTTTCACCACTAATTCTGTCTCCCCACCCCATCCACCTTTTATCTTTACCCTAACTTTTTCACTTTACTGGCTAATTCCTTTAAACAATTAATTGCCTGGGTATTTTTTTTTTTTACCATTTTACTATCATTTTTATTTTTACAGATTCTTAATTCTAATATTTTTTCCTTAACTTTAAAAATCCTGTGATGGTTAACTTTATGTGTCAACATGACTGGAACATGGTCGCTCAAGTAACTGCCAAACATTACCCTGTGTGCTTCCATGAGGGTGTTTTTGGATGAGACTAACATTTCAATGAATGGACTGAGCAAAGCCAATTGTTTCCCCTTAATGTGGGTGGGCCACATCCAATCAGTTGAAGGCTTGAATAGAACAAAAAGGCTGACCTTCCCCAGAATATGCCTTTGGGCTGGGACATCAGCTTTTTTCCTACCTTTGGATTCAAACTGAAACATTGGCTCTTCCTGGGTCTTTAGCCTGCCTTCATTCAGACAGAACTACACCATTAGCACTCATGATTCTCAGGCCCTCTGATGTGGACTGGAACTACCCATCAGCTCTCCTGGGTCTCCAGCTTGCCAATTCACCCTGTAGATCCTGAGACTTGCCTGCCTTCAAAATTATGTGAGCCAATTCTTTATAATAAATCTTAAATAAATAAATAAATATCCTATTGGTTCTGTTTCTCTGGAAAACTCTGACTAATACAAACCCTTTCTCCCTTTTAAAGCGTATCTGGTTTTTGTTTCTTTTGACCAGCATTGGGAACAGCAGGTGCAAACGTTCCGGGGCAGGAGGAAGCATGGAGAGTTCCAAGAAAAGAGAAAGCAGCCTGGGGCCGAGTGGTGGGAGTGTGCACTGTAGGTAACCCAGGCAAACACAGATAAATACAAAATAAAATAAAATAAAACATCAAGAACTTGCTGTGAAAGAATTGCTTGAGCTCTAATTATTCTGGCTGCTTGTCTCTGCATGGAATAATATTAATAGTTTTGTGCCTGTGATTAGAGGGCCCAGCCTCTGGAGGCTAAAAAGTTACCTTTAAGCATCTCTTCCCCCCGATTCTTCTCTTCATAAAGGCAGCCAGTTTCTGGTCCAAGGGGGCATTCTGTAAACACTGGAAGGAAGGGAGGGAAGAAAGGAGGGAGGAAGGAATTTTCTGAGCCCTCTGGTAGAGAGGCCTCCCTTAGGGGCAGAGAAGCATTTGTCTCCATGCCTAGACTATGGAGAGGTTGTGGTTTTCCTGCAGGGATACTGCTAAGTGCTCCCTAAACCTGCTTTTCCCAGACATGGAGGCTCCCTCCATTTCTCAGCTTGGTCCAGATGGGACCATGAGAGTAGTCTTTGCCAATGGAGTGGAAGAAAGAGGGAGTGATGTTTCTCTCCCAGGCTGAGATAGGTAGGAAGGTAAGAGTAAATTTGCCTTTTCCTCTGTCAGCATTTATCAACAGGGTCTACTAGTATGGGTCCCTGAATGACAGGAGGGGTGGGTGAGGGGAGGGGAAGGGGACAGAACCCCACCACGGGCCTCACCAGACTGTGATATGAGTGAGAAATAAACTTTTATCTTGTGGGCTAAAAAATTTGGAATCAGGTGTTACAGCAATTAGCTGACACTGATTAAATCAGAAATTGGCATGACAGGTGTCCATGTGTCCCCTGCGCTGGGCCCACCCAAGCAAGGCAGAAGAGCAAGAAGTATGGGATGGGGCATCTGTAGGCAAGACCGGGCTAGAAAAGAAGGCAACAGAGGCCTCCCAGGCAGACAAAAGTGAGAGAAGCTTTGGCTGTGGGAACACAAGATCCAAGGGCAACTACCTTTCCCACAAAAAGAAGCTGCAAGGGCAGTGTCTGAGCAGCCTGGGGAGGCACAGGGATGTGCAGGGTAGGGACTCAGCTGCTCCAAGCAGAACCCCACACTGCTGCATTGAGAAGGGAGAGAAGAGGCACAGAGAAGGGAGGAAACATTTATTGAGTGTCTGCTACATACCAAGCCTTGTCTGTACCAGGCAATCCATCTATGTTATCTCATTTACTCATTCCAAAGCCCCTATAATGGGATATGATTCATTCCCATTTTATAGAGGAGCTACTTCCAAGGCTTACACCTACAGACTGGTCAAGTGGAGATGAGAACCTGGTCTGGGAGATCACCACATGGGCACCCTTCTGCCTCCCTCGTAGGAAATGGGAATTCACTAGCAGGGAACCCATACTGCCTGCTGGCCCCGTGAAAGACACCTATGCACAAATGGGAGGCTGCCATCCCCTAAGGCATAGGGAGAGGGAGGACACACATCAAACAGAAGCTCCGACTGATTATGGAAGTGATAGTGATTAGACAGAGGTGTGTTTATGCCTACCTAACGTCCATTTCTCTATGCTCAGAAGTTCACCTCTGCATACAGCAAAAATCCCACCTGCCAAAACATTATCTTGTCTTATAACTCATGTTTAGACCCCTTTCTATCCTGCCTAAACGGCCCCCTTCACTCATAAACTGGCTACTAACCTTTGCATTATAGTCTGAAGATTGAATCAGCTCCCACCTCCTGCCTCCACCTCCTGTTTCCAGCCAGGCTGCCCTCAGCCTCTGTTCATCTTCTCTGCTCACCTCGAAACACAGTCCTGAAAGGGGAGGGGCCAGATGCTTGGAGGGCTCTCAAGAGACCCAGAGAGAAAAGTCATTATTTGAAAGAAACACTTGCACGTGCATGTTTATAGCAGCACAATTCAGAATTCCAAAATCGTGGAACCAACCCAAACGTCCACCAATTAAGGAGTGGATAAAGAAACTGTGATAGATATATAGTATATAGGATAGAATATGAAATACTACTCAGCCATAAAAAGGAATGAATTAACGGCATTTGCAGTGATCTGGATGAGACTGGAGACTATTATTCTAAGTGAAGTAACTCAGGAATGGAAACTGATACGTGGGAGCTAAGCTATGAGGATGCAAAGGCATAACAAGGATACAATGGATTTTGGGGACTTTGGGGTAAGAGAGGGAAGAGTTGAAGGGGGGCAAGGGATAAAAGACTACAAATATGGTGCAGTGTATACTGCTTGGGTGATGGGTGCACCAAAATCTCACAAATCACCACTGAAGAACTTACCCATGTAACCAAATACTACCTGTACCCCAATTACTTATGGACAAATAAAATTTTAAAAAGAAACACTATGACTGTCCCCAGCAGCATGGACATACCATAAGGTCATACATCCTAAGCCAAGGAGGCTGCCTGCCTGTCAGCCTCTTAAACAGGGTTCCAAGGACTTTCAACCTCATTATCCAAGAGCTGGCTGTAGGTTTCTCTTCTTGTTGAATGAAGGGTTAAATGAAAGTAGGGTAGAGAAAGTGAATTCCCCAGTCATTGCCTTACAATCACCTAGGAGTGTGAGATGGTCACCTAAGGGGCCTATCCCAGTACCTGGACATGCCTTCCCTCTTCACATCTTTCCTCTCCACATGGCTCTTAGGAAAGTCAGTGGAATGGAGAACTCCACAAGCTGAGCCAGGAGTGGGGCGGGGAAAAGCATTAAGAAGCCACCTGTTTGAAGAGTGGGTAGGAACATAGGCACAGGACCTCAAGAGGTGTCTGTGAACCTGGCTGCATGTGGCAGACAGTTCTCCCGACCGCCAGTCATTGCGCTTTCCCCCTCTGGGCAGGGGCTTGGGATATTGGATCTCATTTCCCTCTATGGATGACCATTCCACCAGGCTTGGGCCAGGAGCTGTCCACCAGAATCAATCGTAACCACCATTATAAGAACAGCTTGTGTTTCCAGAGCACATCCCAGTTTACAAAGCATTTCCCATACATGGGCTCTGATTCCTACTCAACAACCTCTTACTGAAGAGCTCAAAGAGAAAGAGGTTGGACCACATCATCCCCAATGGACAGGTAATGAAACTGAGAATGAAACTTCAGAGAGATTAGGTGGCTTTCCAAGGTCACGCAGCTGGTAAATGTGAGCCAGTTCTCTGACTCCCAATAGCAGCCTCTTGCATGGATTCATACCTTCAGGTCTAAGGCCACGGTGGGGACAGAAACTACAGAGCTCCATGTGCACTCCTCTGCCAGGACAGGGAAGTGTGCCACCCACTTCCAGCCCTCCACATGGCCTCAGCTCTGCCACGCTGGCCAGAAGCCTGAGAACCAGGTGCTGGGTGAGCCATGGCACCCGGCCCTCTAAACGGTGAAGGAGCTGTGACGACTAGAATTGCAGGCAATACTGACATTGTTCTACAGAGGAGAGAAAATGTCAGTGAGTACACTGTCCAGTGCCCCCCAATTCCTGGGGCCACAGAGAGGGGAATGGGCTGACTGGGGCCTTCAAACTTTATTTTTATTTACAAAAACAGGCAGCCCATAGTCCATGGTTTACAGAATTTGATTTAAAAAAAAAACTACATTCATATATTACTTACCTTGATTAATCTTTAGTGCCCCCTTAAACTTTGCTCCAAGTGGCTGCCTCCTTCTTCTTACCCTAGTCCCTGTTCCTCCCTTTTCCCACAAACTGGAATCCTGGTGAGATGGGAGGAAGTCCTGGAGACGGCAGAGAAGGCAGCAGTGGTCCACAGGCCCTTTCCTTGCTCTGCTGGGTCTGCTAGGAATTCGTCCAGACCTGCTCACACTGAGGGTGAGTGCCCCAGGAAGCCCTGCTGCCTAACCACTGAGACGCCTGCGACTCTTGGCCATGATACGTCATGTCAGGTTACTGAACATCGCCCCAGCACACGTGCCTGAATATCAGCTTTTCTAAGCTGCTTAGAACATTGGCCCTCCAAGTCTATGGGAGTAGGCAAGGACTACACACCAGCAATAGATGGGCCAGACAAGGTATTGGCAAGCAGAAGAATGATTTAGGGATCAATTTTCCCAGAGGAGGGTGCCTGGGAATCTGTTTCAAATGAAAAGAGAGATACAGAAGAAATGACAATACTAATAACTACCACGGGCTTTAAACACCTTATCTCATCTATCTCACAACGATCATGTGAGGTGAGTACCACCATCCCCACTTACGGGACGAACACACAGAGGCCATAACTGGGAGGTTATGTAGTTTGTTCAGTGTCAGAGGTGGAATTCAAATCCAGACCTGTCTGAATCCAACACTCAACTGCTTCAGGAAAAAAATCCAGCCAGGCACGGTGGCTCACACCTGTAATCCCAGCACTTTGGGAGGCGAGGTGGGCGGAGCATTTGAGGTCAGGAGTTCGAAACCAGCCTGGCCAACATGGTGAAACCCCGTCTCTACTAAAAATACAAAAAAAACAAAAAAATTAGCTGGCTGTGGTGGTGTGTGCCTATAATCCCAGCTACTCGGGAGGCTGAGGCATGAGAATCGCTTGAACCCAAGACGTGGAGATTGCAGTGAGCCGAGATCACACCATTGCACTCCAGCCTGGGTGACAGAGCAAGACTCTGTCTCAAAAAAAAAAAAAAAAACAGAAACAGAAAAAGAAAAAAGAAAAAAAGTACCTCAGAGGCAGAAGGACAACGTGCAGAGGACACGGCGTGTGGCCCCAGCATTTACCTTTGGTGGTTACTTAATCTTTCTGCATCCCAATTTCCATGCCCCCCAAAAAACAAATGTGTGCTGATAAATAAATATGGCACAATAACAACAACTGTTGAAACTAGGGGCAGGGGCTGTGGCATGGGTGTTCACTTCAGCATACTTTTGACTTTTCTATACTTTTGGAAATATTCATAATAAATTTGGAAAACAACAAAATGTCCCCAGGTCAAAACTGATATATGACCCCATCAAAGAAAGTCCCTGGCATCAAAATAGCTGAATAAAAATAGCTACATTAAACAGCTGCACCAACCCTCCACAGCATTGTGGGAATATAAATTGGTTCAGCCTTTTTAGAGGGCAACTTGCAACATCCATCAAACTTTGAAACAAGGCGCACTGTTTTCTTAAACTTTTTATTTTAAAGAAATAGCAATCACACAAGAAAGTTGCATGAATGGAACCAGAAACCCCCATATTCCTTTTACCCTGATTCACCAATTTTTAACATTTTGCCACATTTGCTTTTTCATCTTCTCTTTCCTCACCACATATATTTTATGGTACAATAGGATATATCATAATATGATATTACATATATATTTTATTATATACACATTTATTATATTATATACACACATTCATCTGTTTATTTTCCTCCTTGAGCCACCTGAGAGCAGGTAGCATACATCATGGCCATTTACTCCTTAATTCCTCAATATTTGTTTCCTAAGAACAAGAATATTCTCTTATTTGACCACAATGCAGTTACAAATTTGGAAATATTAACATTTTGTTATAATACTTTCATCTAAGGAGACCCACTCCCTGAATTTTGGAAGGCTATATTCCAATTTTGTTTGTTGTCCAAATCATATCCTTTAAAGCAATTTCTTAGTATAGGGTTTGTTACATTAACTTGTCATGAATCTTAAGTATTCTTTAATCTAGGATAGCTCTTTTTAAAAATTGCTCAAAATAAGCTTGTTAATTTATTTAAAGAGGCTGCTTCCCTGATGCAGAAGTTTAGAGACTGGGACTCTCGATCCAGGCACAACTGAATTTAGTTGTTTTGAGGTGAGGTCTGAGGGTCTGCATTTCTAACAAACTCCCATGGGAACCCAAGCCCTGGCCCAAAGGCCACACACCGAGTGGTGACACCAAAGAAGACCGTCTGTGAAGAGCTGGTCCAGACCACCACAAGATGCACTTGCTTTCCTCTGAATGAAGCTTCGTCTGCAATGGCAACTGGACCCTGGGACTTGGGACGCAACAAGATGCAGAGCCTTCCCTCACAGGAACTCCTCCTGGGCTTTCTAGAGCCAGGAAGTCCAAGACAGAGAGGCACAAGTCACTGAAGAAGGCTTTTCTGCAGGTTCCCCATTTCGGATGATTCTGGCCCAGGACAGGGAAGCCTGTTGAGAAGAGAATTCCTATGCCCTGCCTTTTCTATCAGCATCAATCCACTATACCTTCAATAGGTACCTCCTCCTCCAGGAAGCCATCCTGGTTACCATAGCCCACTCTAAACTAACTGTCCCCTGACCTCCTACATCACCGAGCCCCTGGCTATATCACGGAGCACTTACTTGAATGTAATTGCTATTTCAGGTACCTTTTCTTTCCCTTCTCCTTGCTTCTGCTTCTGCTACTTCTCACTCATGATATGCATCCTCATCACTCTCCCCTCTACATGTTCAAGGCCCAGCTTATCCATAAGTATACCCTAGCAAAAAGTCTCTTCAATGACAGATTCCTTGCCTGAACCATCTTCAGGTATCTCCATCCAGCAACAGGTATATCAGTCTGATCTCCACAACCAGACATTCAGGTTTCCTATGCTTCCATTGCTTCTGTTTGCCACAAGTCCCTGGTTTTCTTGCCACGGTGGCATGCGCATCAGCCTCTCCCTGAGTGATCCTGGGCAGTGTGACAGGAGTTCAGTCCATCCATCCATCATTTACTAAGTGCCTACTCTGTGCCAGGCCCCGGGGTAGACTCTGGGGGCCCTCAGGGAGTCTCAGACAGTGGGGGTGCCTGCTTTTCTCAGAGCCAGAAGTGATGCAGCGTCAGCATCAGCTGCATCTTTGCTTTTGAGCATAAAAGGTGCTTGTGGGAAGTGACACAGGGCCCAGCTGATGGGCCCTGATGGTACCACTGCAGCCTTTGCATCCTTGTCATGTGTCACCTCCCCCATGATTACTGTGATCACTGATTGTCATCATGCAAATAACAGCAAACATGGCTGAAGTGCCTACATCATCCCCAGTGTTGGAAAGCCTGTAGAATCCTGAGACTGTCATTGAAAGCTAAGAAATGAGCCAAAGGCATTCTCTATGGCTTGAATGCAACAAGAACCAGAAAAGCTGGAAACCTCTTGGGAGTCAGAGCAGCTGAGAAAAAGGTGATGAACAGCCTCGGACACTCACAGTGTCCTATCAAATGGGCCCAGTCCTGAGAGTCCAGGGCTGGGCTAGGGGGTGCTTCCTCTGCATGGTTTCAGACCACCATTCACAGGACAATCTGTGCAGAAAAATTATACTTTTCTTCTCTAAAAGAAAGCCCCAAACCAAAAGATACCTGTCCCTGGAGAAGCAGGACCCTTGGGAATTTCTAGCTGATTTCTGCTGCCACCACCATGGAGGTACAGCTGCTCCTGCAATGCCAAGTAGAGGCAGGAGAATGCCCTTCCTTTCTACTGAGCAGTGTGATGGAGATGAGATTGGAACTGGAGGGAATGTATGGGAAATAAACACAGAGTAGCACAATCCCAGGTCATGTGAATTATGGCTTCCTGCTGAGGCGCACACACTCCCCTAACAAAAGCCCACTTTCTGAGGTCCTGGCCCCTGTTTGGGGGCATATTTCTTCCCTGATCATAAACCACCATCCATGTTGAGAAGATCATGGCCCACTCTTCCCCACTTCCAGGAATGAGACCCACCCAGCACAGGTACAAATTATGTCTTCTCGGCACAACAGGGCAACCCAAATTGTCTGGAAATAGTGTGAGTGGGGTCACTCTGTCACCTCCAGACAACCGTCCATGTTGAAAGCAGACCCAAAACAGAAAACCCAACAAAAAAAATGGACAAATATCTAAACATCCATTTCATCGGAGAATATATATGAGTGGCTAATAAACACATGAAAGACACATCAGGGAAATGCAAACGAAAACAAACAATGAGATGCCATGAGACACCCACCAGGGTGGTTAAAATTTAAAGACTGAAAATACCAACTGCTGGTGAGGATGTGGAACAACTGGGGGTCTCATACACTGCTGGAGGAAATGCAAGACACTTCAGCCACTTTGGAAAACAGACTGGCAGTATCTTACCAAGTTAACCTTACACTTACCATATTATCCAGGTATTTCCCCAAACAAAATGAACACCTATTTTTCATTTTGTGTTCACATAAAGACATGTACTCAAATATTCACAGTAGCTTTAATTATAAAAGCCAAAAACTATAAGCAAATGTCCACCAACTGTGAAATGGATAAACCAATTGTGAGATATCTATGCAATGGAATGCTACTCAGCAATAAAAAGAAAGTATAACACATGCCACAAAATGGATGAATCTCAAATACTCATGCTAAGTGAAAGAAGTCAAACAAATAAAGAGCACATACTCTATGATTCCATTTCTATGAGCTTTTAGAAAAGCAAAACAATAGAACCAGAAATTTTATCAGTGGTTGCCAAGGGTCAGCAGTGAAGGGAGGCACATGACCATGAAGGGACATGAGGGTGATGAGAACGATCTACATCAGGTGTGTAGGGTGGCTACATGACCACACTCATTTGTGAAACCTCACGGAATTGTACATCTAAAACCTATTATATGTAAATTATGCTTCAAGAAAGCCTATTTTTTTTCCAAAAATGGACCCCAACTCAAGTAACTATTTTCACATCCCTTGAAGTCAGGGCAGACATTCAGCGAGTAGGCACTGGCATAGCCGTCCGTACTTGTTAAAATCCTGAAATGCTTCCACACCTACTGGCAAGTCACTCCTGCCCAAGGCTTCTGAGTTACTCCTGTGCTCTCGTCCTTATCTGGGTCCTTCTGGATCTCCCTAGGATATCCAACAGCAGGGCTAATACCTGCTCAATAGGGGGCCTCCTGGACCAGCTAAGGTGGACATCCTTTCCGACTGTTTAGGGCCATACTGGGTAAAACTGATTTGGAAAAGATAGATGGTGCAAAGCTGAGCTCTAACTCGGCTGAGGGCCCACTAAGTCGCTGCCAGGTTTATTGTGTTTAGATCATGCATTCTCAGCAAAGGTGAAAACTGATTCCTGGCAAGGAGGAAGACTAAAAAGTCTTAGATCTTATAACGGTTTGTGGCCCACCAAAGGGCCTCAGTACATGAACAGATGTCCACAATATCTGTGCTATTAACATTCACAGGGTGTGGGGTGGTCAGGAAAAAAAAAAAGTCTTAAAAAGGCTTCTTAGGCCGGGCGCATTGGCTTATGCCTGTAATCCCAGCACTTTGGAAGGCAGAGGCAGGTGGATCACCTGAGGTCAGGAGTTCAAGACCAGCCTGGCCAACATGGTGAAACCCCGTCTCTACTAAAAATACAAAAATTAGCCAGCCATGGTGGTGCTCGCCTATAATTCCAGCTACTCGGGAGGCTGAAGCCGGAGGATTGCTTGAACTTGGGAGGCAGAGTTTGCGGTGAGCTGAGATCGCACCATTGCACTCCAGCCTGGGGACAGAGCAAGACAGAAAAAAAAAAAAAAAAAAAAACCTTCTTAGTAGGGGCAACTATGAGAATAAGGAATAAGGTTGAGAAATGCTGGTTTAGCTGCAAGAACTCTGTGATAGTGAGAACCTGGACACCACAGCCCCAGCCCCCAGACCTGAGAGTGGAATTCTCACCTGGGAGGCTAACCTGTGCAGAGGGTGTTGTGGGCATGTCTAGGTGGGAAGTGAGAGATCAGCTGGGAATGTGGGAAAGGGGGAGGGGCCACACGAGCCCTCACAGTCCTTTATGGGACTCCCCTTCTGGGGAAAAGCAGTCGCTCACTCTCCCTCCTATGAAAGTCTTTAACCCAACTCAACTCAGCAAATACTCAGGAGGACCCCTGAGAACCAGTACCCTGCTAGGCTTAGGCTAAATATATAGAGAGAGATGGCTGCAACTAGGACTGCACACTCAAGCCTAGCAGAGAGACACATAGAAACCCAAAGACTCCCACCCTTTGCTCCCAACATCTTATCTTTCCATTCCTATCTGGAGTCCACGATGGCAGAACTGCACCCAAAACATTCGGAGTTTTCAGCTGGTGTAAGTAATGAAGACAACTTCTAAATTAGTAAGTGCTATAGCTGAGTCCCCGGCTTTGTCAAGCTCAGCTGAACCAGAGCCTCCTTGGAAACACTTGCTTTGTACGCTGATACATTATGACAATACTATAATTGTTCTCTCAGTCTTTTCCCAGATATTTAATAACAACGTGAAGTGGGAGTTGCAAAGGTCAGTCCTCCTGTAGAATGAGCGTTGTTCTCATTGTCCTTTCCTGAATAGCGTCTTCCATTTGCCAGGCTGTTCTATGCCAGTGAGCCCTGGTGGTGGAGGCCTGGTGCTGTTAAAGAAGCAGCACCACCTACTCAGGGCAGAATATTCTAATTTGCTAAATGGTCCAGTGTCACTGTCTGTCTACATCATCTGCATAAATACACACACACACACACACACACACACACACACACTCCTCCTGTGCTACCCACGCTTCAAGCCCGTGAATGGAAAGAATGTTAATTGCCAAAAACCAGAGAAACCAGGTGATATACATATTTGCATACTCACTTGGGCAGTTACTCTTGTGCTCTGGTTAGGTGAGAAGATTTATCTCCTAGGACCTCAGATCAACAGAGTCACATACCTATGTTAAAACTTCCATTATGTTGAAAGCTCACAATAGTTGACAAATGGGTCTCTCTTAGCAGGATGCAGTATGTGAGCAAGGACTAGGAAGCAGCAGTGCCCTGAGCTCTCATCTCTCCTTGGCATGTTCCAATTGCCTGCCTGATCTTGTGGTAGTCATTCCTCCTTAGTGAACCTCAGCTGCCACATCCATTAAATGGACCTAATTCGCTGCCTGTCCAAAGACAGGACTCTCTTCCAATGCTGAGATCTGTGACTCTCTTTCTGAAAACATATCAGAGGGCAGCTTTCAGGAACCACTGGATTATCTGGGGCATTTCAGTGCGAGGGTTGCTCAGAAGTCTGCATGCTCAGATAAGGCAGGGAGTAATGGCATTATAATTCAGAATCCACGTGATGCTGTTAGTAAATGTGCTTCATGTCTAGGCAGGGCGTGGTTTGGTAACTCAGGCACCATAAAAGAGGGCGATGTAGCCCTGGCAGTCTGTGTCAGAGAGTAGCTTTGTACCTAATCCTGAGGGCATGATAGTTGCTAAGGAACCATTGAAATGCAAATGAATTGCCAAATACTTAGCAGCAAGATATCAGAAAAGGGTGAGGAGGAGATGCTCTGAACAAGTTAGTCAGGTGAGTGAAAGGAAAATTACTTTCTCCTGATTGGGAAAAGAAAGCCACGGGTTTTCATGCAGATCAGCAGCATTGTGCTACTGTGTTTTTTTAAAAAAAAAAAATCTGTTCTTTTTCTGCTTAGCTGGGAATAGAAGAAAGTTGGAGCCAAGAGCAGGGAAGTTGGAAGGGCAAATGGAGCCTTCTTCTGATAAACTCTAAGTACATTTTAGATCACTCTCTCTCTCAAATGAGAAAGAGATATCCAAGGTATGAAAAAAGTAGTCTGCAAATGACTTTGAAGATCTGCCATCTTATACAAGACTCAAAACCTAGGGGAAAAAGTACATCAAAAACTGTGAATAAATATTCTACTGATGCAAAATGGAAATTCCAGGTGAGACTAGGCCATGATTGAAATAGTGAAAAAGAAGGGAAATGAGCCAGCTCATTGTACCTATGAGTATGCATTTCTTTCATTCTTGCTCTCCAATGGATATCAAATTTAAATGCAGTGGTTAAATTCAGATGCTCTGGTATCTACATTGGAACCAGGGGATTACAGTGAGAAATTATGGCTCTTCGCCCATTGTTCTTCTCATCTTGCCCCTAAATAGGAACCCTCCTCTTTCAGTCTAGTTGAGATGCCCTAATCCAAAAATCACTTTGCCTTTAACCAAACACCACTGCTATCTGCCTATTCAGCACTTTAAATTTGATCATGATGCTCAGGAAGATACAGAACATCCCATCAAGAAAGAACCTATTTGTCCAGCTGTCTCCAGACCTCCCTTCCTGGGTTTTTAACTTGCCCATCACTTTCTGTTTCCCCATCTTTTCATCTTCAGGACCATCACAGCCACAGATACCTCCTTCTTCTGTCCAGAATCCATATACTTTCCTTTATTGGACATACCATCTCTCTTACTCGGTTGCATAATTTAGCTGTCCCAGGAAGATTGATAGGTGTGGCCTATCAATGGCAAGAATGCCTTCCCAGCACTCATTCTTGCTTCTCCTGGACAAGCACCCTGACAGTTTTGTGACCAGCTCTCCCCTATCTCAGGCCAGGCAGCTTGATGGGTCTGAGCTAGCCCTTCCCCCTCAGCTATAGAGTTTCATAGACACATGACCCAAGCCTGGCCAATGAGTGTATTTCAATCACCCTGGTAATGGAGTTTGGCTCATGGAGAGGCTCAGGACCCAAGGGAAGCCCAGGAGACAAAACTTCTTCAGCATTTGCTAGAGCTACGGGGAGCGAGAATTTATGTTTCTGCTGAAGTTTCAAGAGGATATGAGTTTGAGGCTGCCAGCAGCCACATGAACATCTCATGAGAAAGCCTATCTGAGGATGAAGTCAACATAAGTGACTGTGCTGATTAGTCTCCATTCATCCCTGCAGATCCATTCTCTACTTTTTTTGCCATTTTCTATGCCTCTGACCTCTATGAACTTCATCAACCAGACTTTCATGCCCTCTGCCTTCTTGTTGAATTCATCATGGGAGGTGCTGGCAGATGATGTTTAAGAGGAGGAGAAAGGGCTCAAGGAATACAAACCCTCCTCCTTCACCCTCCATGCTTGATCTGGGCAGCAGCTGCATTTCTCTGTGTCTCATTTCCGTCAGGGAGCTCCTCTGTCACACTGTGGCTCTTGCTAGGTTCTGAGAGCTTTGGGGAGTATCGGCTTCCCACTATTGTCAGTCCCTGGGTACATCCCCATCCTTATTGGTTCCCTTAATGTTGTTCACACCTCTGTAGAGAGTCTTTTCATTAAACCCTCCTCAGTAAAGCCTGTGAGAGTGCTGTTTTCTGCTGGGACCTTGACAGATACAGACACAGAACTAAGGAATGAAAACAGGGAGACAGTCCTGAGACAGCACTGTTGCCCTGGATATAATCATAACCAAAGTCCCAAACTTTTTTTTTTCTCTCTCTCTCTCCCCTCTCTCTCTCACACACACACACGTGCACACACACACACACACACACACACACACACTCCTTCCCCAAATCCTTCCCACTCTAAGTCTGACCCTCTCATTTGGTTTCTCCTAGCAGCTGATGTGAAACTGCTATACCGCATCCATCAGAGTCTATCACGTGCCCTATTACAGCCTGTAGTCTGCGTGGCTCTGTCTCCCCCACCAGTCTATTAATCAGTGAGCTCCCTGAAGGAAAGTCTGTGTCTTCTTTATCTTGGTGTTTTCAGTTCCGAGTACAGTGCTTCTCATGTAGATGCTCAATAAATGTGTTCTGTGTGAGTACTTGTGACACTGGTGGCTCCTAGGCAGTGCTGGCAGTTCGGTCTCTCTGCTCTCACTCCCCATTTGCCTCTGTAGAATGTGAGCTCTCAAGTCTGGAAGTGGCTCTGGCCTTACCTGGACACCCCAGAGATGGGGCTGCATCATCTCTCAAGGCAGCCTATTCCATCTCGGTTCAGTTTGACTGAAAAGAATTTTGTAATCAAGCCAAAATCTATCTCCCGTGCAGAGCAAACCTAAGCCCACTTGCTAAGAATGCCCTTCGAGTATTCACAGACAGAGAGGGCCTCCCTTCCCCGTTTTAAGTTGTCCAAGCCTGCGCCCATCACTCTCAGTCACATCACTTGTTTACTCCCTTTATAGCCCTTTCCTGAAATTATATGTACATTATTTGTCTTTTTCATGCCTGTCTGTTCCCCCAATAGGATGTATGCTCCCAAGGGCTGTAATATTTCTGGTTTTGTGCCTACTGCCTGGTACATAGTAGGAGATTAACAATATTTGTTATTAAGTGTTGAATGAATGAGGTATCATATCTCCACCCCTTTCCCACCCTTCCCCTAAGTCCCTTTCTAGGTTTATCTAAACCATTGTTCTCCTACCCCTCCTAAAATATTTTCAGTTATTAATTGTTCCAACCCCAAACTCAGTGGTTTTCCACAATTACTACATTGATTTTGCTCAGGAATCTGCAGTTTGGACAGTGTTCTGTGAGGAAAGCTTGGCTCTCCCTACTCAGAGTCAGCAGGGGTGCCTGGAAGGATGGGGTTGCAACAAACTGAAGACTTTTTCATTCACACTTGGCCTCTCATGCTGGCTGTGGGCTGGGACTTGAGCTGGAGCTGGGGCTAGAAATTCTACGTGACCCCTTCATGTTACCTGGGTCTCCTGACAATGTGGTATCTGGGTGACAACGGCAAGTATTTCAGGAGAAACAGAGAGAGCTAGGTGGAAACTGTGTTGCCTTCTATGACTTCACTCCAAAGTTATGCAGAAACACTTCTGCCATATTCCATTCATTACAGTGAGTCCTAAGGCCAATCCATATTCAAAGGGAGAGGAATGAGCCTCCACATTTTGATAGGAAGAGTATAAAATATTTGTAGATATATTTTAAATGACTACATAGGACATGATCTCAGGTTTTTAAGTGTTTGTTGATCTTTTCCTTCTTGTTATTTATTCATTATGTCATACTTATTGACACCTCCTATGTGCCATGTGCTGGGGGTGCTATGTGCTGGGGATGCCATGACAATCAGGATAGAACCCATGCTTCAGAGGCTCACGGAGCTGTGGGGTACCCAGCAAAATAAACACACAACTGGATACCAGTGTGGAATGTGATCCCATAGAGGGAAGCAGAGGCGGCTGTGAGGGCACCCAGAGGGCAACCCAATCGAGTGTGGGACAGGAGAAAGCCTTCCAGGAGGAAGCGATCACTGTGGTGAATTCTGAAGAATAATTTAGGGTTAGCCAGAAAAGAACAGTAAGACATGCAACACAAACAGAGCAAGCAGGTGCAGACCCAGAGGCACACGGGACAGATGAGTCAGAAGGGCCTCTGTGTGGATGAAGTTAAGGAGATGCCCAGGGCATGTGCAGCTGTGCAGCACATGCACCTGTGGACATGTGTGTGTACACATGTACCTGTGTGGAGCTGGGAAAGGAAGTGCTGCTGGGCAGGAGGGCAGGAGGCAAGGTGGACCCAGGTGATGTAGGGTCTTGCAATGATTGGCCCTGAAGGTGCTAGGGAGCCAGCAACGGATTCACACCTGTGGTGTGACCAGGATTAAACCAAATACTACATTATGGTTCGACACCCAAAGTGTGTTCTGACCAGTGCCTGCCCCCGGCCTCTGAGCACCTGTCCAAAATGCGGTGGATTTTCTGATACTGACACCTTGTTCCTTGCCATCTAGTTTACAGCCTGCATTCCACCATCCCAAACCATTTGGAGGCATTGTCAAAGGAGCTGAGAGCATCCCCGGATGGGCTTTCTGGTCCTGTGACAACGGCCCCCAGGAGCAGACAGCCCTGGAGGAACCTGCACAGATAGTTCAGCACCAAGAATTCACGTGAAACCACCTGGAATGAGGCCCCTTCCCAATCCCCCATCCCCAGCTCACCTCCCGGCTTCAGCCTCAGCGTCAATGAGAAAGCCAAGGGCAAAGGTCCTATGTTGATGTGCTGGAAAAATACCAAGAGGAAAACAACAGAACAATTAACTGCAAGGCCCAGCTGCCTTTCACAGATAAGGTATTCTCTCTGCTGCCACCGTCAATGAAGCCACCTGCAATTATTCCTCATCCTCCTGCTCAGCCCTTTCCACTGCCACGGCTCCAAGGGTGACTGGCCACTGTCCAATGGGACTAGGATGCTGAGGGATTTCTCTCCTCAACATCCCCCCACATGTTCTTCCACGCTCAAAGTTGATGCCAAATCCTAGTGTCCTCCTCTGATGTCGTAAGTCTGCACCTGGCCAGATGGATAAAAGCAGCCAGAGCTCAAGAAACAACATGGCCCCAGGCCAAGGGTAAGCAGGACACAGTCCACAGAGAAGAAGTTGTAGAAGTGCCCAAAGACAAAAAGCAGCAGCTGGCCCTTCCTCTGGAAGGTGAGCCTATGAAGGGAGTACCAGAAGACCTGCGCTGTGCCCTGATTCCTCCCCCCCACACACACCCACCAAGATCCAGGCACAGATGCCAACTGCAACCATCTAAGCAACACAGCTTATCAAAGACAATATCTAGATGGACATTGATATGGATTAGCTGTGTCCCCACCCAAATCTTAACTTGAGTTGTAGCTCCCAGATTTCCCATGTGTTGTGGGAGGGACCAACGCCAAGGGAATTGAATCATGGTGGCCGGTCTTTCCCCGTGCTATTCTGGTGATAATGAATAAGTCTCATGAGATCTGATAGGTTTATCAGGGGTTTCCACTTTGCTTCTTCCTTATTTTTCTCTTACCACTGCCATATAAGAAATGCTTTTCACCTCCCACCATGATTCTGAGGCCTCCCCAGCCATGTGGAACTGTAAGTCCAATTAAACCTCTTTTTCTTCCCAGTCTCAGGTATGTCTTTAGCAACAGCATGAAAATGGACTAATACAGACATGCAGCAAAAAAAAAAAAAAAAAAAAAAAAAAAAAAAAAAATAGCCAATAATGACCACAGTGGGGGTCTGACTCGCAGGGGCACATGGGAAAGGCAATGTGTAACAGGGAAATGCAAACCGAGAAGGAAAAAGTTTTCCTCCAGCTGTGGAACAGGTGGGACAACTCCAAAGAGTGAGAAGAGAGCCTGTCCACAGGGTCCGAGCATTGACACCAGAGCAGGACTGTCTGTGCCTTTGATGGCACCTGGCAGGACAAGGATAGACAGCTCCTGGGTAACACATGCTCACTGATTTAATTCACAACTAAGCAAAGTTAAATGGAAAAGGTGACTGAACTGGGAGACAGAGGCCCAGGGAGTTTGGCAAACTTTGGTTTGAAACTTCGCTCTTGAGCCAGTTAACTTCTCAAAGCCTCAGCTACCTCATCTGTAAAATGGGAGAAAAAAATGCTTAGATACAAAGGATATGGGGACCAATATGTATAAAGGGACCAGCACATGACAAATGCTCAATGAGTGGTTGGGAGCATAATCTAATCCTGGATCCAGCATTGCCAGCCTGTAGGACTCCTGGAAAGTTTTTTCCCTTCCCTAAAAACCGACCTCCAGTCCTGCTTCTGACATGTCATGTCAAGACTGTGCAGACAAGCCTGATCCCTTGCTGGCTCCCTCAGGCTTACATGGCCCCCGTAATCAGTCCCAGGGACCTCAGAAGTTATTGCCAAGCTACAGCCTTGGACCCCTGCTCCCCTCGCTTGTCCCCTCCCTTTCTGGCCACCTGCCTCTGCCCATTTCTCTGTTCATTATCACCTTCACAGGGAAATGGAGAAGCAGAGCAAGGAGGTTAAATTCAAACAGTCATTTTGTCACTTGCTGCCAGGAAGTGGGAGGGGAGAGATGAGAGACGCAGGGCCTCAGGTGCAATCTGTGGGCAGAAATGAGTCCTGGTAATTCTCAGAAAATCTCCTATGTGTTTCCACATTGGCCCAGTTCTGTTACAGAGAACTCTGGGGGAACCTCCCATGAGCACCCTCCTTAAGCAGCTGCTAGTGGTGCTGTCTGCAGGTGCTGGGATTTCACCTGACCTGGAGAAACAACTGTACTGGTGATGGAGGGGGAAACAGGACCTTCTTTATCACCTTTTCCCTCTTTTCGCAAGCAGATCATCTTGAAACCTCAATCACCAGCAGGGTCATTATAGTGTAGTGAAGGGCCCCCAGATCTTCAGCTTTGGGCATCCTCCCACAGAGCTAACACTCCATGCTTGCTGGAGAGTGAGTGAGCAGATGAATAAGATGCTTTTCCTGCCCTAGAAGGCTGGGAGCATAATGAACTCATTTGCTAGGCTGTCAAAATGAAATCTTCTCATTCACAAAGTTAGAAGTAAACATACAAGCCAGTTACAGTGAGAGGCATCTGGCAGATAATGCTACATGGTACCAGTGGGGACCATGACCTCAATCCTGTCTGTACCACCTGCACAAGCCTGGGCCTGCTGCTGGCCAGTGGGAGGTCCCTAGAATACAGTCTTCCTCATGGAGGGCACTAGGCTTTCTCATGGAGGGCACTTAGCCTTCTTGATATTGGCTAAGCTCATTCTTTCCGATCCCTGATGTCTGAAAATCAGATCCTGAGCTGCTTCCTACAGAACCCCTGACAGGCTATGAGGATCCATGCCCCACCCATGATTTGCCAAAGGGTCACCATGCCTCAGATTGGACTTTATCTACAATTGTCAGCCCCTGCTTCTTTTTTTTTTTTTTTCGTGAGACAGAGTCTCGCTCTGTCACTCAGGCTGGAGTGCAGTGGCACAGTATTTTTTTGTTTTTTTGTTTTTTTTAGCAGAGATGGGGTTTCACTGTGTTAGCCAGGATGTTCTCAATCTCCTGACCTCGTGATCCGCCCGCCTCAGCCTCCCAAAGTGCTGGGATTACAGGCATGAGCCACCGCGCCCGGCCTGTCAGCCCCTGCTTCTACCACTGCTTCTACCCTGGGGTGTGCACCCACTCCAAGTCCCTGCTACTCTCTCTACCATAATGATCCTTCCTCCAGTCTATTTAACAATGAGAAAACTGAGGCACAAGGAAGGACAGAGCTAACTGTGCACTTGTTTGCTTCCTGTACTTTAAGTCAGATAGAAAGTGGTTTTCCATCAACAAAGAAGAACCAACCCACTGCCCTCCAGGCCTCCCTGGAAAGTGTGTTCCCAACTTTCTAACCCCCAGGGGAATGATCAACAAAAGCCAGCAAAGTGGCTCTAATACATCAGATATCAGGGACCTTTGATGGAGCAGATGGTCCTGACCTCACCACTCAATGCCCCCCACCCAAGCATAGTTAAGCACTCTGACCCAAGGGCCCCACCTACAGCTGCCACTTGAAATGGAATCTGCAGAAGAAGCTGAAGAATTTCTCATGCAAAATTTTGCTTTTAAATATGAAATCTTTCCCAAGGTGTTACTTTATTATTACAGTAATTTCCTCAGAAGGGCAGACATCGAATGCTCTGTTTCTCCACCATCTTTGGAGACATGGAAATCTGACAGAAATATTCAAGTTGCTTAAGTGGCTAGTGCATAAGAGGGAAACATAAAAAGAGCTCTTCCAAGGAATGCAGACTCCTGGAATCCAGGTGCAGGAACACGCTCTCGACAGTCAATGGAGGACAGGTAAGGGTTCGGTGTGCCCCCTCCGCTGCCCCCAGAACACATAGGGGTCCCAGGTTCATCTCCTTTGGGGACACTTCTCTGCTGATCATTTCTTCTTTGGAAGGGCTGGTCAGGGCAGAGAGAGGAACGAATATACCAGTCCTTACTAGAAAGGCTGCAGGACAGGTCTCCAGCCCTGTGTCTATGAGTGTATAGGGCTGCAATAGGGGTGGGAATAGTGGAGTTAGGAGGAAGGTGCAGAGAGAGAGCTACATGGAAACTGGAGCTTGATCTGAAGTGTTGAGGTTGTCTGAACATTTTGCTCATCTCTTCTTGCATGACCATGTAAACCTAAGCTCCCAGTGAGTCAATGAAGTCTCCAATGCCCAATGGCAGAGTCAGCACTAGAACCCTTCCCTCCCCTAGATTCCAGCTGATATGAGTCTTCCTTCATGCAAAGCCTTCAAAAGTGGTGGAGCAAAGTGGCTAAAAATATAGACTACAGAGCCTGACTGCCTGGGTTCAAATCCAGGCTTGGCCACTTACTAGCTGTGTGACCTTATCAAATTACTTAACTATTATATATCTCAGTCTTCTCATCTAAAAAGTGGGAGAGGAGTTGATTATAATAATACCTACCTGATAGGTTTTGTAAGGATTAAGTGAATTAGATCTCATCAGCAGTTTCCAAATATACTGGTGCCAGGCTGTCTGCATGTGAATCACTGGGGCCCTTTAGTAAAATGCAGATCCCCAGGCCATTCTGATTCAGCAAATGCAGAGTTGGGCAAGACCTATTAGGACTTCTGACTGTAACCTGGTTTAGAAACATTCCCCTTGGCAGTGTTTCCAGGAAGCACATACATCAGGATCTCCAGGAAAGCCCACTTAAAATGCTGATTTTTAGGATCCATCCAAACCTGCTGAGCTTTTAGGGTTAGGACCCAGGAGTCTGTAGCAAACTGCCCAGGTAATATACTACCTGAAGTCTGGGAAACACTACCTGAGCTGGTATTCCCCTCTTTGGGCTTCCAAAATTGCCCCTACCTTTTGCCCATGCTAGAAAAACACTACACATCTAAGCCTTAGTGATACTAAGAACATTTAAGGATTAGCTATATATTATTTTAAATTTAGTAATATAAACATATCTTTGATTTTAATAGCATCTTACTTTCTTTTTAATCTAGTACAGAGTGTGTCCTTATATTGGGTATTACTTGTCCCTACTCCTATAGTTGGAATAAGTGGGCAACATGACCCACTCAACAAAGAAAGACACTGGCCAGGTGGACTGGGTAATTTTTCCAAGCAACAGAGCTGGGAGATGAAAAGGCAGGTGGAGTACTCTGGCTTCATGATCCTGCTATCTGTCACCACCCATGTTGATTTCATCTCCATCCTCATGGCCAGACCTCCCTCCTGACCCATATATTCCTTTCATTGCCCCGAGTTCACAAAATTTATTCAAGCAACTAAAGAACATGTAGTTTCTACTAAATAGGAAGCACACATGCTAGATCCAGAGGAGGGGGTCATGGTGCTGTCCTGTGTCCCCTAGCATCACCCTTCTTCTTTGGTCCTATTTGCTTTATCAAAGATTACTTCTCGATGGGTAAAATTAAATGAGAACCATACCATGCCTCTGCCTCATGGGCTTTTCTTATAGCACATCTTGGTCATCGGTACCCATTCTTGTGAAAAAACAAAGTAGGGGCTCTGAGATCTGGGTCTGGGTTGCACAAGTCAATAGAAGGCAGAAGGGGCTGGAGCCGGACACTGTGTGACCTAGCAGGCCCTCCCCAGGCTCGGGAGCATCACAAGCTGCTGGCAGCTCTCTTCTACTAACCCAGAAGGTTTGAGCTGGGACTGAGTCTGGGCCTCTGCAGTTGTTTACATTGCCAAGACTTTTCCCAAGCCATTGCCCAGAGCTGCATTGCCCTCCCTCGCCAGCATTCCATGCGTGGCTTGAGGAGGCAGCTCCACAAACACTGAGTAATGGTGATCGTTCCACTTTGCACAAAAAATAAAATCAGCTAATACATGGAATTTTCTCAAATTTGCTTT
The DNA here is from genome assembly GCF_000001405.40 of Homo sapiens. Classification (NCBI taxonomy): domain Eukaryota; kingdom Metazoa; phylum Chordata; class Mammalia; order Primates; family Hominidae; genus Homo; species Homo sapiens. The sequence continues at coordinate 134,799,397 of NC_000003.12, read as the reverse complement.
TCTTTCTCAGACATTTTTAAAAATCTTTGGTGCCTGCTACTGCTTGTAGGCTCAAGCACGTTCATGGACACCAAAAACAGATGAACACACAGCAAACAAATATTAACAGAAAATGCAGAAACAGCCAATCACTGCCTCACCTTGTGGCCTGTTGAAGACACGTGGGCTTAGTTTGGGGTTTTCCACCACAAACGTGTAATGGAAATGTAACTGTGTCCAAAATGTGTACAGTGAAATTCAGTGCCCTAGCATTTCACGTTGGGGCACGCCACAAAGGGGCACAGTAATTTAGTCGTGCACTCATGCATCAGCAATGCCTACTGGGAACCCACTACTTGTCAACCCTTGAGAAATCTACTACTCAAATACATGTGGACATCCAAGGGTGCCAGGGCCAGGACTTCACTATAGGCTACACAAAAGAGCAGGTCTCCTGGGAGTATTCCCATCAGCCAGTGTGCCGCACTCTGAGGCCTTCTGCAGGTGCATGGGTACTCCCTGGACACAGGGAGTGGGGTTGGGAGAATGCTATGAGCAGTTAGCAATTTCAGGTTGCTGCCTCCCAGGAGGGCCAATGTGCTTTCCAGATCCTATCCCAAAGGGCACAAGACAAGACGCAGCTCAGAGAATGCAAGCAGCTGCCTTCGCTTCACAGACACCAGCAGCCCATTCTCAACAAGCTCTCAGAGCAGGTGGGAAAAGGCACCGGTGGGCTTGAAGAGGCAGTTGTTTGTCAGGACGCTGAGCAAAGAGGCCTGGCTTTGTGTCCAGAAGGCAGGAGGATGTCAGCATTCTTGCCACCACAGCCTGCCTTACTCCCTTCTGAAGACAGACTTAGCCCCAGCGGATCTTTTCCTTGTAGTGGCATCTCTCTCCTCACAGAGCAGAACTGGCTGGAAATGCGGGAGTGTGGGGGGAAAGGAGGGAAGAGGAGCTTTTTTTCAGTCTGGGTTTCCTACACCCTAAGCCAACAGTCCTCCTGCCTGATTATGAGAATTTGAGCCCCCTCCCCTCCCCTCCTCTGCCCCTCTGGCCAACAACCAGACCCTGTCCTCCCTCCTTCCACCCAGGCAGGGGGTGTCTTAGGGCCCTGCCTTCCTCTGGCCACATCTCCTTACCTGGCCCATGATTGTCACTGTCCCTTTGTCCCTGCCCTGGCCTGGGCTGAGGGCCCGCCTGGCCTCAGAGCAATTTGCCCTGGATGGCAATGCCTCACTGAAATTCCACCGCAGACCCCAGGGGAAAGCAGACAGACACATGAGAGTCTGAAATCAGCAGGGAGAGGCGCCCCCTGACCACAGCCGAGTTTGGGAGGGACCTGCTCTCCGTAGGCAGCTCATTGATCCACTTTCTGATCACTATTACTCACTCATCACGAACCAAATAACGCTGGCCCCAACCCAGCTAGGCAGGCGGGAAGGCGGCTCCGTGTGTAGAGAGTAGAAAATGAGCCTGCCTGTGTTCATTCTAGGAGAGGAGGGAGTGAATGGTGTGTAATATCCCTGCGTACTGAGTAGGGACCAGGGGGCTGCTTTAATATTCTGCTGAATGTCGCGTTTCTTTTAACCCTTGCTGGAGAGATTTTCAGCCCACAGAGTCAGGCTCCTTCCTGTCAGGCCACTGGCAAAGTTTCCAGGCTGCAGCAAGGGAAGCCACCGCACCGGGGGTAAGTGGCTCCGGAAGGCCTGGGCTCTGACACAATGGCACCCGCGGGCAGCTTCCGGCAAGCAGACAGGGACCTCTGGCTAGCCAAGAAGAGGGGCAGGGAGGAAACTGACCACGTCCTCATGCCTGCTGTGTTTCCATACGTTTGCTCTCCAAACTACTTCGCTTGCATGCACAGGAACCCAATGCCGAGAGCACGCTCCCCAAAGTGGGCACCCATCTCCTCTGAGACCCGGCCACTGAACCTCTGGGGGCGCAAAGAGCCGCGGGCCGGACCGAGCCTCGGACCTGCATGACGCCACCCCAATGCTGCAAGTCCAGTCTGGAATTGCCCTTGCAAATGCGCTCACCCTGGCTTTCCTGCCCGGTTTGGGGGTATATATCCCCTTGAATTTCCAATTTCAACTGCTCCCACACGTGTCTCTCAATAAGTCAAACCCAGGCATCCCTGCGCCAGGGTGTTGACGGCACTCCACACGGCTCCAGTCTTCTCCTGCACGTTCCAAAAAGCAAACCCCTCCTTGCTCCCCTCCCTACAAAGCCCAGCAGTCCCTGAGGGAAGCAGGAGACTGAGGGCAGACAAAAAGCCACCTTCGGAAAAGCAAGCGAGAGCTTTCTAGGCATTAATCGCCGCACCCCCACGCCGCCACCAGAACAAACGTGGGATGCGGTGGTCTTCGCCAAAAGGGAAGGGAATCTTAGCCGCGCCTCAGGGCCCGGAATGCCCCTCCAGCTTCACTTCCAGAAGGGCAGAGCTTTCCGGAATGGCGGGGGGCACCAAACCATCGTGTTTGGGGGAGTTTCCACTGGGCAACCGGTCACAGTTTCGCGAGGAACGAGTAACAAGCGGAGCGAGCTCCCAGATGGGAACGCTGCGCGGTCGCCAAGAGCTGCTCCTCCCCGGCTTGGAGTCCCCCAGAGGAGTTCCATCCGGAGCAGGACACCGGAAAGTGGGGCTGCTAGCCGGACTGCGGCAGCGCATCACCCCTAGAGTTGGTTTTCTCCCGACAACTCCAACTCCGCTCTCCCGCGGAGCTGTGTTCCCAGGAGGCTGCCGCGGCCGCTGCTAGGCTGCGAAGAACAGAGGCGGGGGAAGGGGCGGGAGGCGGGGAGCTGGGCCGGGATTTCCCACAGGGATTCGCGAGCGCTACCGAGCGCCCAGGCTCCCCGCTGCGCCGGGCACGGTGTCTTTGGAGCGCGCTTTCCCAGCCACCAAGCCGGAGGCACCGCCAAGTCTGAGCTGGCAGAGAGTGACGCTGCCCGACGACTCCCGGCCGCCGAGTATCCTCTCCGGGGTGGTGGAGAGGCTGGGAGACTTTAGGTAGGACCGACCACTCACCCCAGCCCACTCCTGTTCCAAGGCTCAAGAGGCGAAAAGGGTTTCCACCTCTCCCCGACTGACCCTGGAAACCTGCAGTCCCGCAGGCGCCCGGACCACCAGACTGGTCCCCAAGGGTACGGCCAATGAACTCCACCCCTCTCCTTCGGCGGCCACTTGCGGGATACCACGGCAGAGCTTCTCCGGCCCCCGCGCGCAGTGCTTGCACGCCAAGCAGAGTCCACTAGCCCGTGGACTGCGAGCTGGAGAAAAGGAGGTGGCGCGCGGCTGCTCAGAAGCGTATCCGTGCCTGGGAGCAGACGGGCGCCAGTACTCCAGGAGCCGGATGGCCAGAGGCACCCCTTTCTCCCCAACGCCCAGCTCTGGCTCTGCCCCAGAGCTAAGGAGCATGCACCGCAATGCAGCGGGCTCCGAGCTCTCCGAGCGGGGGCTGCGGGAGACCGAGGCTACCAGGGAGTGCCGGGGCGAGGAAGCCGGGGGACTCGCGAGCCAGTTTCGGGCGCTAAGAGCCAGCCGGGGGCGCTCTGGTGGGTGCCGCCCAAGCCCCGCGCTCGGCAGCGGCCGAGGCTCCCAAACCTCCTTGCCCTCGGGTCCCGGGATGCCTGCACCGCAAAGCAGCCAGAGGAACCCCGCGAACCGCGGAGCACAGCAGTCCCAAGGCGGCCGGCACCAGCAGCCAACTTGCTCCGTGGAGGGTACGTTACCTTCCATCGCAGCCACTGCGGATGCCAGGAGGAGCAGTAGTAGATAATCCAGGGCCATCGCCGGCCGACGGCCCGCAGGCCGAGACCAAGCCGAGGCAGCAGCGCCGGGAGAGCGCCGCGTCCCAGGGCGCCGCTGCGCTCTCCGCGGGTGGCTTCTCGGTATCCTTTCGCGCTCTCGCCCGGACCGGACTTCCCGGAGCGCTGCGTGGGCGTGGGCAGGAGTGTGTGCGCGTGGGGCGGTGCGGGCGCGCGTGGGTGTGGGTGTGCATGTGTGTGTGTGTGTTTATGGGAGAGGTGGGTGTGTGCGTGCGTGTGTGAGAGAGAGAGGGCGAGGGAGAACGAGCCTGGGAGAGCGCGCGAGAGCGAGTGCGTCCTGGTGTCACATTGCTAGCTACAGCGGAGCCTACGGGAGGACGGAGCCGGCCAGACTGACGCGGGAGGGAGCGGGATCCCCCACCATCAGCTCTCTCCCCACCCCTAACACCTCCTGTCCAATCAAGGAATCAAACCTGCAAAATTCCCCCGGCCAATCAGGCGCGAGCACCTCCTTACACTGGCATTGTTAGTTTAAGAAAAACTTTTGCTTGCAAGGCTGTGCGGGAGGGCTCGGAAGGCGCTAGGAGGGGTCCGGGCTCCCCCTCGTGGTGCTCTCGGAGAACCGCAGCGGCCCGCCCAACTCACCCTGTCCCCCCATAGGGTGCCCAGCGAAGGAGCTGGGGAGGCCTCGTGCCCTTACATCCCACCCAGGACTGGATCCGCTTTAAATGATCAAACGAGCCTTCGTTCATCTTCTCTGTGACAAGAGCACCCTGCCTACCCTGTTTAGAGCAACTCCAGGGGCGCACCCGTGCCTCTCCTCCAGAGCTCTTCACTCTCTAGCATGGGTTGGTATTTACTAATCGATTTTGTTTATCGTGGGGTCTCTCCCTCATTAAAATGGGGTCACCATTTTCGGATTCTTGTCTATTTTGTTCACTACAGAATCCACAGTTCACAGAACAGTGCCTGGCCTGCGGGAGGCATAGTACATGTCCGTCGAAAGAATGAATACTGTTCAGATAACCTGTGGGCACTTGCTCCAGGGTCCACAGGGAACCGGATTTGCTTCCTGTCCAACGTTTCGCAGTTCTTTTTCTGCAGAAGCCTCTGGTTGCCTTTGGTGTTCACTTCCCAGTGCATTGTGAACTTCCACAGAGGGCCCTGACCCCAGAGGACAGCTCAGCGTGGGGAGACCAGGAGTCACACAGTCAGCTATAAAACAGCAAAGCCTGCAAGAGGGCTCTCCCAGGCCGGTGCAAGGCGAGGTGCACTGTTGCTGTGGGCCAGGCCTTCAGTGTGGGTGGGAAGGACTTAGGCAGCAACTGGGGATGCAGCCTTGGAGATAGGAGCAATTCTCCCAGGCTCAGCTCTCACAGCTACACTTTATCTTCCTGTTTCTGGAGATGGTCAAGGGTTCTAAATCAGAAACTCACCTTGAGGCTGTTATATGTTATGCTGGAGATGTGTCCTTCCCTCCTCTCCCGCCCCCCCTACATACCTGATGATAGTCTGGTCCTACAGGGTCAGGGATGACCCGTTAGGTTCCCCACCCCTCCTCCTACGCCTCTCACCTTGGAGGCACCAATCCTTTCCCCTGGTCTGTTAATGAGCTAACAGTGGGCAGATGCGATATTTCCCTTTGGGATGACTCTCCTTTCTGGGCTTTTCTAAATCAGTTCCCCACACCCCCCACCTCTGCGTGTCTAGTCTCTCCTTTGCTGGGACTTCTTCCTCTCCACCACAGCCAGACTCAAGTCCCCCAATCCTGACAATTCTTTCCTTCCCTGGCTCTGACTCAGGCTGCCTTCCTCCTCCCCTCCCCTCCCTCCTACCCCACCTCTGTGCCTGAAGGGAAGATGTCATCAACCTCCACCTTCTCATCATCCACCTTAATGCCATGTTAGCTGCCCTCTACGCCTCCACACCACCAGCTGTGTCGTGATGTCCCTGGAGCCACCTGATGTCACCCTGGGCAACAACCTGCTCCTAGTTAGCTGTCATCCTCCTGCACCGTCAGCACCTGCTGACATTGGTGTCCAGTAGATCTTTTGGGGCTCTGGCCCCAGTTTCCATGGTCCTGCTTCTCCTCCTACCCGTCTTGCCACTTCTTACTGTTCCCTCTGTTACCTCTTCAGCTTTCAAGAGAGGTATCCCCCAAACTCCATCCTTGGAGTTCGTCCTCCTGGGGTACATGGGCAACTCCTTGGCAGCTTCACTTGCTTTTTTACCCCCAGCCATCCCCTCATGGATGGACAGGTGGATGGATGGATGGGTGAGTTTCACACTCTTCCCTCCCCCTTTCACTATATCACAGTCACTTGGTAGGCATGTCTGGCAAAGCCCCGGCTCTGCCATGTCCTCCTCCTTATGCCCTTGTCCTATGCCTGTGCATCTGACCCAGTGTAAACCCATACTACCTTCCCCTGGACAACTGGAGAGTCTCTGAATGACAGTCCAGCTTCCCTCCCTCCCCTTAATCCCTCCAAACTCTGCTGCCAAACTCATCCTTCTCAAGCCAACCTTGATCTTGTCTCTTCCCTGCATAGCAACCTAGTGGCTCCTCACTGTCTGCTGAAGAGAGACTGACCACTCTAGCATGACATTCAGACTGCTTTGTAAGCTCTCTGAAACCTGCCTTCTCAGCCCAGGCCCTGCTGGTCTTTCTCTGGGCCTAGGGTATCCTCTTGCCATCTCCACAACCACACCCAGGCCAGTCATGTGCTCACCCACGTATTCAGGCAGGCCCTGTTCTAGCTGTGGGAACACAGTAGACAGCCCTTCTCTGAGGGGTCTTACCATGTCCTGGAAGGGCGGCAATAATAAGCAAATAGGCAGTGGCATGTCAGGTGCTGAGGAGAGCTCTGAAGAATCACAAAGCAGGAAGCAGCAAGAGAGTGACAGCGGCTAGTTAGACATGCTGGGAAGACCTTCTGTTTACTGAGCACCTTCCGCCACAAACACTGTACTGGATGTTTACTTGCACAACTAAAATGAGTTGAATTGAATTTCCTGACCTCTATTCCTACCCAAATCCCACCTCTCCCAGGAAGCCTTTTCTTCTGTCCCTCTTCCTGATACCCTCATGTTATATTTCTGTGGGTACTGAATGGCTCTGTCAGACATGGCTGAAGGTATAAATGACCATTATCCAACTAACTGCAGAATGTCACACCTGGGAGTGCGCTTGGAGCCCACCAAGTACAGGGATTTCAAGTAGAACCCAGCTAGGGACTTTGAACTTGTGCCAGGATAAATACAGCAACATCACCAACTAGGCCCTCTAAAAATACTGATCCCTAGGCCTGTCAGTAGGGATGAGGTAGGCCCGTGATATGGTTTGGCTGTGTCCACACACAAATCTCATCTTGAATTGTAGCTTCCATAATTCCCACGTGTCGTAAGCGGGACCTGGTGGAAGGTAATTGAATCACGGGGTGGAGTGGGGGGTTCCCATGCTATTCTTGTGATAGTGAATAAGTCTCATGAGATCTGATGGTTTGATAAAGGGGAGGTCCCCCCTGCACACACACACACACGCTCTCTCTTGCTTGCTGCCATGTGAGATGTGTCTTGCTTCCCCTTTGCTTTCCGTCATGATTGTGAGGCCTCCCCAGCCATGTGGAACTGTGAGTCAATTAAACCTCTTTCGTTTATAAATTACCCAGTCCCAGGTATATCTGTATTAGCAGCGTAAGAACAGACTAATACAGCCCATGAATGTGATTTCATATCCTCCCCTCCCCAATTGACTCTGCTGCATGATGAGGCTTGGAAGCTGCTGTTCTTGGTCCAAGAGCTTACAACTGCCCTGAGGCCTCCTCAGGGGATGCTCATGAAAGTGGCCAAGGAACTGGGGCTTCAGACCTCACCTCTGCTCCAGTAGCTTTTTTATCTTTTTTACTGGGCATCTATATCAGGTTTTTTTTTTTTTTTTGAAGGAACTGTTCTTCAGCAGGAAAAGAAGGAGGGAGGGGAAGAGTAAGAGGAATTCAAGGAGAGGATTTGATTGGGTGGTGTAGGGAACATTAACTCATTGATGACTTCTAGAACATGCTGATGGCTCAGGCAAGAATAGTGTCAGTTTAGGGCTGCTTGTTAATTTCCCTAATAACTCAAGGTATTGACTTTTCTTGAGCAAGTTAAATATTAATTTAGCTTTGCAGAACATTGATCTTTCTCTAGCAATGGGTTATGATTTGTAAATATCCCTGAAGGCACCATTGGTTTGGGATTCCAAGCCTGGGTGCCTCTTTTCCCCTAGAGCATCTCCTTGGCAATTTTTTTTCTGTCTGATGTCAAATCCTCACTTATTTTCTTGATTAATCACTCAGCTATTTGATATCACTAAATCACTCCTTCAAAGTGACAGATGCTTGCTGCTAAGGCCAGCAGCTGAGGGCTCTCAGGCACCCAAGGGTGACTGAACTCTTTTGCTAAGACTCAGAGGCCCATCTGACTAGAAGGCTTTGGGGCAGTCAACCAGTTCACTCCCTACCTCTAAACAGTTTTGTGTCTAAATGTTTGGAAAGCATTTCTAGTGAAAGCAATTGCACAATTTCCCTTGATAATTCTACCCAATATAAAGCTATTCTATTAGAATTTTCCTCCTCACTTATAACCCACATCATATGTGTGTGTGTATATATATATGTGTGTGTGTGTGTGTGTGTGTGTATATGTATATATATATAAAACCTTTTTTCATTCACTACTTATTAGTGGAAAAGGTACACAAATAGCATCCATCCTGTGTATGTCACTTGCATATCTTGTACATGAGAAGATTTTGTTGCCCCATCCTATCCTTTCCCTTTGAAATACTGCTTTACCGCATAAATAAAAGGTTCAGTTACACACTCCATGACCCAGGTGACCTTTAATTAGATTCTTAAGCTGCAGGACATATTTTCATCAATTATTTTTTGAGAGGCAGGTGGAACCTTTAAGATTTATTTGAAACACTTTAATATGGGTAACAGGCAAATAACAAAAAACTTCCTTTCCCTATTTTGTTCTTTCTTCCAACATTTATTCAGCAGCAATTCTGTGCCAGTTGTCTGTGAAGTGCTAGGGACCCAGTGATGGCTGGGACCCAGTCCCTCCCTTTAAGGATCTCATGGTCTCCCAATGGAGATGGTAAAAAAATTAAATGTATTATGGGACTTTTCATCCAAAATGGTCTCTAGCTAGAGGCCTTCAACAAGCCTCTCCTTGCTTCTCAGGAAAATACCTCAGCAAATCCAGACAAATATGAAGAATTATAAAACAAGGTGAACAAACACTGATAGACAACCTAATTGCCAGGATGTGGAAGAAACTGACAATACTTATAAGGTACATCAAGCTGGATTGAGAAAAATCTGTCAAGCGTATGTATGACATATGCCAAGTTCTCTTTTTTAAAAGAGAAGCTGCTTTAAAGACATAGCTAGGAAGGCATTTTGTAATTCCCTCTCTGTCGATACTTGACTCAGACACTCAGGATCTCTACTAACCAGAGAATGGAGTAAATATCTATCATCACCATTGTTCAGTTTCAAGCCAAGCAAAGAACAGTTTTCCTGATCATCCTCTTCCCTTCCTTAGTGTCTTCCACATCTAGAATAGCTTAAAAATGAAATACACAACTGGATAGATGGATGGGCTGATGAAGACACAATGCATTCTTCAGGTAAAAAACAGTCAAGAGGCTGGAGCAGTCACATTAATGACTGTACTGTGACAGTACAGCCTGCTGACTAGAGTTTTTCCTGGGATACAGCATGTCAGAGCACCAGAGAATTGGGATGGTGGTTGGAGAAAGATGCTACCTCAGTAAAGAAGACATACACTAGATGAAGCCTGTTGGCAACTGGCAATTAAGCATTGCTGTAGGTTTATAAAGGCGACTCAGCGATCAAGCAAGTAGACAGCTAGAGGATCGAAGGCCAACCCACTCATCCTGCCTACCAAAATACACTGAGAATTAATGAGTCTTTCCCTTCTCAAGGAGGAGTGAAGAGAAGTCAGGACACCTCAGGGACCTATTACAACACTGCAAAACCAGGAGCAGCATCTTCAAGACCCAGATGAGGAGCATCCTTTTGAAAATGAAGTTCTGCAGAGTCTAGAGACATTTTCAGGAAACTTCTTGGCACACATGAAGACATAAATTCGAATATAGAGAAACAAACTTATGAGAAACAGGTTAAACAGAAAAGACAACAGAATAAAAGAAGAGGGGAGGAGAAAGGGATAGGAAGTGTTTTAAGGAAGCAAAAATGCAGTGTCAGAATTCAACCCCACATTGGTGTGTCAGTCAAGAGTACATTTGTTGCTGCTGAACATTGAATGGATGATATGAAAGATAAACTCGAGAAGCTTCCCAAAAATGCATACAACATGAACAAAAAAGAAAAATGGAAACAGAGAATACAAAACAAACAGAAGATAGAAAATGGGGAACCAACTTATATAAAATTGTGCTAGTTGCTTGCAAGGTGCTGGGGACCTTAAAGGGTCCCCAAAAGAGTTCTGAGAAGAGTTCAGAGTTCTTTAAAAAGAGACCAGTACAAATGCCATGAAAGTAATGACAAAGCTATGAAAGCATAAAATTTTTCTTAGCTGAGTAAAGACGATATATCGTCACATCTAGAAAATGTTTTTGAACCATATGGATTTTTTAAAAGAAATTTTACATCTATTCAAGAACACACACAAACAGACACATTCATGGCCACATAGGAAAACAGGATACCTACAGTGGACTAAATATCATTAATTTCAGAACACTAAATTCTAGGGAAAAAATGAAGCAAGAGCTATAGAGTTTGGGTTTTGCTTGGTTTTGTTTGTTGGTTTCGCTTGGTTTTTTTTAGCAATAGAGTTTTTAAGAGGGAAAATTTGTAACACAAAATATATATAAATCCAGCAAGTTGAAAGAAACAAACATTTTCGGGTCTCAGAAAATTTGCAACACTTTAGAAAAAAATTTACTTAAAAATATATTCCAATTGATAAAGAGATGAAATTTGGTGTCAAGCAATAAAATCAATTGAAATAGATGTCTAAATATTTACAGACTGCTTTTAATGTTTTTTTAAAATTCATCCTGCATAACTGCAACTTTGTACCATTTGACCTATATCTCTCCTTTTCTCCCCCCACCCCACCCTCCGCCACCTGTTAACCACTGATCTACTCTCTGTTTCTATGTATTTCACTTTTAAAAATAGATTCCATGGCTGGGTGCAGTGGCTCACACCTGTAATCCCAGCAATCTGGGAGGCCGAGGCAGGCGGATCACCTGAAGTCAGGAGTTCAAGACCAGCCTGGCCAACATGGTGAAACCCCATCTGTACTAAAAATACAAAAATTAGCCGGGCTTGGTGGCAGGCACCTGTAATCCCAGCTACTCCGGAGGCTGAGGCAGGAGAATCGCTTGAAGCCAGAAGGCGGAGGTTGCAGTGAGCCAAGATCACACCACTGCACTCCAGCCTGGGGGACAAGAGCGAGACTCTGTCTAAAAAAAAAAAAAAAGAATGAGATGATGCAGTATTTTTCTTTTTGTGTCTGCTTTATTTCACTTAGCACAATGTCCTTCAGGTTCAGCATGTTGTTATATATGGCAGGATCTTCTTTTTTAAGGCTGAATAATATTTCTGTGAGTGTGGTGTGTGTGTGTGTGTGTGTGTATCACAATTTCTTTATCCACTCATCCATTGATGGACACAGGTTGTTTCCATATCTTGGCCATTGTGAATAACGCTGCAGTGAACATGGGAGTGCAGATACCTCTACAAGGTTCTGATTACATTTCCTTTTAGTATAAACCAAGAAGAGGGATTTCTGGTTCATGTGGTAGTTTTATTTTTAATTTTTTGAGCAAACTTCATACTGTTTTCCATAATGACTACACCAATTTACCTTCCAACCAAGAGTGTGTCCTTGTCTCCACACCCTCATGAACACTTGCCCCTTATTTTGTTTGCTAATAGCCATTCTAACAGGTGCGAGGTGATACCTCATGGCTTTTATTTCAATTTCCCTATTGATTAGTTGAATACCTTTTCATATACCTGCTGGCCACGTTTATGTCTTCCTTGGAGAAATGTCTGTTCAGGTTATTTGCCCATTTTTAGTTGGGTTATTTGTTTTTTGTTTTTTGAAGGTTTTTTTAATATTGAATTGTGTGAGCTCCTTATATATTTTGGATATTAACCCCTTATCAGATATATGGTCCATGAATATGTTCTCCTAGTCTGTAGGCTGCCTTTCTATTTTATTGATTGTTTCTTTTGCTGTGCAAAAACTTTTTAGTTTGATGTAGTCTCACTTGTTTATTTTTACTTTTGTTGCCAAAGCTTTTTGTGTGATGTCCAAAAAAATCACTGCCAACGCTAATGTCAAGGATCCTTTTCTCTGTTTTCTTTAGGAGTTTCACAGTTTCAGGTCTTATGTTTAGGTCCTTAATCCATTTTGAGTTGATTTCTGTGTGTGGTATAAGAAAAGGGTCCAAATTAGTTTGTTTGCATGTAGATATCCAGTTTTCCCAATACCATTTGTTGAAAATACTCCCTTTTTCCCTTGTATCTTCTTAATGTTCTTGTCAAAAACTAGTTGACCATACATGCTTGGGTTTATTTCCAGGCTTTCTGTTTCGTTCCATTGGTCTATGTGTCTGTTCTTACACCAGTCCAAAACTATTTTGATTACTATAGCTTTGTAATATCACTTGAAATCAGGAGGTGTGATGCCTCCAACTTTGTTTTCCATTCTTAAGATTGCTTTGGCTCTTCGAGGTCTTTCATGGTTTTATATGAATTTTAGAATTGTGTTTTCTATTTCTGTGATGAATGCCATTGGAATTTTGATAGGAATTGTATTGAATCTATATATTACTTTGGGCAGTATGGACATTTTAACAATATTAATTCTTCCATCCCGTGAACATGAGATATCTTAGCATTTATTTATCTTTTTCAGATTCTCTCATGAATGTTTTGTAGTTTTTAGTGTACAGATTTTTCACCTTGTCAGTTAAACTTATTCCTAAGTATTTTATTCATTTTTTTACTATTGTAAATGGGATTTTCTTGATTTCTTTTCCAGATAGGTTGTTACTGGTGTGAATATATATAACTGATTTTTGTATGTTAGTTTTGTGTCCCTTTCAATTAAAATAAAATGTAAAAAGTAATCTCAATAAAGAACATTCATATTGTTAAAATTTTAATTACTAAAGCCTAGATCCAATACTTTAAATTACATTAATTAGGACCAAAGAGAAAAGGAATATGGGGAGAAGGAGAAGAAGTGGAAAGCTATCTGACATTCCTTGTTTACTTAGGAGGAATTGAGACTCTTAGAAATACTGATTTAAAATAGCTAAACTTGGTTTAAAAATGGCTTCAAATACTTAAAGGCTTTTAAAATTATACTCTGAGTAAATATATATATACCTTTGAAAATACTAGAGAAAATAAAAACAAAATATAACTCCTATTTTAAAAATTATTTTATTTATTTATTGTTTTTAAAAGCCAGGCTGTAGGGTGACTACAGCCAGGGACCTGCCACCATACAGAGCCCAATCCCAACCCCTATTAAAAAAAACAAAAGAAAGAAAGAATGAAAAAAATTGAAAAAACACAAATAGAAAGAAAGTTACTATTTAAGCAATAAAAATTTATAAGAAATTACAGAAATCACTTCCAATAAGAAATATGAATGAATTGGGTCAGGCGCCGTGGCTCACACTTGTAACCCCAGCACTTTGGGAGGCCGAGGTGGGCGGATCACCTGAAGTCAGGAGTTCAAGACCAGCCTGAGCAAGATGGTGAAACCCCGTCTCTACTAAAAATACAAAAATTAGCCAGGCCTGGTGGCACATGTCTGTAGTCCCAGCAACTTGAGAGACTGAGGCAGGAGAATCACTTGAGCCTGGGAGGTGGAGGTTGTAGTGAGCTGAGATCATGCCACTGCATTCCAGCCTGGGCAACAGAGCAAGACTCCACTAAAAAAAAAAAAAAAAAAAAAAAAAAAAAAAAAAGAAGAAGAAGAAGAAGAAGAAGAAGAAGAAGAAGAAAAAGAAAAGAAGAGAAAAGAAAGAAATATGAATGAATTGAACCTTGATTAAAAGATAAGCACTTTTTGGCTAAAAAATGTCATTGTATCATATCTCAAAGGGAAAATAAATAGTAAAAAAAAAACCCTTTCATTTGTGCCAATATTATAGACAAAATAACCCACACAACTCTTAATAAAAACATCTAGAAAAATTCAATAATATGTGAAATAGCTGCTTGTGAATGTATTGCAGAACCATAAGAAGTATCCCCAAGAGCATAGAAACAAAGAGGTACAAAAAGCCAGAATGATGAATCTGGGAGCTTACATTGCAGGGATTGATTCCCCAATCTGGGAAACATAATGACTTGAATTTTAATAGATACGCAGGTTGGAAACAAAATTTTAAATGAATACAAGGAAGAAAGTTGGAACTAAGACAACTGCATAAATCTGAAGCTTTAAATTGCAACACCTTCATTGAAAGAATAGAGGAAAGGAAAAGTTTACTCACTGTCCTAGAGGAGAACAAGGATGCTTGCCACTCTTGGCTTGGGTGGAGTGAGTAAGACAAAATAATTTCCCCTCAGAATTCTTATCATAGGCCTTCACTCATATGGATTTCAAATTCAAATTTATGCTACTTGAATAATCTCAGATCTCCCAAGCCAAGAACTCAACTGAAAAAAGCAGTTATAAGTAGATAATACCCTGGGAACATTAGAGGGAAGAAAATGCAAGAGGCACACAAAGTCCACAGAATTCCCAAAACAACATTAGACCCCTATTATAGAACTATCAAAGAAACACTTTTAGATATCAGTATTTTAAATAATAAAGGAAGACACTATAAAAAGAATCTATAGATTTCAGAGAGAACCACATAGAACAGGAAAAATTTTAAAAAGACATTGAAATTAAAAACTAAATGAATAGGTTTAAGAGATTAAAATGCTTGAAGAGTGATCTACTGAACTTTGAATTAATTTTTCAAAATTAACTATAATGTAACACAGAAAAGCAAAGAGACATAAAATCTTAAAAACCATTGAGAAATATGGGTGATGCATAATTTATTTAATACTTAAGAGAAAATAATGGAAGGAATGGGTGGATAAGGAATACTTAAAGAAACAATGGCAGATAAATTTCTGAACTGACGAACAAATGAATTATTCAGATTCAAGAAGCAGATTTAAGAAGTCCTGAGCAGAATAAACAAAAAAAAAATTCCTAACTAGACAAATCATAATGAAACTAAAGGACACCAAAGATAGGGGGAAAAAAATCTTTAAAGTTATCAGACAGAAATGAGAAGTTGCTCACATGAAATGACAACTAGACTTCTCAGCAGCAAGATGTACATATAGAAAGAAAATAAAATTATATATAAAATTTTTAATTCTAAAATTGTATATACCTAAATTTCTATATCCAGATAAATTTGTATTCAAGACTAAGAGCAAAAAAAAAAGTTGTAAAGACATTTTAAAGTAAGACTGAGGGAATTTACCACTAAGACACTATCTCTAAGAGATTTACTAAAGGAACTATTTCAGGAATGAAGGAAATAATTCAGAAAAGCAAAGTTAGAGGAAAGTTTACTTGTTTACCCAATGGTAAACATGTGGGTAAATCATTAGTGTTTCTAAAAACAAGGTAACACTAAAATGTTGAATAACAGCATTTAAGATGGGAGTTGGAAAGCTGAAAGTTTTCTAATGCCCTGGTACCATTCCGAAAGCAAGCAGAAATATTGAATAATTTTAGATGTTGTCAAATCAACCATGCTTTAAACTGTTAAAGTTGACCACTGCTAGATAAGCAGAAGAAAAAAAGGGGATTAATGAAAATTAATCAGTACAATAGAAAGTAGGAATAAAAAAGCAAACTGTATATAAAGCACAAACTGAGATAATGGAAATAAATCTAAAATTACTAGCAATCAGAATAAATAAAACTGAAATAAACTCATCATTTAAAAGACAAATATCAGATTGGTTAAGAATAAATCCAGTTATATACTATTGGAAGAAATACATCCAAAAGTCTACGGCCATACCACCCTGAACGCGCCCGATCTCGTCTGATCTCGGAAGCTAAGCAGGGTTGGGCCTGGTTAGTACTTGGATGGGAGAAATACATCCAAAAACACGATGACTCACATGTATTCGAAGTAAACAGATAAGAAAAAAAAACAGGCAAATATTATTTTTTAAAACTGGGATAACTAGACTAATGCCAAACAAAATAAATATTAAGATAAAAGCATTATTAATAATAAAAAGGATCATTACATAATAATAAATGGAATAATTCTTTTAGGAACACAATAAATTCTGAGTTTCTATGTACCTAAGACACAGCCTCTAATCATATAAAGAATAAAAAGGCAGAATCTCAAGAAAAAATGGACAAATCTCTCATTAGAAAGTGATTTTAACATAATTCATTTTGTTATTTATAAATCAGGCAGATGAAAATTGGTAAGTAAATGGAAGTAAGCAACAACTTAATTTAATTTAGTGGATGTATAGAGCCCTATCCAATCACGAGCAATTATACATTCTTCTCCAGTATATGTGGAACAATTGCAAAACCTGATGACTTACCACCAAACAGCAAGGCTCAATAAAGACTAAATAATTTGTCACACAGATCATATTCTCTGACCTCAACACAATTTAATCAGAAATCAATAACCAAAGAAACTTTGAAAAACGCATTTAAATAAACTTTAAATAAGGACTCATAAGGGGTACTGAAAAATATTTAAAATTTAATGATAATTATAACACTACCATTCAAAACCTTGGCATGCAGCTAAAGTGGTATCTACAGGAAATTTATACCTTACCTTGGAACATTAGAAAGAATATTAGAATAGAAGAAAATTGATAAGATAAATATGTAAACACAGAAATGAAAAATAAAGAAATTATCAACAAGGCTCCCACATCTCAAAGCTTACTCACTGAAAAAAATAAACTAATAAAATACAAAAAAACTTCTGCCAAGACTGTGCTAGTTTGCAAGAGGTGGGGTGGAGTGTATAATGGGACAAAACAAAATTAAATAATGTTATGGATGGAAAAGAGGGCATACGGATAGAGTAAAACTTTAAAACAGTAGAAAATACTGTGAACCATTTGAATGAAATAGCAATTTTTCTTGAGAACAAAATACAATATATCAAACCTGATTCACAATAAAAAATAGAATATTTGAGTAGACTGATTTTCACAAAAGAATTTGAATCAGTAATTAAAAATCTACCCACCAAAAAAAGAAACAACATTAAGTCTAAACGGTTTTGTTAGTGGGTTCTAATCCAAACACTCAAGGATGTATTTCCTGAATGATGTTAGGAAGCTGACATAATCCTTGTCCCAGGATTGAAAAAGTTGTCTAATTTTAGAGAAATCTATTGTCCCATTTACTGATTAAAGGACAAAACATATATATGATCATCTCAATAGGCACAGACAGAATATTTGATTAAAACTCAGAACATTTTCACAACTTAAAAATATTTAATAAAATAATAGAAAGGGACTTGAGACATGGTTTCTATCCAAACCCCAGAGAAAACATTACATTTCATGGCAAAACATCGGACGCATTCTCTTTAAAGTGGGGAAGAAGAAAGGATGCCTACTCTCCTTGTTTCCAGTCAGCATTTCACTGCTGGTTTGAGCTAGCGCTGTAAGACATAAAAGAGAGATGAAAAATATAAGGAGAGGACAGAAAGAAAGAAAGCTACATTAGGCCACAGACAGCAAGATTTTGTAGAAAACCCAAGAGACTGTACAGGGAAATCATTAGACCAAACAAAAATCATGAGCAAGTTTGCTAGTTACAAAGTCAATATATAAAAATCTGTTGCTTTCTTAAACATCAGCAACAAATAAGAATAAGTAATTTTTTAACAATGCAGCATTTTTTCTCCTACTACTTTTACTTTAGGTTCCAGGAGTACATGTACAGGTTTGTTACGTGGGTAAATGAGGCTTGGTGTACAAATGATCCATCACCCAGGTAGTGAGCGTAGTACCCTGATGGGTAGGCTTGCAGCCCACCACCCTCTCCCGCCTTCCTCACTGAAGCCGTCCCCAGTGTCTGTTGTTCCCACCTTTGTGTCCACATGAATAATACAGCATTTTAATGGCAATAAAAACTCTAATATATCTTGGAACAAATCTTAAGAAAGTTTGTAAAGGCCTTATGAAAAAATAAAAATTTATTAAACAACATTTAAATAACTGGAGAGATATACTGTGTTTATGGGTGAGAAATCTCATGGCTATTATCCCCAATTTTTCCTATAGATGCAATACAAATACAAAAAAAATCTATAATTTTTTTGAAGAATTTGACAATTTGACCCTGAAGTTCAAAAGCAGAGGCAAGAATAACGAAGACAATTTTGAAGACAAACAGAATGGAAGGCTTTGCCTTATCAGCTATCAAAACTTATTATAAAGCTACCATAATTAAAACAATATGGAATTGATATAGAGATTTAGGATCAATGTATATATGAAAACTCCATGTCAAGGGAAGTATTACAAAATGGTGAGAAAGAATAAACTATTCAATAAGCGTTGCCAAGACAATCTGAAAAATAAAATTTGATTCCTTTCTCACACAAATATCAATTCCAGGTGGACTGAAAACCAATATTAAAAGGAAGACTTCATAATATTTTTAAATATAACATAGGAGAATAGCTAAATGCAGTGGGCTGTAAGGAGGAGAATGTCATAAACAGGACACAAAAAGCACAAACTACAAAGGAAAATACAGATACACTTGATTAATAAAATGAAAACTTTGATGTAAAAAGACACCATAAACATAGTTAAGCCATACACTGAGAGAAACTATCTGCAACTTAATTTAAAAAGTATTAGTATCTAGAATATATAAAGAATTTCTATAAATCAATATGAAATAAATGTGTCAAAAGCACCCAAGTGCTCGCGTTGATAGCACATTACTAAAATTGGAATGATACAGATTAGCACGGCTCCTCTGCAAAGGTAACATGCAAATTTGTGAAGCACTCCATATTTTTATACCACATACAAAAGGACAAAGGCTGTATGTCTCCACTTACATGAAATATCTAGAGTAGGTGAATGCACAGAGATAGCAAATAGATTAGTGGTTACCAGGGGATGGGGGAAGAGGAATCGGGAGTTATTGCTTAATGAGTACAGAGTTTCTGTTTGGAATGATAAAAGGGCTTTGGAAATAAATACTGGTGATGATTGCATAGCATTGTGAATTATACAGTTAAAATGGCTGAAATGAAAATTTTATATTATATATTTCGACTACAAAAAAGCATCCAGTGTTAAAAAGGGGGCAAAAGATTCAAACAGACATTTCAGATACAAGTAACTATGAATAAGCTAACAATATCTGAAAAAATGTACAACCTCATTTGATAATGAAAACAATACTGAGATAATGCTTCTCACCCACTGATAGGTAAACATAATAAAGTCAGACAATAGCTAGGGTTCGTAGAATACAGAGCAACAAGAGCTGTCATAAAATGCCGGTAGGAGTGTAAATTGCTTCAAAGGTTTTGGATAGGAGTATGGCATCACTCAGTGAAGTTTAACATGTGCTTCTTTATGTATTAATTAGAGTAAGTACAGGCTGACATAATAAAGATACTAACAATAAATGGCTTAAAGGTAAAGAAGTTTACCTTATCTCTCTCACTTATCAGTTCCAAAGTTTACAGCCTGGTCAGTGGGACAACTTTGATCCTCACGGTCCTTCAGGTAATCAGTTCTTTCCAAGTCAGTTTCTGCAAAATTGAAGTTGGCTCACCACCACATTTTGGTTTTGTCTGGTGGGAAAAGAGAAGAACACATGGAGGAGGTACACCCACCACCTTAAGGCTCTGATCCTGACATAGCAGAATAGAAAGCTGCTTAAATTCCACTAGTGAGGACTTAGTCACATAGCCATATCCAACTAAAAGGGAGGCTGGGAAATGCAGTCTAGATGAACATCCATGTGTAAGATGGGGAAAATGATTTTGGGTGGATAAAATTCATTTTGTCACTCTCCACTATACCTAGAACTCAGCAATTTCACGGCTGGGAATACCTTAGCAATGCCCTTGCACATGTATGCCAGGAGACAGACATAAGAAAGCTTATAGGCTCACAATCCATAATAGGAAAAAACAGGAAATAAACCAAATGCCCATCATTGTAAAATAGAAAAATAAATCATGGTGTATTCTTATACAGGAGCAAAAATGAGTGAATTATTGCTGCACAATTGGAAAGTATCACATGAGATACTTCTAAGACAATATTCAGCTGAGCAGTAGGGACTTGGGTGCCTGTTTTATTATTAATATTTGAATTGTGTATTCATATATATGTACACTATATTTATTATTTTGCATATATTTACCATAGAAAAATTACATTACCAGCATAAAATAGATAAAATTTTTCACACAACAGGCTGGTAAAAGCAAATGTTCACTAATATTAAATGTAGACAAAGATATGGATAGCAAAAGTATGAATTGTAGTAGAATAAATTTTTACTGTATAGGGCATTTTGGAAGTTATCTTCAAAAGCTTAAACTGGGCACTTCTATAAATTACAATTTCGCTGCTCAGCACCAACTTAGAGTAACAACCATGGAGCCACATAAGAAGACAGTGTGCAAAGGTGTTCAGTCTAGCAAATCTTAAAACAGCAAAAATGGCCGCGCGGTGGCTCACGCCTGTAATCCCAGCACTTTGGGAGGCCAAGGCAGGCGAATCACGAGGTTAGGAGATCAAGACCATCCTGGCTAACATGGTGAAACCCTGTCTCTACTAAAAAATACAAAAAAATTAGCCGGGCATGGTGGTGGGCACCTGTAGGCCCAGCTACTTGGGAGGCTGAGGCAGGAGAATGGCGTGAACCCGGGAGGCAGAGCTTGCAGTGAGCAGAGATTGCGCCACTGCACTCCAGCCTGGGTGACAGAGCGAGACTCTGTCTCAAAAAAACAAAACAGAAAACAAACAAACAAACAAACAAAACAGCAAAAACATTGAGAATAACCTAGATGCTACTTAAGCCATTGACTAACTAAACTTTAGTCATTGTCATTAAGGCAATGACTAAACTATGATTCAGCCATACTATCAAATATCATGAAACAGTCAAAAAGAGTGATGTGGGCCAGGTGTGGTGGCTGATGCCTATAATTCAAGCACTTTGGGAGGGCGAGGTGGGCAGATCACCTGAGGTCAGGAGTTGGAGACCAGCCTGGCCAACATGGTGAAACCCCGTCTCTACTAAAAATACAAAAATAGTGGGGTGTGGTGGTGCACGTCTGTAATCCTAGCTACTTGGGAAGCTGAGGCAGGGGAATTGCTTGAACCCAGGAGACAGAGGTTGCAGTGAGCTGAGATCACATCACTGCACTCCAGCCTGGATGACAAGAGGGAAACTCCGTCTCAAAAAAAAAAAAAAAAAGTGACGTGGAACTATTTGTGCTTAACATAAGTGGATCTTCAATACAGCATTCTGTGAAAAGGCAACTTGCAGAACAAATGAGAGAAGACTGTGTAATAGTTCCTATAGTGGTTGGTGTGTGTGTGTGTGTTATTTATTCTGAATTTCCTCCAGAAAAATAATTTGTTGTTTTTAAAAGCCTAAAGCCGGGCGCGGTGGCTCACATCTGTAATCCCAGCACTTTGGGAGACCGAGGTGGGCAGATCACAAGGTCAAGAGTTCGAGACCAGCCTGGCCAGCATGGTGAAACCCCCATCTCTACTAAAAAAATTCAAAAAATAGCCCGGCATAGTGGCGTGTACCTGTAATCCCAGCTACTCGAGAGGCTGAGGCAGGAGAATTGCTTGAACCTGAGAGGCGGAGGTTGCAGCGAGCCAAGACCACTGCACTCCAGCCTGAGCAACAGAGCAAAACTCCATCTAAAAAAAAAAAAAAAAAAAAAAAAAAAAATTCTATTCTTTCAAAGGTTGAAGTCTACCGAAAGTGAAAGTTAGAAACCACAATACTCACCATTTCCATGTATTGTTATTGAGCAAATTCTCGAGTTTTAAATTATTTTAAGTGAGTTAATTAGACAAGTCCAGTAATTGATGAAGACCCCTCTGAAAAATGAGGTGAGTATATATTTTGCTCAAAAGTCAGGTAATAGGCATTTGAGAGTGAAAAAAAAGATCATTTTCTTTATGGAGCACTATGTGTGGCTGATCAAGGAGAAGAAATAAGGCCAATTTATCCTGCTTTTCACAAAGAGTCTAAAGTATGAAATACTAATTATTAAAACAAGAAATATAGTCCAGATCAAAACACTGTTAGGTGATCACACAACTAATTGGAGAGTGAGAACCAAAGGGGCCTTTATTAATGGTAAAATCCAGAAGTGCTTTTCAAAGAGGTCAATACAAAACATGTGCCTTTTTTAACACCTTCACTGAGGACTCAATAATGCAATAGAAAGCATGCTGGTTAAATGTGTGTTTGTCACTTCTTTCCTTTTGAAATCTTCCTTTTAAAAAATTAGAATTAAGAATGGTTGGCTTTCCTAATGTTTAATAGACAAGCCACAGAACAGCAATATTTGCTTTAATCTGGCCTCACATGAATGAGGCAGTCCTGGATCCCCAAAAAGCACCAGCCTCAGCCTAACAGTTTGTCCATCTCTCCCAACCCCTGCTAGTATCTTGGGATGGTTTCAAAAGTGTTAAAAACACTGGTCTGAAAGTTCCTCTAGCACCTCAAGTAAGTGTCATATCTTCACCACCTCTTGACTGCCACCAGCATCAGAAACTGCCTGGCTCCCATGACCTCCAACTCTGGAGAATACCCATTGGACAGGACCTCCAGGCCTCCAGCACCCCTACCCATCACTACACCTCAGCCTCATCATGACTTCAGGCTCAGCCAGCTGCCCCAAACCAAGAAGAGCGTGTACTCCTGGCTTCACATGATTTCTAGTCCAGCCTAGACCCTGTGGGTAGGCCATGTCAACAAAGCAAAATTACTACCAGAGACTAGAACCCCTCTCTGTTCACACACACAATGCAGCAGCCATTAGCCCCATGTGCCTATTAGGCACTTGATATGTAGCGGGTCCAAATTGAAATGTACTATCAGTGTAATATACACCAGATCCCAAGGACTTAATATGAAAAAAAAATTAAGTATCTTGTTGATAATTTTCATATTGACATGTTGAAATGGTGATTTTTAATACATTGAGTTAAATAATATTAAAATGAATTTCACTTGTTTGTCTTACCTTTTTAATGTGGTTACTAGAAAATATGTGGCTTGCATTATATTTCTATTGAGCAGAACTTCCCCAGAACCAGCTGCTGACTGGAACTGCTGGACACAGAATTTGGCTCTCTGGGGCCAGGGACTGGCAAAAATTAGGTGGATGTCAAGGCCCCATAGAGATGGGTTGCGGTGCATGGTATCCCAGAGGGCCTAGGCTACAGGAAGAAAATGTAAGTCAGAGACACAGTCCTACAACACCACAGATATTTCTTCCCACAGACTACCGGGTGGGGAGGTGGCTTTCTGAGAAAGCAACTGGCTATATTGGTAATACCTGGCAATTTTTGTCATTTCAGCTTTTAGTGTTCAGTGTGTAGACCTGATGCAGAGACCGGGAGGGGTGCCTGCAGAAAGAAAGCGGGAAGCCCCACATCCACAGCTGATTGACAGTGAGAATGAGACGGCTGAAAAGAAGAGGCACCATTCCACATCAAATGAATGATGGAGAGAGAAGCGTCACTGTCTAGATAACTCCCCTAATGGTCCAAAATAACCCCTGCAATCGGATGGACAAATAGGAACTTGAATATAATGTCAAGAAATCTGAGGTTTCCCTTCTCCTGAATATCTGGATAAACATGTCTCCCATTCTCTACCCCAGAATCAGACCCTGAGACAGAGATTAGGGTGCAAGTTTAGTAGGGGGCGTATTGGACTCTCTGGGGCTCCCTGGGATCCCCTATACTGGAAGGTATATCCATCCTCCAGCTGTGAGTATTGGCCGCCAACACTTCACAGTTGACCTCTGTTCTGGAGAATTGCCTTTGGCCAAATGGGCACTGCCTCAGCTTGGAGATTATATGCTACCATACCACTTCAGGGAAAGCCTCAGAAAATGTCTAACTGAAGTAGGGATTCCAAAGGCTGGCCCCCTTACCTGAAGGGGACACTAACTCTTTGTTACAATCTGTGCTCTGGAAGTTCCCTCAGGGGATTGGGCTGAAGCGAGGCTCCAGCCAGGACTGCATCCTTGTTCAGCTCCTTTCCCTGCCCCATCTTACAGCCCTGTCTCCTCTTCCCTGAGGACACTATTCCACTAAATCACGTGAACGAGACCCTTGTCTCAGGCTCTGCTTATAGGGACCTCGCTGTGACAGGAGGTGAGGGAAACATAGGTAGGTGAGTGGGGAAGTGAGATAAGGAAGAAGACAATAAAGGTATGTTATTAAGACAGTCACCACCGGAGGTGACTGGAAATTAATCCTGTGGCAAAACTGGAGGCCGATGTAGAACACAGACCTCTGAATTATCCCATCCAATGGGCTGGGGTATTTATACACCAGTTCTCACCAGACATTGGTCAAAAGCTGCCAGACTACATCAACCCCGCAGCACTCCAGCCTGCCCAAGGTGGACAGGGAAGCCCTCCTAGGTTTCAGAGAAAGCCCTTGGGCTCCAAAGCTGGCAGTTGGAAGTCAGATAACTGAGACTGAAGAGGGGAGGTAATATGGGCAGGGTATATGAATTCTCAATTCTAGCCCCAAATTTCTGTCTGTTTAATGAGTTCAATGCATGGACCTCTAAAACATCTCTATTCGATGCCATACTGACCCAAATGGGCTTGAACCCCGCTCTGTTCACACACACACTCTCTCACACAGCATTTATATATAAGTTGGCTTCACCTAGGGCTCAGGTGATTGAGATATTTACTTTGCTGAGATACATATATCTTCAAAGATAACATTGCACGTTTCTATTCCTAAAAGTCTTTCAGCTGTCCCACCTGGGGAACCCTGTCTGGCTGCCTCATCTCCAGGCTTCCCATGTGGACAAGAGTCCATCAAGGCATTCAGTGGAACAAAAGGGTCTTTCATTTTACAGGATTCTCCTTAGAAGGTACTTGTGGATCAATAAGGCAATTTTACTCTTTGTTACATTAGTATCATGGTATGCCATTGTATTGCCTTGAGTTAAGAATTAAGTTTGTGTGCTAAGTTGGAGAGTAAAGTGTTTATTGTATTGTTTCTTGGCTGTGTGACTGAGCATAGTAGAGGAGCATGAATGCAGATATCAGCATCACCCAGAGAGACCCTGTGGGAGGAAATAAGAAGAAGGTGAGGAGGGGAGCCACATCAGCCACATAGGGGACAAAGAGTCAGTTAAGAAATAATGCCCCAGAGCATGTCAATGGGACCCCCTTTCCTTCTCTCTGGCCCCAGAGGGATGTGCTTTCCACCCCCAGGAAAGCCTCTGCATCAGTAAGGCAAAGCTGTTATTGCTGTTACTCAATTGTATTCAGCATATATCTACTGAGTCCCTGTTGCCTGCTGGACACTGGGAAAATGGTGACATGCAAGACAGCCAAGGTCCCTGTTCTCAGGAATGTTAAACTCTACTGAGAGAGACAGACCCTCCCCATAAAAACAAGCACAGAAATACAATGAGTAAGATCATTTCAGATGATTCCAGTAAGGCTATGTAGAAGAAACAAAAACACCTGGTGACAGGAAGGATGACTGTTGGAGGAATGAGGGATGCACCTTCATCCAGAGCCATTTGGGATGGCATCACTGAGGAGGCAACATTTAATCAGGGGATGTAAACAGAAATGTCAGAGAAGGTGGGGGGGTGGGCTGTGGGGCTGAAGTCTAGCTTACTAGAAGAGCAAATTGCTGAAAATGTAAGACATGAGGTTGGAGAAATGGCAGTGGTCATTTCTGTGTCCTCTTTATTCTGAGTTGTGATTTAAGAATGATGTTCATGGAAATGGTTTGCTGTGAGAGATAAGCTGGGTCAGAGGTAACATAGCAGGGTGCACTTGAATTTTTCCTCACTCCTTCCCTCTAGGAATAGCTGTGTCTGGAACTTAATGCTCAAAATAGACTTCATTTCT
Organism: Homo sapiens; assembly: GCF_000001405.40. Taxonomy (NCBI): domain Eukaryota; kingdom Metazoa; phylum Chordata; class Mammalia; order Primates; family Hominidae; genus Homo; species Homo sapiens. Next base: position 134,773,425 of record NC_000003.12, on the reverse strand, counting down.
ATGCGTGCCATTTTGCCTGTGCTAAGTGGATAGCTTGAGTGGCCTCCAAAGGTCCTTCTCAGCCATGCTATAATAGACGGCTCTGCCTGCTCCTAAAGAGTCTGGCTCTGGCTCCTCCAAGAAGGAAGTCCAAGATAGTGCCCACCCATAACTGAGGGTAAGCCTCCCATCTTTTTGAGGCCTTGGTCTCACCCATGAGTGCTGGTGGCAGCAAATAGAAGCAGGATCTTGCAGCCTTGGATGGGGGAGGAGAACCAGGAAGGAGATGCCATTATTCTCCACCTGGCCAGCCTGTGATCTCTGCCCTGCTGCCTCTACAAGCACAGGGCAGCTGATGGGAGGCTGGGACTAGCAAATAATGCTGCAGGCACCCTTGGCAGATCAGGGGGCCTGTGACAGAAGAAGTCATGGGTTCCCATGCTTCGGAATTTGTAGAACCCCTCCCAGGAAGGGTTAACTGACCACAGTGCCTTGGTAACACCAGCCCAAATAGCTCTCCCAACCTACCAGAAGCCAAATTCCCTTCTCCTTGCCCCAAAGGTCTGCAAGTGGCATAAACTGAATCACAGTCAAGTTGAGCTCCTGGGAACCCGCCTTCAGCTCCTGTGGCAGCCAAGCTCTCTGCTTCCTCTTGGGAGCAGTCAAACTCCATAAGGAAAAGCTTGCAGGCTTGTCCTGCAAGCCTGAAGGCCATCTTGGAATGTCACTGGGAATGTGTGGGGAGGCCCCTACTCTGGGGTGTGGCAGAGGCTCCTCCCACATGTGCAGTTGGCAGAGACAAATGGGAATATCTAATGAGAGAGCACACTGGATCCAAAGCCACAGGGGTCTGAGTCCTAGATACATGGAGCATTTCTAGACCAAGAGGGAGATAATGAAGAGGAGAAAGGGAAGAGAAAATGGAGGAGAAGAGGGGAGGGGAAGAGGGGAGGGGAGGTGAGAAGATCAAACCAAAAAGCAAGAAGCCTTGCCTGGCTCACCCCCAAAGTGACTGGCACCTGTACAAGGTGTCCACAAGCCAAGTGTCTCCCTCGCAGCCATTATAGTCTCCCATTATGGCCGGCTAACAGAAATCAATCTTCTTAATGCTGCCTTGAACAGAGAGGGAGGCCAGCCAAGTCTAGCAAGAGAATCCAGCCCTGCACAGCTGCACGGGGTGTCTGGCATTAAAGGGTCAGGTTTCTCCCATCCACCTCCTCTCCTGGCATGAAAAGAAGATAATGCCCATGGTGCCTCCAAGGGAGAGGGCAATGGGGCAGCCAAGACTGACATTTCAGACAGGCCTGGCTGGGTTGCTGCTGCTCAGCCTGCCTGTGTCTGCTTTAATCCCACCCACTCTGGGCAGCAGGATCTAGTTTCCAGCATGAAGATGTGTGCAACTTGATCTTACCTGCTTGTTTGTAACTAACCCCTCATCCATGGCAATTTTTACCCCAAGCCGGGGATACAGAATACATATATGGCTTTAAGAATATCTCTTAAGAATAATCTGGTTATTTCTCAAGGGTCAGTGGACAGCAGTTAGAAAATTATGATCTAGTTAGTACCTTCTGAGAATGAAGATGGGCATGGACTTCTTTTTTTTATTTTACATTTTGTTTTATTGTGTGGGTGCTTTTTCCTTTTTTAAAAAAAATATACTTTAAGTTCTGAGATACACATGCACAACGTGCAGGTGTGGGTTTGTTACATAGGTATACACGTGCCGTGGTGGTTTGCTGCACCCATCAACCCATCTATATTAGGAATTTCTCCTAATGCTATCCCTCCCCTATCCCACCACCCACTGACAGGACCCAGTGTATGAATACCTTATACATACACTATCCTGGTCATTCTCAAAGTATGATTCTTGAAACAGCAACATCGACATCATCTGGGAACCTCTTAGGAATGCAAATTATCAGGCCCCACCCTGACCTGCTGTATCAGAAACTTTGGGGGTGGGGCCTAGCTATCAGGTTTTAATAAATCCTCCAGGTGGTTCTGATGCTCCTCCAAGTGTCCATGTGTTCTCATTGTTCAACTGCCACTTATGAGTGAGAACATGTAGTCTTTGGTTTTCTGTTCTTGTGTTAGTTTGCTGAGAATGATGGTTTCTAGCTTCATCCATGTCCCTGCAAAGAATATGAACTCATCCTTTTTTATGGCTGCATAGTATTCCATGGTTTTTGCTAGTCCTTTCAGTCCTTCTACCCCCACTCAGCCTAGAGAAAGGACAGAAAAGACTCTCTTCACTGTATTCAGGAAGCCAGCAAAGTGGATGGAGAGAAAGCAGGAGTCTGAGTTGCCCTGCACTGAGAACCTTATTCCAGTGAGGGAAGATCTCAGCACCCCAGAATGGAAGTAAGGATGTCAATTACCCTCCTTGACTTCGTTCAAATGTATTCTTAAGGTTACCTTCCTGACAACATGGATTGAAATTTCCTGTCAAATTTGGAGACGGTTGCTAAGGGAATCAGGAGAAAAGTATTTGTTGTATAAATCTTATCATTGTTTTCCAAATTAGCATCAACACAAGCTGTAACTTTGAAAGACTTTGAAGCTAGTCAGCATATGCACTAGTGATTAAGGCAAAACAGACGCAAGAGGAGAACTCAGGAGTGGGCCTGATGATACTATTACTTATCCATTTATATTTTTCCTTTGCCACTTGACAAGAAGAAGGTGGAATCTCAGAGGGGGAATGCAAAGATACTGTGAGTAGGGAGATCAAGTTATCTCACCCCTCATCAACTACAACACAGGTAAGCGATGATTGTGGCTAGGGAATAAAAAAAAGTAAAAGCATTTTGAATGGTATTTGACAACAAACTAGCTTAAACTAGCTTAATGTTTCAAAATCACAAGGAGAAACAAGTTAAATTGTGAAATCAGAGATTCATATAAGAAACACCACCAAATCCTGAGAATAGAATCAAGTGAGTGGGGAAAAAAACAGAAATAGAATTGTAACTGTTCCAAAGTGTTTACATTTCTTTAATTTTTACTCTAAATTATTTGTGCAATCCTTATGCTAATGATAGCTTAACAACCTCAAGACTTCTTTTCCTAGAAAAAGCATAACTAGAAAAAGTATGCTAGGATTCAGTGATCCACAGACTCTCATGGACTGGCTACCTCAGAATCACCTGGGGGTTCTATTAAAAACATAGATTTGAGAGTTCTGCTATTGAATGTCCTGAATTAGAGTCTGGATGGGAAACAGTAGTAGGAATTGTTACCCTCTTCCCAAGAGATTTCAGTGGGCAGCCAGATCTCAGAACCATAATCTGGGCCTCTGTTTTCCACCCTCTGGAGAAGCCTGGCCATTTGGACCACAAAGACAAAGACCACCACGCCCTTGCTGGCAGCTTAGCTTAATGGAGGAAGCATCCCAAGAGAAGAAAAGTAGACGTGATGTGCCAGTGCTGCACACCAATGCAATGACAGGGAGAAAGCTCTGGGCATGATACAGGAGCTGGCCTGATAGAGATCTCCCAGTCTCAGAAATTAGCCTATTTACCTTCCTTGCCCTTAGGCCTAGCACATGATATGAGAGGGACGATAAATAGCCATAGGCCCTTGATATACACCTGTATGTCATTTCTGCCCTTTCGAGGTAAGCATAAGTAGGCCAGATTAGATATCAGAATAGGGCTTAGAGGTAAGATGACAACCAGGACTAAGGTTATAATCTTCCAAAAGGCTGGTCTCTCCTGCAGTGCATACAGCTTCCTGGGGCCTCTTAGGGTTAGGCCTTGGGGTTACTCCAATGAGAGAACAATCACTAACATCAAGGAGTTTTCAGAGTAATTATTAACCATCCATCCAGACAGGAAATATTTATCAACTTCAATTATGTACAAGGCACCTGGCCAGTAATTTTCAGTGGATATTGGAGTCCCTGTGGAACTGTTTAAAAATTACAAATATCCAAGCCTCGCCCCAGAAATTTTAAGTAAATTGGTTTCACATGCAGTCTTAGGCAGCTGTTATTATGAGAACTTCCCAGGTGACCTGAATGTGTGGCCAAGGTTGAGACTCACTGTGCTAGAATTACACCAGTGGCCCTCAAACAGGAATGATCACCAGAGTTACCTGGGGTTGGGGGGCCTTGTTTAAACACAATTCTGCCTCCACCACACATTCTGATTCAGTAGGTCTGAGGTGGGGCCCAAGAATTTGCTGTTTTACAGATTCCCAGGTAATGCTGATCCTGATGGTCCCCGACCATATTCAGAATCACCGAATGGCTCAGTACCTGCATCTCTTGAGACATACAATCAATTAAGAATGTGTTCTCTTGCCTATTTGGAGCTCACAAAAAAAATCACACTTCTTTCACCACAGAGCCACCCAAAGCGCTTCTACTTTGTGAGTCTCTAAGTCCAAGCTCCCTGGCCTGACCGGTTCCTTCAGGTTATAGGGCTGAGTTCCCTGTTTCCTTGCTAGATGTCAGCTGGAGTGTTCCTGTTAGCTCCTAGAAACTTCTCTCTGATCCCAGAGAGAACCAGCAACAGCATATCAAAGCCTTCTCATGCTTGAAGCTCTTTTGACCCCTCTTCTGCTATGGAGGAGCTCATGTGATTACACTGGGCCCACCCGGCCAAGTCTGGATAGTCTCCCTATCTTACAGCCCAATGATTAGCAATCTTAATTGCATCTTCAAAGGCCCTCGACAGCAGTGTCTAGATTAGTGTTTCATTGGATAACCAGGGGATAGAATGTTAAAAGACATTTTTAGACTTCTGCCTACCACACCAGCCTGCTTATTTAGTAGTGCTTTCCAGTGAGCAGGCACTTGGAGAAGACACTCCTTTTTAGAGTCAGCCATACAAGTAGTTGGTACTTGGACATCTGAAATCCCAGTGTTTCCCATGCCTGGACCAGCCCAGACTTGAGAAGGTATGCCAATGCTGACTGAGAAGGTAGAAGGGTTCTCAGTGCTTCTGGCATCATAAGAGGAAGAGAAGGAAAAATGCCTCTGGTCACAGTTAAAGCCTTTCATGGCCTTAATTAGAGCTCCAGTAACTTTAAAACAGAGATTGGGAAATTCAAATCTGTAGGCAAAGTCTGCAGCAGGACAAATGAGGTCCTTGTTCCTGAAAAATTCGGGGCTGGCTGGCTAAAGATAATCCCAATAATGGAGTCACATGTTACAGATACCCTCCAGGCTCACTGCCTTTAGTCCATTCCCATACACAGCCACTCGAGGAATCTGTCCAATATGCAAATCTGATCATGTCCCTGCCTATTTCTGAGCCTTTTGTGGCTCCCCATTTGATGCTTCCGATTCCACTTTCCTTGAGTGTATAAAAGCCCTGTGATCTGGACCCCATTTGTCCCTCTAGCCTCATCTCCGGTCACTCCTGGCCTCACGCTGTGTCCTCCTCATGTGTGTGAAGCTCCCAGAGCACACTCTGACACTCTACGTCCTCAGCTTTTTGCTCTAGCTGTCTCTCTGCCTAGAATACTTTCCCCTAGTTTTATTTGACTGATCAATAATCATCCATCACTCAACTCAGTGTCTTCTTCTTCAGGAAGGCTCTTCTCTCTCTGTAGCTAGGTTAGAATAGCTGCCCCTGAATTTTGACAATCCAGTTCTGCACCTATCTCCTCCATTAAAGGAAGAGTTCCCTGAACAGAGCATGGCACCTGGCACAGCACAGATACTCAAAAATGTTTGCTTTCAAAAAACAAAGCCCTCGGCAAGAACCCAGAGTAACCAGACCCAGATTTGTGCATCTGAAGTTACCTTGGAATAATCAGTGTGGGAGTCGGGAAAAGGCCAGACTAGGACCCCATCTGCAGGACTTGCTACTTCACCTACAAGGCCCATTGCAAAATGAAAATGCAGGGCTCCTTGCGAAACAGCTATTCAGAATTTTAAAATGGCAGAGCATAGGATGTTTGTGAGTGCAGAGCTCTATGAGACTTTCCAGGTCACATGCCCATAAAATGAGACCTGCTAGTCTGGAATCTTGATTTGGGCTAAAGTGTGGAGCGTGGAAGGCCAGAACACTTACTTTCCATTTCCCCAAAACCCTCCAGCCTGATTGTAAATGTCTATAATATTAACCAATTGAAACAGTCTTTTAGTTGAAGGGGGAAGGTAATTCAGCCTCCATTTGAGGCCTCTTTCTTTGGAAAAGAGGAAGGTAACCACCTGCATTAAAATGCTAGCCACATTGCACAAAGCTTGTCTATGTCAACAGCCTTGGACCTGGGCACCTAGTGGCCCATTTCTTAATGCATTGGTTTGAAAGGCCAAATCACTCCAATGTGCACAGGCCAACAGCCAGCGTCTCTTCACAGCTCAGCCCAGAGGGTACCAGGTAGCAAGATGAAGCCAAGTAGGAGGGCTGGAGTGCAGACCAGATCCCCCTTCAGAGCAAAGCCTGGTCTGTGTGGGTGGGGTGAGTATCCAAGTGGCTATGTAGCCTCTGTACAAATTTAATCAATCCCAAGCACACAACCAGTGACAGAGAGAGTCCCACTGAGGAGCTACAGGAACCTCTCAAGCCAGTTGTTAAAAACAGGGTTGGTCAGGGGGGTTCAGAGCTCTTGGAGTGAAATGTGGGTGCCAGGTCATGGGCAAACTGAAACTTAAAGGCTACCAGGAGCAAAGAAACAATGAGTACAGGTTTCTCCTTCATTGCTCCTCTTTTCCTTGGAGCCTGCTCCATCTGCCCTCCCCTCTCCTCTGACCAGCACCCTCCGCTTACATGTGATTTGTCTGCCCTTGTTGTGGACTGCACAAACCTTGTGACTGTTCCGGCCTCACTCTCCTTACACCATGGCTGTGCTTCTCCAGTTCCTATGTTCATAGCCCAATTCTTTCTGTCAGCCCTCCACTAGGAGAAAGTGGGCAGGCAGGTGGATAGGAACATTCCTAGTACAAGAATAGTACAAGTCCCTACAAGGTAGCCCTGACCAAAGATCCAGGTTGACAGGCAGGCAGCACCAGAAAGGTCTGGCCATGAGCTGCTGTCCCAGGCACTGGGCAAGGGCTCATGTTGGAGGAGGCAGGGAAGTACTGCCAGGGGTAAAGCAGGTTCCTAAGAATCTGAGGAAGGTTCCCAAATCAGAAAGCAGGCACCAGAACTGGGCACAGAAAAAGGCAGAGCAATACTTGACTCACAGCCACAGAGACTGCTGAATCCTGGAGGGCTATACACATCTGCAGCGTTGACCCTCTACCATCAGAGCTATCAGAAGATGAAAGCTGCGGGGAGAGGTAGATCCTAACATTAAAGTAAATGGCAAGGCCCTGCACCCAAATACATTCACAGTATGAGCATGTTCAAGCTCCACCTCAGCTGTCCAGAACTTTTCACTACCAGAGCACCCTCCTTCTTCCCACACAAGTTGATTGAGTTTATTCTGTTGTGTTGATAAATATATTTGGAAATCATGAGGAGTCAGGCTCAGCTAATGCCTTCATCTCTGACCCCTATAAATACAATGTCTTCAATGAAGAAACAACGCTCCCTGTGTTTACTGGAAACTGATTCTGTGCTGCAGGCACTGTAGGATCAAATCCAGATGCCCCAGTATGTCTTTTCTGGCCCTACCTAGAGGGCTTCTTAAAACACGGATTGGGCCTCACCCCCAGAGTTACATTTCCAACTCATTCTCAGGTGATGCTGATGCTGCTGGCCAAAGGACAACTTGGAGAACCACTGCCTAGCCTCACCAGCTACCATGGCCAACCCCAGCCTCCAGTCTCTCCTTACGCCCCCTACTCCTCTCTCACACAGACTCTCTCCCCACTAAGTACTGAACTCCTTCCAGTTTCCATATGACACCATGACAAAGTCCTGCCAGATCTGTACACATGCTCTCCCCTTCACCTGGAATACACTTCTCCCTCACTTCCTCTGGTTCTCTCCTACTCTGTCTCAATATCTAGCATAGAGGCACTTCCTCCAGGAGACCCTACATGCCTCCTCCCTTCCCCCTTATTCACTCACTCACAGATGTGTTGGGGCCCCTGCCCTGGGCTTCAGGAGCAGCCTGTGCTTCCCCTGGGGTGCCTCTTGGTCTGTTGTATCCTCATAGCTGCTCTGTCTTCTCCTGTGTAAGGACAGCAATCAAGTCCATCTGTTTACCACCTCATCCCCAAGGCCTGGTCAGTGCTCAACAGGTGATGAGTAAGTATTTACCAAATGAATGAATGAACAACATGAATTTGATCATTTGTCTTATTGGGACATTAGCCTATATTCTAATTAAGCAGAATATGAATACCTTATACATACACTATCATGGTCATTCCCAAAGTATGATTCTTGAACCAGCAACATCGACATCATCTGAGAACCTCTTAGGAATGCAAATTATCAGGCCCTACCCTGACCTGCAGTATCAGAAACTTTGGGGGTGGGGCCTAGCTATCAGGTTTTAATAAACCCTCCAGGTGGTTCTGATGCTCCTCCAAGTTTGAGAACCACTGTACTGTCATATAATGAGACCTCAAAGGAGTGAAAACGTTAAAGGATTCTGAAAGTAATAGGACTCTCTGGTATTGGTGAAGTCAATGATACGTGAAAACTGCTAGAAGTATGCTAACAGAGGTCTTGGGGATGGTTTACTCTCCTGGGGGCTGTAACCTCAAAGTAGTCAAGCTCAGTTTATTCTCCAAATGGATATTTATAAAACAGAGCTCCAAGGATGAAGATGTCACTGCAGATGAGAGTTTGGAGGAGAGACAATTACTCTGTCAGGTGAATAATTTGAAGACAAAATTGAAAAGTGAAAATAGGGAAAACCAGATGAGCCGAAAGTTAATTTGGTGACTAGCATAAGAAGCATTGCGATGGGGAAGGTGTCAATTCACCGGCAGGGTCCAGTGAGCAAGCTCTTTCCAAAGTCTATGTACTGCCCCATTGTGATCAATGAAACATCATCTGGGTGTGAGAGGCAAATGCAGCAGAACTGATGACCGAGTGGATACAGGTGTCTCAGGTCTTCAGGGGAGGGGCTACGACAGGATGGGAACCCACAACAAGGGTCAGAATTATTTTTAAAAAAATTAAACCTGGGAGAAAAACACAAGTTAGTGCTACACTGTGAGGCAAAGAACTGTCTATTGTCACATATTCTCTATAAAGCCAGGATAAAAGGACCCTGGGGCTGAAGTCCAGTGGGAGCAGAACAAGAATGCCTCGGAAGGCTTTGGAAAGGGCAAACCCAACCTGAACTTGGGAGCTGGTCCCCAAAATCCCACCAGAAAGTACTCATTTTCTTTAAAGACTAGGAATGTGAGGACTCATGTAGCTACTTGGCATTGAGGCAAACTGGAAATATGAAACTAAACTTGTTTGCTAAACCATGACAAGCTACAGCCTATAGTTCTACCATATGCTTCTAAATTGCCCATGTCTTGTACAGTTTGCTCTTAGAAATTCTTCATGCCAACAGAATATATTCTACCCAGTAAACAAAGCTAGCCTTGGACTATCCTTATGACCCAGGGAGTATAAAGGGGAGGCATCAATCCAGAGTACTTGCTGCTCCTCCTTCTGCCCTTTGAGGTGGTATGCTGGGAAATGAGCAGTGAGTAGTGGAGAGGCTACTCACTCTCAATTCTGGCAGAATTGCCACATGGAGCCTGAAGAGCATTCACTGAATCACTAAGAACTAAGTGTTATTTAAAATAAGTGCTTATCCTAAATCAGGCCAAAGGTCAGAGTGGGGGACACCAAGGTCAACATCTCAGATATCTAATGAAGACCCTTGATCTGGAGGAAATTTATGGTCCTGGAAAGAATACGTGCATTGGAGGAATATTCCTCCAAAACACAGCGAACTGGGTAAACTTGGATGAGTTACTCAAGCCCTCTGATTCTCCATGATATCTTAAATCAAGGATGAAAACATGTACTGGGCAGGGTTGCCTGGGGAATTAAACAAGATAAGAAAGTATTTATCCCTATAGGCACCTAATAAATGTGAGATGTACTGATCTTCTCCTGCCTCTTAGATTATATAGTGCTGGCGTGTCCTGAATCCTATTTCATAAGAGAAAAGCAGATTCGACATTCCGTAACATAGCCCTGAACCACAGACAAGCCACGATTTTTAATGAGCTTTGCTGATTACTTTTAAAAAATAATGTTCAATTCCTTCATAGGTGGGAATTGAACAATGAGAATACATGGACACAGGAAGGGGAACATCACACACTGGGGCCTGTTGTGGGGTGGAGGGAGCGGGGAGGGATAGCATTTGGAGATATACCTAATGTTAAATGACGAGTTACTGGGTGCAGCACACCAACAGAGCACATGTATACATATGTAACTAACCTGCACGTTATGTATATGTACCCTAAAACTTAAAGTATAATTTAAAAAAAAGAGAGAGAGAAAAAAAAATATGATGCCACTACTCCTGCCCTCTGATTTGCTTTGGCAAACTGTCTCTGCCTTCTTATTCACAGTTCGAAGTGTTACCATCGCAGGCCCTAGAAGTTGAATGATGAGCTTTCTGGGTCCCCTGGAAGAAACTTTTCATCTCTACTTATTCATCAAGTCATGAAATTTTAGCTAGAGGTGTGTTTGGTTGTTCGTTCGTTTGTTTTGTTGTTTTTTGTTTCTGTGGGGGCTTTTGGCTAAAGGAGTCCCTGGTATTCATTTGCCAGAACTGCTGTAACGAAGTGCCACAAAGTGGGTGGCTTAACCAACAGAAATTTGTCTGGCAGTTCTGGAGGCTAGACATCTGAAATCGAGGTGTTAGTGGGGCTGGTTTCTCCTGTGAGGAAAGGATCTGTTTCAGGCCTCTCTCCTTGACTTGCAAATGGCTGTCTTCTCCCTATGCCCTTGTGTAGTCTTCCCTCTGTGTAGATCTGTGTGTCCAAATTTCCCCTTCTTATGAGGACAGCAGTCATACTGGAGTAGGACTCTTACTAGTGAACTCATTTTAACTTGAATACCTTTGTAAAGACCTATCCTGAAATACGGTCATGTTCTGAAGTACCAGATGTTAGGACTTCAACATACGAATTTTAGAGGGTACAATTCAACCCATAATGTCCCCCAGCCCCACTCACATGCACTTTTGGCATCTGGGGGATGAAAGTGCAATGTTACCTGATACACCGCCCCAGAAAGTGGTACATCTCCACAGTGAAGGGGAGAAATTCTCACACTTCATACAATATTCACCCTCAGCGAAGCCCATTCCAGGGTGGCCCACTAGGAAGACACGCACTTTTCCTCTCTCAGGCTGACTACCTTTCGGCTGACTGATATTTTAGAGTCTGAACCTATAGTCTAGGCCTATCTTCATGGCCATATTAATCATCATGTAGGCAAAGACCTTCACTGTGCTGGCATTGATGTGTCTGCTGGTCTCACACATCAGACACTATATATAGCTGAGGGATTGATGTCAAGGTTTCTTACCTCTCATTCTGCCCAACAAGCTACAAAATGTGGTGACTCTGTTAAATCTCAGGATAAGAACGGCTGAAAGTTTTTGCTCCTGCAGGAAGAAGAAGGAGCAGCTAGAGTAAATGAAGTCCAGTGTTGTGGGTAAAAGGTGGAAAGAAAATCCTTAAGGTTCTGTTTGCTTTCAGGTTTAGTGGCTGGAGGCTTCAGACAAACCTCCCCAGCAGCCTATCCACTTGGGAGACAGAGGAGGAGAAGAAGTGAAGGGCTCTCCTCTCTTGAGATTGACATTCAGGGGGGAGAGAGAGAGAGAGAGATTGATTTACAAATTTTGTTGTGAATTTCCTAGACAAATCTGAAGTACTGTACCAGGGCTAGGTGGACAGAGTGCTGAAAAAGCTGTCATAGAGCCATCCCAGTGCACTCTCACTCCTCATTGCCCAGGGTGGCGAGTGGAGGCAGTGCCTTTGCTGTTGGCCGTGTCAGCAAAAACAATAATTTTCCTCCTTACTCTCCTGGATAAAATGAGTTTTTCTTTCCTCGGCTTTCAGGTGATGCCAGGGGACACCTGCTCACAGGCATCCTCCCTGAATGCTCAGACCGAGGGCTGCACAATGCCAAGGCGGTGTCCGGGGCTCCACGCATGCCTTTCTCCTGGAGGGAGTCCAAGTCCTGACCTTGCCCTCTGAGCTGCAGCAGGCCTTGTTCCACACCAGGTTCTCTCTCAGGCGCCTTCATTTTACATATTCATGTGCATGAAAATTAAAAACCCTGAAGATTTAATTAGGGGACCATGTTGGGAGAACAAATGGGCAGAGCTTTGTAGCTGGCCAAGGGAAGCTTGCAGGCTCAGGGAGTAGGGGCATCTGAGCATTTAAATGAAATAGAACAGTGGATGTGCAGAGGAATCACCCCAGTGACAATGGAAATTGCTTCCAGGTTCTTCCTCAGATACAAAGCTGAAGTGGTTTTGTCCTAGAATATATCATCTAACAGCAAAAAAGATTCCTCAGCCTTTCTTTTTTTTTTTTTTAACAAATGTCTTTTGAGCAACATGTTTTAGTCATACCAGAGGATTAAACCTGAATACCTGAAAGAGTCCTGGTGTGACAACTGAGTGGGGAGGTCAGGGGAAGTGCTCTGTGGGCACTGAGGTACTAAGCAAGCCTGAGCCCTTAGGACCTGCAGAGGTGCCCTCCAAGTCCGGAGGTGCCCCAGGACAGCAGTCTCCCTAAGATCTGCAAGTAGTGGTGAGAAAGCTATTTGCATTGTGCTATAATGAAGCTTCTCTCCAGCCAAGAGCACGTGAATGTTTGTAGCTTTGGTGTGGCCACCAACTATTATAGCTATGTAACCTGAACCAAGTTTCTTAACCTCTCTGGTCCCAGCATCATGTCATTGTCATGAGGACTGAGTACGCAAGGGATAGTGCATTAACACCATCACTGGGGGACACATAGGAATTGCTCAATAAATGGTAACCCTTTCTTCTACCACATTTACTTCCCCATAACACTAGCTTGGGACCATGCTGTCTGTGGATACACCACACAGACATTTAACAGGGATGATAGTGCTGACTTTTCCCTGGACCTCATCACTTGACCTCATCTTCTTTATCTGAAGAATGGAGATAAAGGTCCCTTCCTGCTGCACTGTGTAGCAAAATGAAACCACATAAAAGAAAGTGCTGGCCGGGCGCGGTGGCTCAGGCCTGTAATCCCAGCACTTTGGGAGGCCGAGGCGGGCGGATCACGAGGTCAGGAGATCGAGACCATCCTGGCTAACACAGTGAAACCCCGTCTCTACTAAAAAATACAAAAAATTAGCCGGGCGTGGTGGCGGGCGCCTGTAGTCCCAGCTACGCGGGAGGCTGAGGCAGGAGAATGGCGTGAACCCGGGAGGCGGAGCTTGCAGTGAGCCGAGATCGCGCCACTGCACTCCAGCCTGGGCGACAGAGCGAGACTCCGTCTCAAAAAAAAAAAAAAAAAAGAAAGTGCTCTGGTATCTGTGATGACACAGACGAATATTTCCACATTTGATTCAAGAGCACACTCCTTAGAATCAGACTAATCTAAACACGGGTTCTAATTCTGTTTTTTAGGCAATTACTTAACCTCTCTGTGCTCTGGTTTTTCATCTGCAAAACAGGGATAAGAAGAGCAAACATCTTATAGGCTATTGTGAAGACTTAAAAGTATGTGCAAAATGCTGAAAAGAGTTCCAGGCACCTTGCAAACACAATAAAAAATATTTGTTACTCTTCTTCTTCTTTTAAGATTACAGTTATTGTCATCATTGCTATCAATACCAGTACATGCAGCAATTGTGGTCATATTTCCTCTTTAAGGGTTGCTAGTCCCAGAAGTCTTTCATGCTTACACATCACTGCCAGAGACCCCTGCCCCTTAGCAGAAAAACTTGGTTTTTCCTTTCTCCAATAGCAGCCACCACTTTAGCCAGGTTCTTTCCACACCATAGCTCTACAAGCCAGGCTTTGCTGGTTTTGAGTTTCAAAATCCAGGTGCTACAGGTCAAAGTCAGGGCCTGCCTGTTTCCTGCTCACTTGGATGAATTACCCATTATTGGGATGCTAGATTAGTCTTCTGTAGGTGGCCAAAGACAAGAGCACGGTTTCTGTTGCCAGGAAAATCCAATGGGTGATGACGCCAGAGACAAAGGTAAGACAGGACCAGTTTATGCAGAAATGCCAATGAGCTAGCAAATGAAGGCCCTGATTCCTAAAAAGTCACAGGTCTAGCCTCAAAGGTCTAATCTTATAATAAGGCATAGGGTCAGAGACTGTATTAGTCTCCTGTTGCCACAGGAACAAATTACCACACGCTTAGTGGCTTAAAACAACACGGATTTGTTACTGAACAGTTCTAGAGTCAGAAGTCTAAAACCAAGGCGTAAGCAGAGCTGCATTCCTTCTGAAGGCTCTAGGGGAGAATCTGTTTCCTTGCCCTCTCCAGCGACTACAGGCCACCTGCATTCCTGGCTTTTGGTCCCTTCTTCTGCTTTCAAAGCCAGCAAGTTAGCATCTTTTCTGTCTGACCTTCCTGCCTCCCTTTTATAAGGACCCTCGTGATTACATCAGACCACCTAGGTAATTCAGAGTAATCTCACCATCTCACAATAATTAACTGAATCACATCTGCAGAGTCCCTTTTACCATGGGAGGTAACACATGCACAGGTTCCAGGGATTAGGATATGGACATCTTTGGCGAGGCCATTATTTAGCGTACCACAGAAATGAATTCTGGACACCCACAGATCTCAACTCAAGTTGCTAAGGGCAGTTCTCATAGGAAGTGAACCCTCAGGAAGGTCCTGAGGTGTGAACTTGAAGTGACTATCTTAGATCAGGGCCAATCTGAGGGGAGTTTAAGTGTCCCTGAACAAAGATTCAGCAGCCCTAGATCAGGAGATAATCAATAAATACCTGCAAAATGTTAAATGGCTAAGTGGCCTTGGCTTCACTCCTTAGGCCTTACTTAGGTTTCTCATGTGTGAACCGAAGAACACCCACCCCGCATACCTTCTGGGCGGCTGAGACCATCTAGTCTGCAGAACAGTGAGAGAGCAAATGTTGCTGTAAAGCCATCCAGTTTTCGGGCTTTTGTTACAACAGCCACAGTAAACGACTACAACACCCTAAGGGCTGTCTTTGTGCCAGGCATTATGTTGGCTACTGACAAATCAAGACATGGGCCCCTGCCATTGAGAAGTCCAGAGGCTAAAAGTAATTGCAAGATGAATCATTCATTTATTCAATGAATATTTACTGCATATGTACTGTATGAGCCGAGAAAAAGAGACCCAGTTCCTAACCTCATGGCACTTACAATCAGAGTTGTTACAGTCCTGGAGTTTACACTTGGAGTTTGCAATTGTGCCGTTTACAAGCCAGGCTTCAAATACATGGTTATATGTGATAGAAGCGTGTAACAGGCATAATAATTATCAGTTCTATCAGAAGCAGGGTGGGCACCTTAGATACATCATCGTGATGATTTTCAGGAGAGGTAACAAGTAGATTCTGATAAACACTTTGTGGTTTCCAAACCTTTCACTGTATTCCCCACTAGATCATCTCTGCCATCCTGATGCCCCTCCTTCCACCTGGCTGCACCTTCTCTGCTTTCCATTCCCCCCAAATTCCCCTCCACGGAGGGGCACATGGAAGTGCTCAGAACTTTGCTCCTCCCTAACACTGTCTCCTGCAGACCTAATGACTCCTATGGCTTTAGCACCACTACCTTTGGTGGGGACCCCCAAGGTTTGCCTTCCAACCAGACTCGTCAGTTACAATTCTGCACCATGCACCACCCCCCAAGGGCCCCTAGCCCCTCACTCCCAGTGTGTCTCCCCACAATCTCCTATACATGCATGTGCACATCTGACTTAAACTCAGTTACTTCTCATCTCTTTCCTAACTTTGTACATTTTTTCTGTCTTTAGGATGGAAAATTTTGGAGTAATTCTTGATTCCTCTTTTTCTACTCCTACCTCCAATATTCTGCCAATCATCAAATCCTGTCCATATTTAATAAGTATTACTGAATTGCAGTATTGATAAAACAACCTTGTCCTGAGAGTCCAGAGTTCTGAGTTTTAGCCCAGAGTCTAACTGTTTGACCATGAAATTATTTATGTAACTCATTTTGCTTGTCTGTGAAATGGGAGTTTGAGCAAGATAAGCTTTAAGGACTCTGGCAAATATTGCTGGTTGCCTACCCACTATCCATTCTCCTTTTACTCCTTAACAAAACCCTGATTCTTTCCTGGGAAGTGATATGCTCAGCCACAAACCCTGGTGCTCCCTAGCATCCAGTTTTGCCCTAAGGATGGCATTTGCTGCATCCTGTGTGTCCTCCTGGTCACAGAATCATCAGTGGCTGTGGGTAAGCAGCTGGTCCTTCATGCAAAAGATGAAAAAGGAAAGCATCTGCTTGCTTGATATCTCCATGGGAACATGGTGGTCTGTGCTTTAGAGGCTCAGAACCTGAGAGCAGGACAGACATTGGAGTCCACTGGGTCCCTATTTCCATCTGGCTCAGAGACCCAGACATGTGCAGGGTCTATGATTGCTACAAGATTCTCTGCCGTTGAACACATTCTGGGCCCATATAGCAGTTTCTCCTACTAGCCCTGGTCTCCCTTTTGGAGCTGGAAAAACAAGATGTGTGACAGCCCTTCAGATGTGACAGGTGCCCCCATCCCTGGAGTCTCCTCTTCTTCAGGTTCAGCTGGACCTTCAGCCTGTCAGGGCAGGACTGGTTTCCAGACCCCACACTGTACTGGTTTCTCAAATGTATTAGATAGCAGCCCTCCATCCCTGCACACCTAGGACTAGACTCCCCTCACGAGGCTGTCAATAAGGATACTTTGGGGCTGGGAGCAGTGGCTCACGCCTGTAATCCTAGCACTTTGGGAGGCCAAGGTGGGCAGATCACTTGAGCCCAGGAGTTTGAGACCAGCCTGGGCAACATGTCAAAACCCCATGTCTAAAAAAAATACAAAAACTATCCAGGTGTGGTGGCACACACCTGCAGTCTTAGCTACCCCCAGCTACTTGGGAGGCTGAAGTGGGAGAATCGCTTAAGCCCAGGAGGTCGAGGTTTCATTGAACTGTAATCATATCACTGCATTCCTGCCTGGGCAACAGAGTGAGACCCTGTCTCAAAAAAAGGATACCCTTCATAACTATTTAGGGGCCTCCCCAACACCTTGCCAAAAGTACAGTGCTAAGATGAAAGTTTCCCAGCTCTCTATGGGGAGTCCCTTCGGGAATGATCTCTACACAAAGGCCATAGGGAATTGTCTCCAATCTTAACCTGAACTCAGGAAGGCTACAACATAGAAGTCCAGAAGTTCTGTTATAAGATGCCATTTAGACCCAAAATACTGAAGTGTTCCTGGGGTGCCACATGGAGAGTGCCCTGCTCGGGCTGGGCAAGTTCCCAGCACAAAGGGCTCAATTACTGCCAGAAGCTCCTCTATACAACCTGCCTCCAGCCCCTCTGGCTCCAGCTTCCTGGCAGGGACTAAATAAAGCTTCCCTTGTCCCCTGGATGGGGCTCAGGTCATGCTGTGGACCCGTGTGAGCCTTTCTTCAAACCAGGTGGAAACCCCTCTGACACCATCCCTCAGGGGCAAAGTATGAGTATTATTTTGTGTTGTTTCATCAGTCACTGGTTACCTAAGCATTGCTTTTGGAAAACTCAAAGCACCAGTCAGTTCTCACAGCTCTTTCTGCCATCAAACACTCAAGAGGACCAGGTGAGTATTTAACTTATAATTGCTTAGCAACAGGTATCCAGGCTACGCAGGGGACTTACCAAGTTGTGGTTCCTCTCAGGATCTTCTCCACAGAAAGGAGCCAGGCTGAAAGAGGGATGGGGAAAGAAGCTGAGACTGAGCCCCAGTCCAGAAGAGGCACCTTGAGCAAGGCTGGAGAAAGCCCTCTGGTGTGGAGATGCCCCAGCCTCAAGCAGCTGGCACAATGAACAAACAAAGTAGGGTGATTTCTCCTGCTCAGAGGCCAAATCAGCCAAGGAGGAGCCTTGCAGTCACCCTAGAGCCAAAGTGCCCTGTGCATATAATGTGGTAGACTCACCCCTTATCTCCAGCTGAGCCCCCTGGAGATGCTCTCTGGGATCGGAGATGCTGATCACCTGAGAGCTGTGGCGCCATTCACAGACTCTCCACTAGAGGTCAGCTCTGGGTGAACACAGGGCTCTGCCCCTTCTCCTGGCTGGGAGCTCCAGGGCCTCCAGGGGCTCAGGGCTCAGGGCTCAGGGCTCAGGGCTCAGGGTTCAGGGCTCTGGCCTCTGGAAGGAGCTACCAGATAGGTGAATGTTGAAGTGCTCCCATCTCCCTTCTTTGTACCTGCTGTATCCTCCATAAATCAGCTCTCAGAGACAACATGGCCCAGCACCCTTCCTCTGAAGTCAGAATGACCTAATGACTCCTGTGGCTTTAGCACTGCTACCTTTAGTAAGGACCCCCAAGACATGAAGCCCAGCTGCCCAGGGACCCACATGTCTTGGCCAAGATACCTGCAGTGAAGAGGGAGCCCAGGGTGCAGCTGAGATAGGGAAAGTCCTGTTAGACTTGTCCATGAGACCCCCAAATGTCCCTCCTAGCCCTCTGGAGGTCTGTTTCCCATTTACTCATTGGGCTAGGGGGAAGGAGCTAAATGCTTGCCTGTCTCTATCTAGGAGTCATGGTTAGGAGTGGAGCAGATGGGGGCGTGGCGTCTGGAGCCCTTTTTAAGAAGACAAAAGTATGGCATACATTTGGGTGCTGGACTAACTGAACTCTTAAAAGAAATCTCACTTTGTAGAACACAGAAAATCAGAGCTGCCCTAGTTAGAGGAGGGTAGACACACTCCCAACTTCTGAGTGTCCCTCGGACACCCACCCTCCTGACCCCAGTTTTGAGCAGCCACTGAGGCACCTCTTGGAGAAGCCGAGAGTCTCAAGTACAGCTTGAAAATCATCAGGCAAGGCATCCTGAGGCCTTGAGCATCACCATAAGCCCAGACAGCATCCCCTCAATGCATGTGTTCCTGTCTGATAAAGGAAGGGAGTTGTGAAGCAAGAGGAGACCCTCCTCACACTGGGCAGCCATTGTGTTGACAAGATGAGCTGCATCATCTACCAAAACCCCAGAAGAAAATGCTGGCCTTCTGAGTAGATTCCTGGCGGGCGAATATGGGCAGCCCAGGGTCTCTGAGCATTAGCCCCACTGCTCTCATGGTTGCTTGGCCTAGCCAGACAGCCTCAGGGCATTGGAGGACAAGGAAGAGAGTCCCTGAGGCTATGGCACCACTTCGCCTGCTGGTGGTGTGTGTAGCCCCATCACCGTGTGTGTGATGCAGCCAAGCCAAGGCAGGAGGGAATGTGCTCCACCCCAGCAGGGGCCATTCACCAGGAAGGTCCTTTGGGCTCAGGGATGCCATTTCATCATATTTTTGGCAAAGACTGA
This sequence comes from Homo sapiens, assembly GCF_000001405.40. NCBI lineage: Eukaryota > Metazoa > Chordata > Mammalia > Primates > Hominidae > Homo > Homo sapiens. Next base: position 134,754,052 of record NC_000003.12, on the reverse strand, counting down.
ACAATGTATAAAGGGACATTGTACATTGTCCACAGGAACTTCCTGAAAAGAGGAGCCAGATCTTAAAACACAAGAGCAACACACATGCATAGAACCCCCACGTGCAAGCACAAACCTCACAGATACTCACAAGATGCACACACTAGTGTGTGGCTTACACGTTTGTGTCCCACACTTCTATGCACTGAGGCAGTATTGCAAAACGGTCAGGAGTGTGGATGCTGAGCCTAGAGAACTCTGTTCTGTCTAGCTCTGTGTCCTCAGGTAAGTTACCCCACCTCTCTGAACTTTTCTTTCCTCATTTGAAAAAGTGCATGCGTCAGAATTATCTACCTCCAAGGCGCATTATGAGGATGGGCTGGAAAACTTACCTGCAAACTCCCAGCCTGAGATTAGTGCCTGACCATTGGAATGTGACTGTGTATGTTTTCCTACCATGATAGGCTAAGTCAGGGGAGCAAAGACTCTGGAAATCATGAGGTGCTTGCTTGTCTTATGCTCTAGGTGATGGGCCCTGGCCCTGGTGGCTGTTGCTGTCTTTATGCCAGTTTTCCAGCTCCAGAGGTCTATGGAGACCAAGGGTCCTTAGCTCACTATGTGTCACAAGACCTGCAGCATGTGGGCCATCAGAGGGATGGCATTTGTGCACTTTCGGCCCATATAGTGCTTGCTGGGAAGGCCCAGGAGTCAATGACAAATCCCCATGGAGGCAGGCACTGACCGCAGGGAGACAATAAGAGGGAAAGAGAGCTAGGATAAATATAGAGGAGAAACTCTAAATAGAGTGGTGACAGATGCAAAGAGAACGAGTAGACACGGTCTGTATATAGAGCTCAGCTTAGAAAGACCATACAGAGGCAGACAGCCAGACACCCACTGATAGACAGGCAGAAACATAGTGAGAAAGACCATTCTCCAGGATCATGGGCTCGAGTAATTGCTCATGCACAGACACCCACACTTGAGGACAGAGAAAAAAAAAGATGAAAACACAGATCCCCATCTGCCTATGACCTTCGTGCCCACTTCGTGCCTGAACTCCCCAGAGGCCCTTTCTTCTCAGCAGCTGTGTTTCTGCCAGGCTCCTGGCCACCAGACCCATATCATGCCCGGGCAGTGGTAGAGCCTGGAAGCGGTAGGCAGAGAGTGGGGCAGAGCAGGTCACCAGCAAGCTGAAGCAGGGGGAGGAGGAGACACAGTGGCTTCAAACAGTTCAGGGTCCAGTGTGGCCATAGGCAATTACCAAGGAGCCCTCACTTGTCAGCCCTGAATTTTAATGGTATTAATGAGACCTCATGTAATTTTCTCCCCGGATAAGGTGCTTTTCTTCTACAATTGCTGGTCCCGTGCACCTGTACCTCTCCCTTGTCCTGGCTTTGCCCACTCGGTGTCAGGGAAGGGGAGCACAGCTGACATCTTTTCTGTCTTCTTTTTATTATTGTAATTAATTATTTGCAAGGGGGATAAATGAGTGTGCTGTCTATGTATGTAATCATCTGACATCCCATTGGTAATTTCCTGCAGGAGGAGTTGGCTGCTGTCCACCGCTGCGAAATGAGGGTGCAAGAGAGAGAGGGCAAAGCAGGAGAAATGAGGCTGGAACATGCCCAGCCCAGCCAATCCTCCTCGGGCTTCCCTCTCCTTGACAGGGAGGTCAGTCATGTATCATGCACGCAGCTCATATGTGTTGGACACTTTCCTCAGGCACAGGGCTGGTTGTGGTAATGGCCACACCTGGTAAGGCCTCTGTCATCCTGGGAAGTCCTCCCAAATGTCCATATGCAGAGTGTTCTGGAGATGGGTTAACTCACCCAAAAACATCTACTCTTGGGTTCTCTCTGGTTCCCTCTTGCCCCTTCAAGTAGTCTTTCTTGGTCTCTTTTATTGATTATGCTTTTTACTTCTTGCCCTTTAAGTGCTGGGGTTCTCAAGATGTCCCTCTTGGCCCTCTTCTCTGCTCACTGTAAAGCACTAGTTCAGGAAGTCCATCCACCCTCAACACATGCTGGGCAAGCCTGCTGGCTTGAGTCAGGCCCAGGGGAGTAGTGAGGAAAGCCCCGTCCCTGCCCACAAGGAGCTCCATCTTCTAGGAACGCAGCCAGAAACACAACTCCAATAAAACCAATGAGCTCTGTCTTTGTGGACTATAAGAAGTGCTGAGGGAGCCCAGACTTTTTTTTCCCTTTCTGGAAAATGAGGATTTTCATGGAGTCTTATAGAGTTGTTGGGATTATTGAATAATGGAAAGTGCTTAGAACAGTGCCTGGGAAAATGTTAAGGGCTCAGTAAAGTAAGACGCATAAATATAATATCCTGAGCCACTTCGGTCTCTAGCCCAGACCTTTCCCTGTGGTTGCAGATAAACATACCTACCCCTTCCCCCAGCCACATCCATGTGGGCATCCAGCTGGCACCTCAAATCCTACAGGTCCCAGTGGAACTCATCTCCCACCATCTATGAGTGCTCCCAACAGTGACAGCACAGCCATTCACCCATGGCTCCAGTTGCCTGAGCTAGAACCTCGGAGCCATCTCTCACCCCCACCTAAGCAGTCATAGTGCCCTGGGAAGTCTAGTGGGGTCGGGCTGAGGTATGAAAACCCCTGAACTAAAAGCATGTAGGTTCATCAAAAAGTTAAGCATCAAATTAGCCTATAGGCATATACTCATAGATATTTACTCAAAATAATTGAAAATAGGTACTCAAATCTTTGTACAGAAACACATAGCAGCACTATTCACGATAACCAAAAGGTCAGCCAGTGGATGAGTGGATAAATGAAAAGTGGTATGTACTTACAATGGAATATTATTCAGCCATAAAAAGGAATGAAGTACATTCTACAACATGGATGGACTTTTAAATAATTATACTAAGTGAAAGAAACTAGATCAAAAAGGTCACACATTGTGTGATTCTAGTTATATGAAATGTCCATATTGTATGATTCTAGTTACATGAAATGTCACATATTGTGTGATTCCAGTTATATGAAATAGGCAAATCTATTCAGACAGTTAATGGGTGAAACGGTTTCCTTTGGAGTAACAGGAATGTTGTGGAACTAGACAGAGGTGGTGGTTGCACAATATTGTGAATCCATAGGAATTCCATTGTGAATCCATAGGAAATCCATTGTGAATCCATAAATGCCACTGAATTGCTCACTTTTAAACAGTGTTATGTTGTAGAAATTTCATCTCAATTTTTTTAAAAAGCAAACAAAGCTTTCTCTGGAGACTCTGTTGGTTTTGGACATAAACCCCTTTCTTCTGCCAGCCCAGAAATGCCCAGCACTTCTAGGCAAGAAAGACTCATGGTATGGAGGCTAAGTGGGAAAGATAAGGCCAGAGGATCAATACATGGCTTGTAGGAAGCCCCTTTGTTCCCCAGACCCATGCACAGATGAGCTGGCTTCCCCCACCTGTCTCCAAGGGGAGGCTGCAGTTCTGCTAGTGTCAGGTTGGGTACCAAGGAAAAAGGCCCTGCATGTGTACAAACGCTAGCACTGAGTCCTGACCCCAGCAACACAGGGGCTCAGAGCAGCGCTGCCACTATCTGATCCTCAAAGCAGGAGGCAACTCCATCCTATCCTATGAGCTGCTGAGAGAGATGGAGGAATCCTGCTGCCCTGGGCTCAGTTGCTTCCACTCAGAGTTCCAGAAGCAGCCCTAGGCTTAGGAGCAGAAGAATGGGTTCTATGGGGCCACTCCTTTAGAATGTGCCTACAGGGGCTGGGTCATATACTAGCAGGGACGGAGGGGCTCTGGCCAAAGCAGCAGGCCAGAGACTGCAGCCAGGGGCCCTTCCCAGCACACCAGACAGCCTTGCTCAACACCTGGCCTGATTGCAGATAAAAATGCCCTGCCTGAAGGAACCCCGAAGAGCTCACATTGGGAAGGTTGGTCAGGGGATATTAATGGTGATTCAGTCCCCAAAGCACTGCAGGTTGCAGAATCCAGGGAAAGCAGCCCAGGAAAGGCAGGTGAAATGAGGTGTTATTCAGCTCAGGGGAGCCTTTGCTTACTAGCGCCCCTTGCTTCCAATGCCAAGCTCACATACTGCAGGGGCTTGTAGCAAGGGATTAATTAACTTTCAGAAGACTGGACTCAACCCTGGGCGCTCACACCCATTAGCGACTCAGGCACCTGCTCTACCAGTGTGGCCCAGGGCTGGAAGCTCTGGTCTGTCTGTCCTGCTTGCTCCATTCCTGTCTGCTCAACTCTCCTAGCCTCTGGGCTCTAGATGATGATCAATTCTCTGCTGGTCTCTCATTTCATTTTATCATCCCACTTTACCTTCCTTGCATCATTTTCCTTTTTTTTTTTTTTTTTTTTTTTTTTTTTGAACAACCCCTGTTGTTATTCTGACTATGGACAGGAAAGGAAAGTTGCAAAGCGGTGGGGAGGGTCTATGAGTCTCTCTGTACAGCTCTCCCGGTTGCACACACAGACCCTTCATCTTGAGACTCTGGGATAGTGATAAGATCCACTTGGATTTTTATATTACCTTTTCCCAAACCATTGAAGTTTTATTGATTCTCCTCTTAGACATTTTTCCTTCCATTCTCCTCCCCACCCCATATACCTGGTTCAGGCTCTTTTGGCTCTCCGCTGAATCATTGCAGCAAGCAACAGCCTTCTAACCTACCTCCCTGTTGCAGCTGGTCCCTCCCCAGTCCACCCCAGCCAAAATCCGAGCAGTTCCCTTGCCTGATCTGGTGATACTCAGAGTGTGGCTCCTGGACCACCAGCATAAGCATCCCCAGTGAACTGGTTAGAAGTGCAAATTCTCCAGACACATCTCAGACCTATGGATTCAGGAACTTTGGGGAAGGCCCAACAATTTGGGTTTCCATAAGTTCTCCAACTGGTTCTGTTACCTGCTAAAGTTGAAAGACACTGACCTAGTGAAAAGTCTTCAGCGAGTCCCACTGCCAGGCCCAGATTCCTTAGCTCAACCTGCAGGACCTCTGGGACCTACTCCCTGCCTGTCCTCTGAGTCCTGAGTCCTCCTCCCTGCCCTTTCCACCAGCCCCTTCCCAGCACACCTTGCTTAAACTATTCCCACCTGCAAGTGGTTCCCTGAACAGGGGCTGGTTTAAGACCCTGTGCCATTTCCCTCATGCCCAGATGCCCTTGCCATCTGCCCACAGAACCCACTGGCCACTCCCTTTCTGGGTGCCCCTCCCTCCCTGACTAGCCTGCATCCGTGTCCTACTTAGCTCTCAGCCTATTGCTCTCTGTCCCTAGACTTCAAGCTCCTTGAGGACAGGGTCACATGTTTGCACTTCAGAACCCTAGCACCCTGCATATATGTGGCAACTGATTCAAAGCCAGGACTTCAGCACTGCCCATCAGTCATCACAAGATCCCTGGACACACACCAGCATACAGGCATGGGGGCTTCTTTTTACTGTTGGGTTTACTGTTACTGCAGTGGAATGACTGGGCCCCTGGAGGTCTCATAGCAAGCTCACTGAGCTCACCTGGACCCATGCTCATGATGGCATGTCTTCTGGGCGGCATTCAGTATATGTAGAAAGAACAGTAAAGTTGGAGTCTGATGACCTGTGTTGAATTCTAGTTCTACTACTTTCTAGCCCTTTGATCTTAAAAAAAAAAACAAAACTCCAAGATACAGTTTTATCATGTGTAGAATGAGTTCTTAAGAAAATCTCCCAGGAATTGTTGTACTAATTTAGATAAATACACATATTAGTTTGAGCCTTCCTGAAAGCAGAGCCTGAGACAAGGATTTGGGTACAGGAAATTTATTTAGGAAGTGATCCCAGGGAGTAGGAGAGGGACGATTTGGTGAAGGCAAGACAGAAAAAAGGAAACACCAGTATAACTATTGCTGTAAGGAATGGGACTCCGTCTTGCAGGAACCTCTGAGAAGCACACAAAATGCCCCCTAACTCCCACCCTACCCCCACTGAACTATCATCCAAAAGATAGAAAGTGGGGGCTGGGCGTGGTGGCTCATGCCTGTAATCCCAGCACTTTGGAAGGCCGAGGTGGGAGGATCACAAGGTCAGGATTTCGAGACCAGCCTGGCCAATATGGTGAAACCCTGTCTCTACTAAAAATACAAAAATTAGCCGGGCATGGTGGCGGGCACCTGTGGTCCCAGCTACTCAGGAGACTGAGGCAGGAGAATCGCTTCAACCCGAGAGGCAGAGGTAGCAGTGAGCCGAGATCATGCCACTGCACTCCAGCCTGGGAAACAGAGTGAGACTCCGTCTCAAAAAAAGAAAGAAAGAAAGTGGGGTCATTTATCACAGTTACAGTTCCCACTTCCCATAGATTAAGGGCTGATATGGCCATTAACTCTCCCCCCCTTTCTTCCAGACTACACTTCAGAGTTGCTCTTGTTTGCAGGTGTGTGGGTTTCTGAAGCTTCAGGGAAGGCCTGAAGCAGAGAAGCAGAAAAGGACAAGGTGCACTAAAGGTGGGACTGTCAGCTTGAGCCTGAGCTCACGTGGAACTTTTCACCACAGCTGCAACCAAAATCAGGTGGGCAAGGGGTGTGAAGTGGGGCCCTAAACACACCTGCCAAATCTGTGAACATACACTCCCATAGAACATTGCTATGGCCTCTAATGTGCTTTTCTGAATTGAGATTGTCTGTTTAGTGATCAGTGCCTGCCACTTGGCAGTGGTTTCCCTGATGGCAGGGACAATGTCTGTCTTGCTCATCACTATATTGCCAATACCAACAAGGCTACAGTAACCAAAACAGCATGGTACTGGTACCAAAACAGAGATATCAAGCAAAGGAACAGAACAGAGGCCTCAGTAATAACACCACACATCTACAACCATCTGATCTTTGACAAACCTGACAAAAACAAGAAATGGGGAAAGGAGTCTATATTTAATAACTGGTGCTGGGAAAACTGGCTAGTCATATGTAGAAAGCTGAAACTGGATCTCTTCCTTATACCTTATACAAAAATTAATTCAAGATGGATTAAAGACTTAAATGTTAGACCTAAAACCATAAAAACCCTAGAAGAAAACCTAGGCAATACCATTCAGGACACAGGCATAGGCAAGGACTTCATGACTAAAAAAAAGCAATGACAACAAAAGCCAAAATAGACAAATGGGATCTAATTAAACTAAAGAGCTTCTGCACAGCAAAAGAAACTGCCATCAGAGTGAACAGGCAACCTACAGAATGGGAGAAAATTTTTGCAATCTACCCATCTGACAAAGGTCTAATATCCAGAATCTACACAGAACTTAAACAAATTTACAAGAAAAAAGCAAACAATCCCATCAAAAAGTGGGTAAAGGATATGAACAGATACTTCTCAAAAGAAGACATTTATGCAGCCAACAGACACATGAAAAAATGCTCATCATCACTGTTCATCGGAGAAATGCAAATCAAAACCACAATGAGATACCTACCATCTCACACCAGTTAGAATAGCAATCATTAAAAAGTCAGGAAACAACAGATGCTAGAGAGGATGTGGAGAAATGGAAATGCTTTTACACTGTTGATGGGAGTGTAAATTAGTTCAATCATTGTGGAATACAGTGTGGCGATTCCTCAAGGATCTAGAACTAGAAATGCCATTTGACCCAGTGGTCCCATTACTGAGCATATACCCAAAGGATTATAAATCATGCTACTATAAAGACACATGCACACTTATGTTTATTGCAGCACTATTCACAATAGCAAAGACTTGGAACCAACCCAAATGTCCATCAATGATAGACTGGATTAAGAAAATGTGGCACATATACACCATGGAATACTATGCAGCCATAAAAAAAAGGATGAGTTCATGTCCTTTGTAGGGACATGGATAAAGCTGGAAACCATCATTCTCAGCAAACTATCACAAGGACAGAAAACCAAACACCACATGTTCTCACTCATAGGTAGGAGTTGAACAATGAGAACACTTGGACACAGGGTGGGGAACATCACACACCAGGGCCTGTCATGGGGTGGGGGGGGTGGTGGAGGAGGGATAGCATTAGGAGAAATACCTAATGTAAATGATGAGTTAATGGGTGCAAAAACCAACATGGCACATGTATACATATGTAACAAAACTGCATGTTGTGCACATGTACCCTAGAACTTAAAGTATAATAAAAAAAAAAGAAAAGAAAATGTGGCACATATACACCATGGAATACTATGCAGCCATAAAAAAGGATGAGTTCATGTCCTTTTCAGGGACATGGGTGACGCTGGAAACGATCATTCTGAGCAAACTCACAAGGACAGAAAACTAAACACAGCATGTTCTCACTCATAGGTGGGAATTGAACAATGAGAACACTTGGATACAGGGCGGGGAACATAACACACTGGGGCCTGTCATGGGGTGGGGGGCTGAGGGAAAGATAGCATTAAGAGAAATACCTAATGTAAATGACGAGTTAATGGGTGCAGCAAACCAACACAGCACATGTATATCTATGTAACAAATCTGCACGTTGCGCACATGTACCCTAGAACTTAAAGTATAATAATAATAATTTTAAAAAAGAAAACTCTGCAACACAGACATTCTCAAAGATGTTTGTTGGATGACTGGATGAGTAAAAGTATCTTTCCCATAATGGATACTCAGGATGATCAACCACAACATTGTTCAGACTTTATGAATTGAAGGAGAGAATGCATCATTTACTAATGAAATTTCAGATAATCATACAAGATGAACAGGTTGGAATTCCTTTTCCATTCAGGGTGGAATAACATAAACCAGGTTTGCTCTATGAACTGAAACAACTAAAAGTCCAGACAACATACACAAAACAATAGTACTTGGGACATTGAGCACTGGGTAACAAAGAATTGTTATCCCTGAGAGGCAGAAAACAGCTTTGGCCAGCCCTATGATCATCCAAGTTTAATGGTCGGAGAAAGTTTCCAGGCAACAGTGGGAAGTGCTAGATGGTGAGAGGAGAAAAAGCAGAGAAACAGGGAAGGGAAGAATTACAAAGGGACAGGAGGAAATTCTTTGGGGTGATAGGTATGTTCACTACCTTGATTGTGGAGATGATTCCATGAGTGTATACATATGTCAAAACATCAAATTATATGCTTAAAAGTATGCATTTTATTGTATGTGCTCATACCTCAATAAGGCTGGTTTTTTAGAAAAGATGAGGGTGTTGATATTTCTGCCCAGGTAATAGAAGATAGTGTGCATTAGACAAATACACACAGAACTTGTTAAAGAGTATATAAGTAGGCCAGGCAAGGTGGCTCACACCACTAATCCTAGCACTTTGGAAGGAAGAGGAGGGAGGATTGCTTGAGCCCAGGAGTTCAAGACCAGCCTGGGCAAGAAGTTGAGACCCCATCTCTACAAAAATAATTTAAAAAATTAGCCAGGCATGGTGGCACATGCCTGTAGTACCAGCTACTCAGGAGACTGAGGCAGGGGGATTACATGAGTCCAGGAGTTCAAGGATGCAGTGAGCTGTGATCATGCCACTGCACTCCAGCCTGATAATTCATTCCTTTCCTTTCCTTCCCAATGCTATGCTTTGAAGAGAGAGAAGTAGTGGAGCCTACAGAGTTGCTTGGGCCCCCAGTGGAATGCTTCTTCCCAAATTGCCACCCGTTTCCCTAGCAGAATAGCTTAAGTTCTTATAGACACAATTCTTTCAGTTGGATCTTAAAACCACATCCTTCTGAGAATCTAAAGGTGTCTCCAGGGGGCTATATTGGGCTGTGTTCAGGTATAGCCTAATGATCCCTTCTCTTCAAAACCCAAAGGCTATATCTGGCCACTGTGTGGGACCTCTTCTGTATTAATGTGATTTTTCTTTTACCTAGGGGCCCTAATATCCTTTTTGATAACCATTTGACATCAGTCTGGACAATACACCTCCTCCCGGCTATCTACAACCAGGCTACATAAAACCAAATCTCAATTATGGATAGGGCTCTAGTTATTTCCCATTGGGATTCTGAACCCAATAAAAGTGCATGTAGCTGGATGGCTGGGGGTGGGGTGAATATCACACTCCACAGAGACCTAGAGGTGCAGATTAGTAGTTCAGCATGGTCCAACAGAACTCTGCAAAGAAGACCATGACTTCTGTGCTCTGCCTTCTACCTTAATACTTTTCTTTTGAGGAGAGGTGCTATGAGAGGCAACGTTGTAAATTGCAGGGACTTATCTTAGAAAGATTTGGACACCAGAAAGGGAGAACTTTCTGTACTAGGGTTGGAACTTTAATGGAAGAGTGTCAGGAGGAAGGAAGAGTTTTTTGGGAGGACATTGTTCCAATGGGGAAGAAGACATAGCTAGGTCCCTATTGAAGCAGATATGCTTAGCTTTCAAGCTGAGTGTCACGAATGGGTAGGTGAAGATGACTGGTCTGATGTTATAGCTGGAATCCTGCTGCAAACTGCTGCATCCTATGATACCCAGATGGGATGTGAACCCCTAGTCAAGGCTCAGGTTCACCCCCTTGGTCCAGTGAAGTAGGCCCAATAGAGCCCTGAACTCATACATGGAGTGAATCCTCAGTCAAATAGTTCCATGAGCCCTAACATCGCCTCAGTTCTGTTCTCACGGCCCAGCCTGAATCTCTACCTCTGACCTAGATTTAAATAGAAAGGTTTCTGTCTCCTGTCAGGAGCCCTCCCAGCCTGCCTTTTCTACTCTACCAGCGAGAATTTTCTAGAATAATTATGACCATGTATTTTTGAAGGAGGTTCCCTGTGCACTGGTTATCACCTCAGGCCACTGCATCTTGGGCTGCAATTTCTACTACTTGCATGAGTCCAGTGAGACAGAATACTCACCCAACAAGTTGAGCAAAGCAACTTTATTACTCACACATAAGCAGGGAGAGACAGTAGAAGCCTAGGATTCATGGCAAGCTGGTCCCTCAAGGCTCAGGAATGCTGCCCAGGGTGGATGAAATCTTATCCATGCATGCCCCATATGGCACAACAGCTGAGGGACCCCCACAAGGCAGCTGCCCTGGGTGTTATGCCCTGGAGGTATGATTTTCTAGGCTAAAGTATTCTAGAACATCTTGTTCTAGGAGGGACAGAGACAGAGCCTGGGCTGTTCCAGCTGATTCCTCCTTAGCTCAGTGTCTTAGTCCACTTTGTGCTGCTATAACAGAATACCACAGACTGGGTAATTTATAATGAACGTAAATTTATTGGTTCACAGTTCTGGAGGCTGGAAGTCCACAATCAAGGGGCCAGCATCTTGTGAGGATCTTTTTGCTCTGTCATCCCATGGTAGATAGTGGATGGGCAAGGGAGAGAACCCACTCCCAAAAGCCCTTTCATTAAGAAGTTAAACCCACCCATGAGGGTGAAACCTTCATATCCTAGTCACTTCTTAAATCTATGTTAAGGCCCCACCTTCCAACACTGTTACATTGACAATTAAATGTTAATGTGAGTTTTGGAGGGGACAAGTACTAAACCATAGCATTCAGGAATGTTGCATTCCCAGCACAGTCTACAGTTACTCATGAGAACTACAAATGAGAAAGAAGGGAGAACTGGGTTGATCTGAGACCACTCAGAAAACTGGCCTGCAGTATTTTCTGCTTGATAACCCTTTTGGTTTCCTGCTATCCAGCAAAGGAGACACACAATCCCGGCCCCACCCACCTCTTACTTTCCTCTCCTGGTGTTCACCACCCACCCACACCCATGTTCCTCCCACTCTGGACTTGTTGCCATCCACCAGACACACTAGACTCTCTCATCCTCATCCTCTGTGCTTTAGTGGGAAGGAAACAGAAGGTGGAGAAACAGGAGAGAGGAAAACTTGCAGATGGAAGAAGACCCAGGAGTATGAGAGCTGATGAGAGGGAGTAGAAGAGAGAGGAGTAGTAGCTGATCAGAGAGAGAGGGCCACCTCTTCCCATGAGCAGAATCTTTATGAATGAGAAATGAGAGGATGAAAGTTGAAGGACATCATGCCCTAGGCCTCCTATTGTCTCAATTAAGGAATAAATGGAATCAAGTTAAAACTGCATTGCAATGGTTGTACCCCTTTGGAACGAGAGTGCACACACACACACACACACACACACACTGGTCTCTCAGATCTCTCCACAGGCCACTTGCTCACTGTTTCCCACTCCCCTTTGGAGTTTCTGGCTAGTCTTCCTCCAGCCAAGTGTGAGCTTCCTTGGGAAGAAACACAGATCCCCTCAGAGGAGCTGGGCTGAGGCTGAACCCCTGAGAGTCTAAGGAGTACACTGCAGAAGGGAGCAAACAATCCCAGAAACAGACACAAACATCCATAAGGATTTAGATGTGTTTAATGGAAATGCAAAACCATGACTGGAAAAAAGAAGTAAATATATCTTTTTTAAAATCACTTGTTGGTTAAGCCTTTCTAAGCATGCAGCAAAGGCATAAACCTCAAAGGACACGATTGTTTAAATCTATGTTAAAAATGAAAAAGGCTGGAGCAAGTATGAATGTTGAGAGCCACACACACCTGATAGACATTTCCTTGAAAGGACATGGCACTGATTAATTGGATCAGAGCGAGGACTCAAGCATCCACAGGGGCTGGCCAGGCATAGGGGGAAGCAGGAGCAGGGAGCTGTGCACAGGTGTGTGAGGGAGACTGACCGGGGGAGGACACGACCAAGTAAAGGAGATGCTACCTCACTCTCTACCCCTAACAACTGTGACTGAAGCTAGGAGGGAATGAGGGGGCCTCGGCTCTTCAGATCAGCTGTCAGATCTTCAGATGCTCAAGAACTGAGTGTAAAACCTCCTGGCTTATATTTTTCACAGGAGATAAAACAAGGTGCAGACCGAAGAAACCAAGTTCTCAGGCTGGACTATGGGCCTTGGTTGTCTTGGCCCTGTGGGGCAGAAGGGATGAAGATGGGCAGAGAAGGGCAGAAATAGTCCTCTGAAAACTGAGTGGGGACATAGGAGCACACAGCCACCACCCATCTGTTGAGAGCGTTTTGAATGTTACAATATATAAATTGAAATTTGCAGCTGCCCTCAGCTTACACTCCCCCACCCCTCCCACCACCATTCTTCCTTAAATAACAGAGAGGGTTGATGAGTAACATCCAAACAGGGACCAGCACAGGACCTTGGCAAAAGTGCACCAAGAAACAAGATGAAAGGAGCAAAATGTGATGGAAGATGTTGTCAAATATTAAATTACGTGTACACACCTCCATTGCTGAACTTCCTCTCCTCTGAGGTGTACTCATTTGAACCTCTTCCCTGGGGTCGGCCCTCGTTGCTTTAGGAGAGTCAGCTTGGAGGGACCAGAGAGCAAAGAAGACAAAATCTTGGCTTTGAGTTCTGAATAGTGTTTCTCAACTTTAATGTGCTAAGGAACAGCTTGGGGATCAAGAGCTCCCAGGGAATGTTCAGGCTGCTAGCAGGCTGACCACACGGAGAGGTAAGAATCCAAGGTCGGATGTAGGACAGGAAAGAAGAGAAAGAGGCGGGGCACGGTGGCTCACGCCTGTAATCCCAGCACTTTGGGAGGCCAAGGCGGGCGGATCACGAGGTCAGGAGATCGAGACCATCCTGGCTAACACGGTGAACCCCCATCTCTACTAAAATTACAAAAAATTAGCCGGGCATAGTAATGGGTGCCTGTAGTCCCTGCTACTCGGGAGGCTGAGGCAGGAGAATAGTGTGAACCCGGGAAGCGGAGCTTGCAGTGAGCTGAGATTGCACCACTGCACTCCAGCCTGGGCAACAGAGCCAGACTCCATCTCAAAAATAAATAAATAAATAAATAAATAAATAAATAAATAAATAAATAAAAGAAAAGAATAAGTGCTCCTACCACCCCACTTCCCAAAATGCAATGACTGAAGAGGAGCGAGAAGAGCAAGATAAATATCAGTCCCTGCAAGGGGTCACTGGACTGTGTACCCTGAGCACCTGGAAGGCAGGAATGTTAAAGACCCCCAGGGAGTAACTTGGCGATCTGAGCCTCAGATACTCCGTGTTCTACTTCCATTGCCTAGCCCAGGAGACAGCAATCTGCAGGCTAGTGGAGGACGGTGGATGGAGTATCCATGAGACAGCTGGGAGGTGCCTCTAATTTTTCATTCTGGAAGGAAAGGGAAGGAGAGGAAGAACAAGTACACCGGTGTCCTCATCTGTCATAGCAGGAGGTGATGGGCATTGTCTAACACTTGAAACACGTTGTTGAAAAACACTTCACAACCCAGCTACTGAATTACTTAGGGTACTTTTTGTACAATTTTTGTATGACTTCCTGAGTGTCTGCTTCCACCCCTATAACCACAACCTGGATTTTGTGTATACCATTCTCATGAATCAATTTTGCTATGCATGTGTCCCTTAGCAAAAAAAAAAAACAAGCATTGATTTGCATGTTTTTAAAGTTCGTGTACATGGTATCATATTGTACATAAATATCCTATAGATTGCTGTCTTTGCGCAACATTATGTTTACGAGAGTCATCCCTGTTGATGTGTGTAACTAGTTCATTAACTTTTATCATTTTATAGTATGTATAGTGCATTATCAATTTTTCTGTTGATGGACACACAGATTGTTTCCAGGTGTTTGCTATTATAAGTATGCTACTGCGAACATTTCTAATCTCCCGGTATATATATAAGAGTTTCTTGATTGCTGGAGGAAGAATTTGATGGGTCATAGGGTACATATATCTTCAATTTAAAATAACTTGTCAAAGTGACTGAACTAATTTATACCTACAGCAATGATGCATAAGTGTTCCAATGACTCCACATCCTCAATAATTCTTTTTTCTATAGATATCACATTTATTTATACATTGATCAATTGATGGACTTTGGGTTGTTTCCACTTTAGGCCACTATCAATAATACTGCTATGAACATCCTTGTATACATTTTGTGTGAACACCTGTTTTAAATTATTTAGGGTATATACCTAGGAGAAGAATCTCCGGCCCACATGGTAACATTATATTTAACCTATTGAGAAAGTCCCATACTGTTTTCCAAAGTGGCTGTACCATTTACATTCCCACCAACAGTGTATGAGGGTTCCAAACTCTCCCTGGCCTCATCGGCACTTGTTATCTGGGTTTTTTTTTTTTTTATTATAGCCATCCAAGAGGGTATAAAATGGTTCACATGGTTTTCATTTTAATTTCCCTAGTGACTAATGATGTTGAGCATCTTTTCATGTGCTTTTTGGCCACTTGCATATATTCTTTAGAGAAACGCTATTAAGATATTTTGCCCATTTTAAATTAGGTTATATGTCTTCTAAGTTGTATGGGTTCATTATTCTTTTTTTCCATTAGTTATTGGGGTACAGGTGGTGTTTGGTTACATGAGTAAGTTCTTTAGTGGTAATTTGTGAGATTTTTGTGCACCCATCACCTGAGCAGTGTACACTGCACTGTATTTGTAGTCTTTTATCCCTTGCCCCCTCCCATTTGTCCCCCCAAGTCCCCAAAGTCTGTTGTATTATTCTTACACATTTGTGTCCTCATAGCTTAACTCCCACATATCAGTGACAACATATGATATTTTGTTTTCCATTCCTGAGGAATATAAACTAGAACAGTCACTATGGAAAACAGTGTGGAGATTCCTTAAAGAACTAAAAGTAGGACTACCATTTGATCCAGCAATCCCACTACTGGGTAAGAAGTCATTATTCAAAAAAGATACTTGCACACGCAGGTTTATACCAGCACAATTCACGATTGCAAAATCATGGAACCAACCCAAATGCCCATCAATCGACAAATGGATAAAGATATTGTGGTGTGTGTGTGTGTGTGTGTGTGTGTGTGTGTGTGTGTGTATGATGGAATACTACGCAGCCATAAAAAGGAATGAATTAACAGCATTTCCAGTGACCTGGACAAGATTGGAGACTATTATTCTAAGTGAAGTAACTCAGTAATTCTTGATATTCTTTTTAATTTTTGCCATCCTGATGGTGTGAAATTTTATCTAATCACAATTTTATTTTGCATTTTTGGTAGACTGTCACTTTGGTGGCCTCCAGGCAATCACACTTCCCAGCATTCTTGCTCTCATTTAAACCCCTCTCCTTGAACCTAGGTGATCTCTGTGATCTGCCTTAACCAGTACAGTATGGCAGAAATGACACAGGGCAGGAGCTGGGCCTAAGCCTTGAGAGACCGCATGGGAAAACCATAGTGAGAGGCCACTTGGAGAGGTTACATGGGGAAGGAGAGGCCCTGAGACAACATGGAGAACTGAGGAACATAGCCCAAACCTCTAACAGCAGCCCCGGTCAAATAACCTACATTGAGCCATTCCAGCTGGCTCCCTGCTGCTAGCCATCCAATCTAAGGTGCCAGACATGAGAAGAAGCCACATTGCCCCTGCAGATTCAGAAGACATTATGTAGAGCAGAGATAAGCTGTCCCAACTAAGCCCTTTCCAAATTTCTAACCCACAGAATAGTGAAAAAGAGTAAAATAGTGGTTTCTTTAAGCCACTAGGGAACAAGTGATAATTGAATGATTTGACCACTGGTATGGTGGAGCATCTTTTTGTACATGCATTGACCACTTGCTTTGCTCTTTTGTAAATTACTTATTTATATCTTTTGTCTTTTTTTTCTTGGATTATGTTTTGCTTTTCGGTTTGTAGAGGTTATTTATATAATCTGGATTTGAATCCTTTATTAGTTGGGTATATTACAAGTATCTTCTCTGGCTTATCAATTCACCTTTGTAGGATCTTTTGACAATCACAAGTTTTTAATTGTAATAGAATTGAAATCACCAATCTTTCTTATTAGATTTTGTGCTTATTGTGTTTTGCATCAGGAATCCTTCCCAACCCTAAAGCCATGAAAAATTTCTCTATATCTCCTTCTAAAATATTGAATGTGTTTTTTAATTTTTGTTTTAAATTGACCTAGAATAGTTTTTGGTTATATTGTCAAGCAGGAATTCAATTTCACTTTATATCCCTATA
Source organism: Homo sapiens (assembly GCF_000001405.40). Taxonomy (NCBI): domain Eukaryota; kingdom Metazoa; phylum Chordata; class Mammalia; order Primates; family Hominidae; genus Homo; species Homo sapiens. The sequence goes on along the minus strand of NC_000003.12, from coordinate 134,737,098 downwards.
AATAACAATTGACTTCATATTATTAATTGAATAGCCTTTCCTTTTTCCATTGATCAAAAATGTCACCTCTACCACAAAGCAACTTTCCCATATATGTCTGACTCTTTCTGAGCTGTTTGCTCCATCAGTCTATTTGCTCTGCCCCACACCAAGAACAAATTGTCTCTGTTACTGTAACTTTTTAAAAATTATTGTTATGTGCTAGGATTAGTTGCCACCCCTTATTCTTCCTCAAAATCAGCTTGACTATTCTTGGCCCATTCTTATCCCATTATCTGGGATGAATGTTCTTCCATGTAAATTCTACAATCAAACTGGCAAATTCCAAAGTTAACCCCATAAAGATTCTGATTTATAGAATCCTTTGAGGATAATTTATATTTATGATATTGAGTTTTCCTATCCATGAATGTGATGTATCATTCCATTTATTCAGGAACCTTTCAATGTTTTTGAATAAAGTTTAATGATTTCTTCAGAAAGGTCACAAACACTTGTTCTTAGATTTATTCTTTTATACCTTACATTTTTGTTGTTGTTCCCACTGAAATTTGTATTTTTTAAATTGCATTTTCTGACTATTCATTGCTGGTAAATAGGAGTGCATCTAATTTTTGTACATTTGTGTCTAACAACCATCCATCATATTAATTATAATGTTTTTATGTAGATAATTATATAACTCTCAAATGGTAATTTTCTTTTCTTCCTTTACAATTACCTTTTCTTTTGCTGGTCTTCCTGTGTGAGCCACAGCCTCTTGTAAAATGTTAAATAAAAGTGGTGAATGGGGCATTCTTTTCCATTCCTAATTTTAAATGTATTGCTTCTAATGTTTCACCAAATTTCATGATGCTTCCAACAGGTGTTTTGAACATACATACATACATATTCCGTATGATTTTTGTAGGATTTTTTAATATACGCATGATGATTATATGTTTTCACCCCTTTAACCTGTGAGTGTAGTGAATTTCATAAATAATTTTAGAACATTGCCAGTCATGCATCCCTGGGATAAAACTAACTTGATCATATTGTATTTTTTCCTACTCGCCTTTGGGTTCAGATTTCTAGTATTTTGTTTAAATTTTCAACCTATTTTCTTAAGTGCTACTGGCTTGTGATTTTTCTTTCTTTTACAGTCCTTATCTTGTTTAGTATCGAGGTGATACCAGTCTCATTAAATGAGTTGGGGGATTAGTCCCTTTTCCCCACCCTTTTCTCTGGAACAGTTGATGTTACAGAAAAGCTTGACAGACTTGCTATAAAATCACCTGAGCTTAGTTTTGCTTTTTGTTTTTAGATTTTCTTAGTTGATAGATTTTAAGTTATGATTCAATTACAGTCAATTGTCATTATTTGCAAATTCTGTATTTGCCAATTTGACTACTTGCTAAAATGCATTTGTAATCCCCAAATCAATATTTGTGGTGCTTTTGTGGTAATTTGTAAACATGTTCAAAGTGGTGAAAAATTTGAGTTACCCAACACACACACTCCCAGCTGAAGTTGAACAAGGTGATGCTCTACCTTCTTGTCTCAACCGTCATACTATAAACAAATACCTTTTCTGTAATCAATTTAGTACCACATTTTTCACATTTCGGGGCTTTTTATTGCTGATTTTGCTGTTTAAAATGGCCACTAAGCATGGTGTTAAACTGCTGTCTAGTGTTCCTAAGTGCAAGAAAGCTGTTATGTGCCTTACAGAGAAAATACATGTGTTAGATAAGTTTCATTCAGGCATGAGTTGTAGGTTGTTGGCTGTGAGTTCAATGTTAATAAATCAACAATATAGTACATCCAAAAAAAAGGGAGAACAAATTCATTGATCTGTGTGTGAGGCTGCTCCAGAAAGTGCTAAAGTAACATCTATAATGCTTGATGAAGTTATAGAAAAGATGGAAAGCAGCTAAATTTGTGGATTCATGTGACGACAATGGATTTTTTTAAAAAGCTTAGTTACAGCATTGTTGTGAGGCTGAAACGAAAAGAAAATATAGTCATGTCACCTATGTCAAGAAAATGTTAAACCCTTGCCATTGGATTATACATTTCAAAAGACAACACAGTGTAAAAAATGTTAAAGTTGCAGATAAGGTAGGTTCTGCCAAGCAAGAGCCTATAGAAGAAGTTTGAAAACACCTGCTAAGTGTTATACGGGAAAATGATTATCTGGCAGAGCAGGTTTTCAATGTTGATGAGACCAGCTTGTTTAAAAAGGACAATGACGAATGAATGTATATACTACAAATGGAGTTTTAGTTGACAAGAATGTTGTGACCAAAGGCTCACAAGAACCTAACCCTCTGTCTTCTCTGTTCAGTATTCACTATTTCAGTGTTTACGGCAACTTTATAGAACATAAATACCATGACAACTAAAATTAGCTGAACTTCAATGATTATCAGACAATTTTGATTTTCTGTTTCTTCTTGTGTCAGTATTGGTGAGTGCCATTTTCCAATAAATTGACAGTTTTGTCTAAATTTTCAAATCAATAAGAATAAAGTTGCTCATAGTATATGCTTATTTTTTAAATATCTGCAGAGTCTGTAATTGTTCTCTTTTTAATTAATAATATTGTTTACTTGTGCCTCTTGCTTTTTTCTTGATCATGCTTGCCTAAATGTTATCTATTTTGGTAGTCTTTCCAAAGAACAACGTTTAATTTTGTCATTTCAAGAATACTATATAAGAAGAACCAATCATACAACCTTTTAAGATTGGTATTTTCACATAACATAATGCCCTGGAGTCTCATCTAAGTTGTTGAGTGTATCAGTGGTCTGCTTGTTTTTCTTGCTGAGTAGTATAAAGAGGTACAAATGTACCACAGTATGTTTAACCATTCACCTGCTAAAGAACATTTCGGCTGTTTCCAGGTTTCAGCTATTATAAACAAAGCTGCAATGCATGACATGTGTAGGTTTTCATGTAAACACGTTTTTATTTTTCTGTAATAAATTTCCTGGAGTGTGATTGCTGAGCCTTAGAGTGAGTATGTATAAACATAGTTTTACTTATTTTCTAATTCTTATGCCTTTAAATATTACTCATATCTAATCACATTGGCTAATACCTCAAGGACAATGTTAAATCATATTGAAGTTAGTGGGCATCTTTGCTTTAGCGGGAATGCCTCTAGTTTTTCCCCATTGAATAAGATTCTGGCTTTTGGATTTGAGCTTTATATGGTTTATTATGTTAGGGAAGTATCCATCTACATGCGTTTCCTAGAGCTTTGTAAAGTACCACAATCTGGGTGGCCTCAAGCAACAGAATTTGTTCTGCAGGCTAGAAGCCTGAGATCAAGGTCTTGGCAAGGCCAGGATCCCTCTGAAATCTGTAGGAGTGAATCCTTCCTTACCTCCTTCTAGCTTCTGGTGCTTTGCTGGCAATCCTTGATGTTCCTTGGTTTGAAGCTGCACCCTTCAGTCTCTGCCTCCACTGGCACATGGCGTTCTCCCCCACTCCCTGTGTCTGTGTCTCTGTGCCTCTCCTTTTTCTATAATGACACCTGTCATATTGGGTTAAGGGCCCACCCTACCCCAGTATAACCTCATCTTAATTGATTATATCTGCATTAATCTTCTTTCCAAATAATGTCATTCTGTTGCTGCCTTCCTTTGTATGTTGTTCTTAGGGATACATGAAGCTTAAATTTTTTGCATGTATTTGAATAATTTGATAGTTTTGCTTGGAAGCCATGAGGATTTTTTTTTTTTTGTCTTTAAAGTCTAGTAGTTTTACTAATACATGTCTCAGGTTTGAGATTTTATCATTCTGGAGTAAGTTTCCAAGTATGTGTGCTGGCAGACAATTCTGCATGGATTGTTCATGGTTCCATCAGATTGTGAGTGAGGCACTTATTATTATTCAGTCTGTCTTTTCAAGGGAGTTTGTATAGCAAACAGCCTCAGAATATAGAGATGGTGTCTTGTCCAAAACCAAGGGAAGACAAGCTTACTGTGTAATATAATGGAGCAAAGGGAAGAAATGCTTCCTACCCATTTTAAAAGATTGGGTTCCCTAAGTGTAGGATTCTCTCCTATAACATTGTGCTAATGTCCTCTGGCCCTCTTTACATTGCTCTGTGAACACTGGGACTTGGGGAAAGAAGTGTAGAAATGACAATACTTGTTTACTTCTATTGTTGTGAGTAATATATTTTATTTTCTCTCTGACTTAGGAGTCTCTCCTTTTCTGCTGATATCCATACAACCGTGACAAGCTAATTTGTAAGTTTATAAGTAGAATAAAATATAAGGCCCTTCACAGTTCTCAACAATATGATGGGCCCTTTCAATTATTTAATTTTCTTTTATGTCAGGACAATTTTCTTGGAAACAGTTTTAAGTTTTTGCTTTGCTCCTATGCTTTGTTTTTGTTTTTCCAGGGACTCCAATTACATGCAGACTGAACTTTCTTTGACCATCTTCCATTTTGATCACTTTTTTTCAAAACTATTTTACTTATTTCATTATTTCATTTTTATTATTTTGGGTCTTTTTCTGCCCTTCAGTTTTTAAAAAAAATTTCATTCAAATGTATTTCTTCTTGCACACCTAGTAATTATTCTTGATTTATAAAATTCTATTGCCTTTTTCTTCCATTTCTTTCCTGAGTTTAATCAACTCTTATTACATTTTCTTCTCACATTTTATCATTTTCTGTTTTTAGTTTTTGAATTTCTGATTACAGCATTTTGGAATCTTCAGATGGCTTTTAAAGTGTATTTAATTCAGAAGGAAACATTTTGTTATTAGCTTCTTCTACTTAGTGGGTTTTGTTAGGAGGAGAATTTTTATTTGCTAGTAGTCTTGAACAGCATTGGTTTGATTTATTTTCCATTTTTATTTTTCCTGAAGTATTATGTATACAGGTGCAAAATTTAAGTGTACCTTCTTCTGTCAGTTTAGTGAAGTTCAGTTTCTTTACAGATGATGAGAGGAATCGAATATCTTGGTATATCTTGTTCATTTTTTATCTCTGCAGGATCAGTATTTTTCTTCTCTAACTTAAGCTTTTCCCTCATTGTCACAACTACAGAAGACATTATTAATCTCTATTTATCTGATTATCTAATTAACTTTTACAAGCTCAGCTTCTCTGAAGCTGCCAATTCCAGTCCTGATCATTTTTAAGCCCCTTTCCCTTGGCTGATGCTATGAACTACTATGTTCCAGATCTGTGTTCAGTATTTTGCACTTATTGTCAAACTTTTTTCTGGCAGTGGTTTTGTAGCGTTTTGTCTATGCCCTCTTCTCCCTTTTTCCCTTTTCATAGATTCTCTTGTCTTCTCTTCTTTACACTTTACCCTACAGATGTTCAGCAGCAGCAAGAGCTCTGTTGGAACGTGGTGCTTGTTTTTTAACTTAAAGTTTTCGGTAGTCTCTGTCTCCTGGTAATGTGAAGGAGTGGATCATGGGTGGCTTTACTTGCTTGCCTTCTCAAATCACTGATTTTGGAGATGAGATATAAAACTAAACAGGTTCAGGCAGCTGCCATTATTTTTCAGACCTGGAAGTACTCCCTTACTCTAAGTATTTTAAAAGTCCACTTTGAATTCTTTTTTGACCCATGAGTTATTTAGAAGTGTGTTTTTAAATTTCAAAATGTATGGAGTTTTATAATTATTTTGTTTGTTTATTTCTCATTTTATTGCATTGGGATCAAATATGTGGTCTCTATATCATTGATTCTTTGAAATGTATGGAGACCTAATTAATGAACTATTTTTTGGTTAGTTTTTATACTTGATTCTTGTGTGCTTGAGAAGAATGTATATGCCCCAATTTCTTGCTATAGGAGTCTCATGTATATGTTCACTGAATCAAGTTTATCATACTATTCAAATATGGTTAAAAACATGTGTTGACTTGAGCTACTAACTACTGAGAGAGGGATGTCAAAAATTTCCCAGTGTGTTGTGTCTTTGTCAATTTATCCTTGTTGGTCTGTCAAATTTCACTTTATATATTTTGAGACTATATTATTAGGTATATTAATGTTTATAATGATTATCTCTTTCTAGTAAATTGAAGATTTTACCATTATATCTTGATTATTTTCATCTTTAAAAAACATAAATATTAATGTAGCTATACCAGCTTGGTTATGGTTATTTTACCTGGCAAATATCTTTTTCCATTCTTTTATTTTTTACCTTTTCATGTCCTTTGACTTCAATGTAGCTCTTGCAGGCAGAATATGTATTGATTTTTCCTTGTTTAATTGAGGTATAATGAGTTTTAAAATTTAATGTGATAATTCTATCTTGTAACTAGAACTTGGTAATTTTATGTTGTGATTGTAGATATTTACATAGAATAATTTCTCCAGTGATATTTATATTATAAAGCACATTTACCATGTGCTTTATAGTTACCTTGCTTTTACTATTTTCATTTTTTTAAGTTTATAGTTTTTTTAAAGAAACTGATTTGTTATGAAAAAACATTTATCTAGAGTTGTTTTTCTATCAATTGCACTTTAGTATTTTCTTCTATCAGATCCAAATAACATTAAATGTTTTGATAAATACTTGTGTGTACATATATGTATCCACACTATTTATATCTTTTTTTCTTACAATGAACATATTTTACTTCTGTATTCTAAAAATTGTTTGGAGATAGTTTAATATATAGATGAACAAATAAATAATACTTACATGGAAATTATGTTATTGTTACAACCAGGTGGACTTACCAACAGCCATACAGTGGAAGTGGTCTGAAGGCATGGCAGAATATCCCCAACCTGCCTCGCCTAAATATTTTTACCTATGATGAGCAAATAGCTGCCAAGCAAGAATGGATGCTGGCAAGACTGTCTGAGCTGAGCCTCTATGGTAGGGTTGCCAGATTTAGCAAATAAAATTATCATATGGGATATACTTAAAAATTTTGCATTGTTTATCCAAGTTATATATAGTTAAATATAACTGGGTGTACTGCATTTTATTTGACCCTACCCTATGGGTAAGACCCCATTCATTTCACTGGAGAGTGCCAGGAAGCAAGGTGGCTCTTCCTTGCAAGTCCCTGACCTCTCTTGCTGAATGTGCCTGAGAAGGGTTAGAAATGCGTGCTCTCCTTTTAGACACCCAGCTCATCATTCCTTTTTTGCAAGCACTTTCTCAGGGCCTCTTTCAGCATTTAATCTAGGGAATGAGGGCACTGTTGCCATGTGGTTTTCAAACTAATAGAGCTGACATCCTAGAACTCCCACCTGGTCCCTTGCCAACATTGTCACACAACCCGCCCTGCCCCTTCAGTACAGCTCTGACTGGGAAAAGCATGGGCTCTGACCCTAACTGGCTTTTGGCGTTGAGGTCTAGAACTATCATTTACCTGCTGTGTAACATTAACCAATTCACTGAGTTTCTCTGAAACTTCTATGCCTCATTTATAAAATGGGACTATTAAAAGTAATTCCTTTGAACCAGACCTTATTCTATAAGAAACCATTCAAACTAATGGGGGGAAAAATGCAAACTTCATATTTGAACCAGATCTTACCCTTTTAGAGCCATAAAGATTAAAGGACAAAAACTGTGTCTGCTCAAGCTACAAACTTCTTTTGCAGCAGAACTAGGGACTAATAAGCCAGATTACAACACTCGCATGCAGTGGAATGCTATGCAGGCATTAAAAATGAGCATGTTTCTTAATCCTCGTGATTATAAGAGCTAGACTTTATTTTAGTGAGAAAAGAAAGATGGGAAACAGTATGTATAACATGCTACCTTTTGTATAAGAAAGGGAGAATATAAAAGTATTTTTAATTGCTTATTTTACATAAACAATACACAAGAACTTAATAAAAGGGATTACCCCTGGTGTGAGGATGGGAGTTGTTGCTAGCAAAATGTAGTGGTTTAGGGCAGGTCTGGAAATTAGATTTTTCACTATATACCATTTTGTATCGTTTTGATTTTAGAACCATGTGAATATAAAAGTCATTAATTATAAAAATTAAAAGTTGAACATTTTTAAAAATTAAAAATAAACCCTACCACAAAATGTTGTAAGATAAATGAGACTGTGTGTAGCGTGTTTTTATTATATGTGTGCATGTGTGTGTGCCTGTGTGTTTGTGTGTCTGTGTGTAGTACCCAGAAATGTACATGGAATATAATAAGCATTCATTAAATGTAGCATTCTTCTCTTTTATATAGTCTTTTTTCTAGCTATAAAATTAAATCTTTTGACGAGAGAAAATTCTGCAAGTTAAAGGAAAGTTTCAGGAAAAAAGAATAACCTATTATTTCAGCACTCCAAGATAAATCTGTTAATATTTTGTATATTGCTTATCAATCTTTATATTTTATGTAATAATGTTTACATAAGGCATCATATAAAATTTTTTATCCCGTGTTTACCTTAAAGCAAAAGCATCCTTTGCAACTTCTGTTTTTAACACCTGCAGTATACTCCATCGTATAAATGACCTTTGTCACCTGTCCACTGCCCTGCCAGCTCCTTGAGGATAGGGGCTATGTCTTATTCATCTTTGTGTCCCCTGTATCTGGTATGTAAAGAGATCTTGATCAGTGACTGTTTAATAAATGCACAAATTAATTATCTGAAAATTATCTAAGTAGCTTCTGATTGTTGAGCATTTGGGTGATATCCTATTGCTTTTAGTCCTCTAAATAATGCTAGCACAGTCATTCCTATACGTAAATCACAAATTACTAAGCATATCTTTACTTGTTTCCATAGGTGAAATTTCTAGAAGTGAAATTACTGGCTCGATGGTTAGGAAAAAAATCTAAAGTTGTTGAAATCACATTTCCAATTTGCCTTCCAAAAAGTTGTCCCAGTATGCACTCTCAGCAGCTGATTAGGGCAGGCTGGGCACTGACGCTCACTGAAATTAAGAACTCTTACTACTTTAACTTTTGCTCATCACATGGGAAAGGAAAGTGCATCCAACTGCCATCATTTAAATTTAATTTTTTAGTGAGGTTAAACATGTTTTCAAATTTTATTAGACACAGTTTTTTTCTTTTTTGCTAGTTGTTTGCTCCTATACTTTGTCCATCTATCTACTAGGGCCTTCATGTTTTCTTCTATACCTTATAGTTTTAAATTTTGAATCTCTCTGTTTTTCTTTCACTTTATATAAGTTACCTAATTGTCTCCAGGGGATTTTTTAGATCTGTAGGGAAGATTTACAGCATAGAAAATTTCCAACAGACCCCAAAGTAGAAAAAATAGTACAACAAACCCCCATATTCCCATCACCCAACTTCAATAATTCTAAACACTTTGGCAATCTTGTTTAATCTGTTTATCTGTTTCTTCCCTAACACATGCATATAGACATTTTCTGTTTCACCCAGAGTATTTTAGGCAAATCCTAGACATCATAGCATTTTACCCATAAATATCCAAGGAATTTTTAAGCTACCGTATGAATATTTCTATTTAAGAAGTCTATAGATTGACTTCACAACAAGGAGTTTATTTATAACATTTGAGAATCCTGCCCTCTGTCATGCCTCCACATTTAATTGATTCTTTTTTCATACAAAATGTGGCCTTTATCCTTCTTCAGCCCACTTGCACGTACTCCGTGGTTATTGGTAAAATTTCACAGCCATGCTGTCAGGACAAATGAATAACCAAGGCCTTGTCAAAGTCACCCAGATCTGGATGAAAAGGGAATCATCAATCTGTGTTTGCCAAGCACATAAACAACTAGTCTCCCAGGCTGGTGTTTTTGCTAACTGATCACCCACTTTAATCAAACTTATAATTCAATTGCACTAACACTATTAAATCTTAATTCATCTTCATTAAATAACAGTTCACATTGAGAGAGAAAAATTCTCCTCCTCTCCCTATTAAATGGGGACTTCTTTGCCATCCTGGGAGCAGTGAAACTTGTTGCCCTCCCCTTTGCAGACTGGGCTTGGTGTTCTAAGCAGAACTCCAAGATGGTGGCAATATTTTTATTTCCTCTATTGGAACCATTTACACAATTTCAAATCTCAGTGGCAATCAGAATCTAAGCAGGCTGCCTCAAATGTGAAGACTATGGGAGGGCAGCATGAAGAAAGAGGAGAAATGGGACAGGGGACAGGGAGGGAGAGAGAGATCATGAGGAAGACATGTCTGCAAGATATTTTTTAAAAGTAGCTTTTAAAAAATAAGTGCTTGCAAAGACATAACTGCAGCCAGGCTGGAACAGGAGAAGGCCATGCTAGCCCCGTGCTCCGGCCGGCAGTTCCCTGTGCTAATCCCAGTGAGAGCAACAGGAGCCGCAGGAATCTGAGCTGCCTGCCTGACTTCAGCATCTGGCTCTGAAGGCTGGGGCTGTGGATCAGGGGAAATTATGTCGTGTGGGTGAAGAAATACCTGCTTGTCAAAGCCCAGGACCAGCCATGGCCGGGATCCCAAGACTTCTTCAGAAAAGCCTAAATGCCCTTTATTGACCAGTACTTGCATTCAGATCAAGCTTCTGCTCTGCACTAGCCCCTAGCATCTCCTGGGCTGATGTGTTATGCTGCAAGGAGGGAGAGAGAGAAGGAGGAAGGTAGCCCAGCCTTCCTATATCTGGGTACATTCTTGCTCTGTGTGTGTGTGTGTGTGTGTGTGTGTGTGTGTGTGTGTGTGTGTGTCTGTCTGTGTGCCTGTGTCCAGCTTCAGGAGCTGGAAGTTACAGAGCACCTCATTCAAAGTAAAGCCTACTGTCAAGTGGTAAACAAGGAGGATTCTGGGGGATTAAAATGTCAAGCCCGACCCAAAGCCGGGCCTTTACTAATGTGCACAGTGGCCTGGTGGCGCCCAGAAAGGTTTTGAAAGGCCTGAGGCCGGCACGAGGTGTGTGAAACCAGAGCTCTGCCTTTCCGTGGAAAAAGCCAGGGGAGAACAAGAAGGAGACAGATTCTCTCGCCATGGAACGTGTTTAAAGAAGAATCTTTTGAATTAAAATAGATGCACTCCCGAAATAATCTTGTTTTGAAACATCAGAAATCTTAGGAAGAGGAAAAAGGCTATCAATACACTTACCCTTTGAATCTGTTATGGCCCTTGCTATTTATAATATATTTTTCCTCCATGTAGCTTAAAATAATCAACAAACATTATCACATTAACTCTTGCAACCCCCATGTCCTTCCACAGACTCCCGTCCTTCAGGGCCACAGAGGACACCATCCTGGCTCTAGTGGCTGTGGCCTCTGCTGCCCTCGCTCCTCTGAGCCCCCTGACCTGCCAGGGCCTGTGAGCACATCTTGGCCACCACTGTTCAGGGTCTTTCCTTGTCTGCACTAACGCCAGGTAGCAGAAAGCCTGCTGGAAGGAGACACTGGAGCACCAAACCAACAAGACCCTAACAACTCTGAGGCCTGTCTCTGCTGCAGAACTTTCTTACTGTAAGCAATAAAGTTCTGGTGCTTACAAGTCAGTTAATTTTCACCAAGTAACTTAGAGCAGAGTAATCTGAAGAGAGGGTGCACAATGGCAGCCCACACAATATGTATGTAATAACTTTTCAAACTCAGGAGAATGCACATAAAAATCCATATTGTTAGCTTGTTTTGGAAAAGTAAAAACCTGGCAACTTAGGACTGGTGCTCCCACATATCAGCTCTTGTTGGGGGTTGGGTGGCCCTGCCCCTTCGGTGGGGAGCAGGGCTTTTCAAGAGACACGTGAGTTCCTGAGTGGCCACAGCACTCATATGTATTTGGGGTGTAACTTCTGTCAGGCAGGGGCAGAAGAAAATTTCCTGGGCTCTGAAACCTATACAATTTGGGGAGCACATTTAAAAAAAAATACAAAATTGTATCCCAAATTAGGTGCAAAATGAATATTTATTTAGAATGACAAAAGAAATTATAGACGATTACAAATTTGATGACAAATATCAATGACAATTATAAATCACAGAATGATGACAAATTCGTATAGGTTGCAAAATTCAGAAAAATTATATATTTTAAAAAAATTTCATTGCCTGACATGCCTCTATAATGCTTTTTTTCTTACAGGTTTTGGTTGCATACTCTTTGATTAATGTTTCCATATGAAAATGATTTGGTAGTATTTTAGATATTATTTAGAGAGTAGATAGAAATTAATTATTTCCTCCAGGTCAGCTGGTTGCCTTATTTTCAATTATTGAGAGTTTAGAAAAGCTTTTTTTAAAACCTTGCCTCTCATTATTGGTAACATCATGTGCATTTAGGGATTGTTGTCAAATTTAGGAGAACTTTTATCAAGTTTTTTCATATATGAGCTATTGCAGTTGTATTTGTGCTTTGGAAACTGCAATAGGCCTTTGGAAACTGCATAGCATCCTACTCAATTCTATTTTACATTATTCCCTTCAAAAATGAAAAAAGGACTTATAGTACAAATATGATTTTATGTTCTGCCTTATTTAATATGTTCCTCTATAAATGAACTTCTGTTTTGACTAGGCATTCATGGGAGCTGAAGCTATCACTTACGATTTTATATGCCTAATAGCCAGAAGATAATCCCACAGAACGCTGCAGGTTCTGTACATTTCAAGGCTTGTTTTTACTGCATTACCCACCTACTTCTGGAGCTGGGTGCCAATGGGCACATTCATGTCACGATGCTGAGAGAGTTTGCAGAGTGGGCAGTGAGAATATTTTTGGAAGCCATTTCTATACCAACATGGCCAGCAATGACTTATCCTTGAGAGTGATGCAAACCACAGAAATATATCCCACTAAACCTAAACTAAATACATCCCAACTCAAACCCCCTTAGCAGATACCAGAAAAGCCTTTGGCCATTCTAATGCCACCTGACAGAAAGAGAAGTTTGACAGAGCAGAAGAGAGAACGGACAGTGACACTGGGGTCTTCCAGTTGTATTTAAAACTTCTTACCTTTACAAATTCAGTAAGAAATGTAGAATCACATAGGCACATCTAAGGTCCCTCCCATGGTCTTGACAGTGGCCTGTGAGTGAGGGGCGTGAATTTGAAGTTTCACTCGCATCCCAGGGAATCAGCCTCTGCTGGTGGATAATAGCAATCTCACCCCACTCCCTTCTTGAATGGAAAATAAAGAGTTGGAAAAACCTGTAGAGATACTGGATTTTCATGTCACCCACAGCACTTAGGATCTAAGCCGTAGCCCTGTGTGAGCACTCTGCTGCAGTTGTGGTGGTGGTTGTCAATTATTGTAGTGACTTCATTCTCCAAAATACTCTTCTAGAGTTTTGTTAAAATCTGCGTCTTGTGGAGGAAATGCATCTTATATACTGTCATTGTCCACCAGATATGCCCCACACCCAGAAAAATGGCAGAGGACCACTGTGCTGGTGGGAGGCCTTTATATTACAGATAGAGAGAGGTGAGAGCTGCTCCAAGATTGCTGGGCCAGGATTAGACACCTCCTAAGCCATCCTTACCCCAAAGCTCTTCCCACTAGTTCAGAGCAGAGTCTCACCTTTAAGGTGGTTCCATCGCTCCTTCTCATACCCACTGAAATCCCACATGCACAGCTTTCAAATGGGTCTTTCCTAGTATATTGGTCAGCTATTGCTCTAATAAAGTTGTGTAACCCATTAGTCCAAAGCTCTTTGGCTTGAAACAATTACAATTTACTTTCAGGGATCCATGGGTGAACTACATAGGCTAGTATTGTGCTGCAGAATCGTGGACCTAGTTTGGTTACACGTATTTCTTATCCTTCTTTGTACCAGAGGACTAGAAGTATGTTCTTCTCAGGGTGATGGCAGGGGTACAAGACAGTAAACAGAAACAGGTGAAATCTCTTAAGGCTTAGGGCTTGGAACTAGCACGCTATGGCTGTCATCCACATGCCACTAGTCAAAGCAAATCATATGGCCAATTTCAAAGTCAAGGGTGAAACATACACTCCACTCATAAGGAGACTATGCCAAGGGTGTGGACACAGGGAGGGGTGAAAAATTAGGGCCAATAATTCATTCTACCATACCTCTGAAGAAGAACAGATGACAGATGAGTGAAGCCAGCAGCCATAAGGATGAGGTAACTGGAAGTGCCACAGACAACACAGCTTTAGCAGGGCATTTGGCAAGGGCAAATGTGGACAGCCGAGTGGACTTATTGCTAAACTGCTGTGCCCAAAGAACATTGACTAATAGATAGTTGTCCATCTGGAAAAGGCTTGCAGTGGCATGCTATCAGCTTTTGCTCTGCTCCACTGTTTTTATCCACATCTTGGATGTAGGCATTGGAATCATCTTTTATTGAATTTGCAGAGATACACAGCTGAGCAGCATGACTAGTGCCCTGATAACAATATCAAAATTCAAATTGGTATCAACAGGCTGAATATATGGGCCTAAAACCACCAGAGTGAATAAATAAAGAAAGGAGCTAACATTTATTGAATACCTGCTACCTACCAGGCACACATTTTTTTAAATCACTAGAACACTTTGAAGCAGATGTTATTGTTCTCTTTTCTCAGATTACATAAAAATGACATCCTAGAAAAAGAATAACAAACTACATCCTAATCAAGCAGAATAAAGCAAATAAAAATTAGAATGGAAATGAATGAAAGAAAGGATAGAAAAACAATATGAAAATCAACAAAACCAAAGCTGGCTCTTTAATAAGATCAACCAAATTGACAAACCTTTAGTAAGACTGATCAAGAAAAAAAGGGAGAAGATTCAAGTTATTAAATCGGGAATGAAAGAGAAGACATCACTACCAACTTACAGAAGTAAAAGGGATTATAGGAGAATACTATACTGTATATATACAGTATAGGAGAATACTGTACTGTATATATACAGTATAGGAGAATACTGTACTGTATATATACAGTATAGGAGAATACTGTATGCCAACAAATTAGATAACTTGGATGAAATGAACAAATTTCTAGAAAGATGCACATCTCCAAGACTGACTTGGGAAGATATAGAAAATCTGAATAGACCTATAACAAGTAAAGACATCAAATATGTAATATTAACACTTCCCAAAAAGAACAGCCCAAGCCCAGAGGGATTCACTGGTGAATTCTATTAAATATTCCAAAAGGAATTAATACAAAATTCTTTACAAACTCTTAAAACTTAGAAGAGACGGAAACACTTTCCAACTCATTCTATGAAGCCAATGTTACCTTAATGCCAAAACCAGACAAAGATATCACAAGGAAAAGAGAAACTTGTAGAACAAGATCTCTTATAAATATAGATGCAAAACCCTCAACAAAATACTAACAAACTAAATCCAGCAATATTTTAAAAGAATGATATACTATGCACAAGTGGGATTTGTCCTGCAAATGGAGATTAGTTTAACATACAAAAATCAACTAATATATGACATCACATTAATAAAATAAAGGACAGAAAGCATCAGATTATTTCAATAAATGCATAAAAGGCATTTGACAAAAATCAATATTATTTCATAATGAAAGCACTCAACAAACTAGAAACATAAGGGAATTTCCTCAATCCGATTAAGGAAATTTATTTCTTTTTAAATCCACAGCTAGCATCATACCACATGGTGAAAGCCTGAAAACATTCCCTCAAAGATCAGGAACAAGTTAAGGATGTCTGTTCTCATCACTTCTATTTAACATGTACTGGAGGCTCCAGTAAGGGCCACTAGGTAAGAGAAAGAAAAAAAGGCATCAAGATTAGAAAGGAGGAAGTAAAATCTGCTGGTAGATTACATCATCCTGTACACAGGAATCCTAAGAAATCTACTAAAACACAACTGGAACTAATAAACGAGTTCAGCAATGTGGCAGAATACAAGGTCAATATATTACAATCAACTGTATTTTATACCAGTAATAAACACTCCAAAATCAGAATTTTTTTTAAAAAAGCTGTTTACAATAGCACCAAAAAGAATAAATACTTAGGTATACATTTAACAAAAGAAATGCAAGACTTTTATGATTTGTATGCTGACAACTACAAAGTATTGGTGAAAAAATTAAGGAAGAGCTAAATAAGTGGAAAGACATACCATGCTAATAGTTTGGAAGACTTAATATTATTCAGATGGCAATACTCCCCAAATTAACCTACAGATTCAATGCAATACCTATCAAAATCCCAACTTCCCTTTTTTGCATAAATGAGAGCTAAATTCATGTGGAAATTTTAGAGACGCAAAATAGCCAAAACAATCTTGAAAAAGGAAAACAAAGTTGGAAGACTCACACTTCCTGATTTCAGTAGTTACTACGATGTACAGTAATCGATACTGTGTGGTACTGGCATAAGGACAAACAGATTGATCAATGAAATAAAATTGAGAGTCCAGAAATAAACTCTTATATTTATGGTCAATCAATTTTTGACAAGAGTGCCAAGACCATCAATGGGGAAAGAATAACCTCTTTTACAAATGGTGCTGGGAAAACTGGATTTCCATATGCAAAAGAGTGAAGTTGGACCCTACCTCACACCACATACAAAAATTAACTCAAAATGGATCAATGGATCAAATGGATCACTTAAATCATAAAAGCACTTAAACCATAAAACTCTCAGAGGAAAACACAGTGGTGAATCTTTATTATCTAAGGCTTGCCCTGAATTGTTTATGTATGACACCAAAAGCACAAGCAGCAAAGGAAAAAACAGATAAATTAGACTTTGTCAAAATTAAAACCTTTTGTGCTTCAAAGGACATCATTAAGAAAGTGAAAAGACAAACCAAATAATAGGAGAAAATATTTGCAAATCAGATATTTTAAATAGAACTTGTATCTACAATAAATAATACATTCTTATAACTCAATATTAAAAAGAAAAGTAACCTATTTTTTAATGGGAAAAAAGTTCGAATAGACATTTCTCCAAATAGTATGTATAATGACCAACAGGAATGTGAAAAGATGCTCAACATCATTGGTTATTAGAGAAATGCAAATCAAAACCACAATGAGATACCACTTTATGCCCACTAAGAAGATATAATTAAAAGACAGACAATTGTGTTTGTAAAGAATTGAAGAAATTGGAACCCTCATACATTGCTGGTTGGAATGTAAAATGGTGCAGCCACTTTGGAAAACTGTTTGTTCCTCAAAACGATAAATGTAGGGTTACCATACAACCCATCTATTCTACTCCTAGGTATATACCCAAGACAAATGAAAACATATATCCTTAAAAACTCTTATGCATACATGTTCATAGAGCATTATTTATAATAAGTGAAAAGTAGGAACAACCCAAATGTTCATTCGTTGATGAGTTGATAGACAAAATGTGATACATCTATGCAATGAAATATTATTTGCCAGTAAGAAGGAAATGAAGTATTGACACATACTACAACATGATGAATCTTGAAAGCATTATACTAAATAAGTCAGGCATAAAAGATCACATACCTTATGATTCCATTTCTATGAAATGTCCAGACAGATATATACATAGAGACAGAAGGTAGATTAATGATTGTTTAAGGCTGGGATAGGGTTAGGAGAGAAATGCAAATTGACTGCTACTAGGTACAGAATTTTTATTAAGGAGGAGAAAAAATACCTAAAATTAGATTGTGGTGATGATGTCACAACCATGTGCACATACTAAAAAACATTAAGTTGTATACTTAGATGGGTGAATTATGTGCCACAAGACATACCTCAATAAAACTCTTTAAAAAATAAACTTTCTA
Organism: Homo sapiens; assembly: GCF_000001405.40. Classification (NCBI taxonomy): domain Eukaryota; kingdom Metazoa; phylum Chordata; class Mammalia; order Primates; family Hominidae; genus Homo; species Homo sapiens. Next base: position 134,719,439 of record NC_000003.12, on the reverse strand, counting down.
CATGGGTGAGAAAATAATCTATATCCTAGGAAAGTGCTTCTTATAGTTTAATGTCCACACAGATCACCTGGGGATTGTGTTAAAATGCAGATTCTAATTCATAGGTTTAAGATGGAGCTTAAGATTCTGCATTTCTGGGCTGGGTATGGTGGCTCACACCTGTAATCCTAGCACTTTGGGAGGCCAAGGCAGAAGGATCCCTTGAGCCCAGGAGTTCAAGACCAGCCTGGGCAACATAGAGAGACCCTGTCTCTATTTTAAAAAGAAAAAAAAAAAGATGCTGCATTTCTAACAAGCTGCTTGATGAAAACAAGTCCTTGTACCACACCTTGAAGAGCAAGGCCCTATGGTAGTTTAGCAGCTTTCTCAGGGTTGCACAGTTAGTGAATGAAGAAAGCCTGGATTCAAATTCATGTGGCCACAGAATTCATACCTAGTGGTTAAGTGAAGGACAGAGTAGCCCTGGCTTCTCTACAACTGTTACGAAAAACAGAGGTTTTATATAACCATAACCTCAATATATCAAAAGTTCACCACAGCCGCTGAAACTATGAATGGAATCTTGGAATCTTAAACTGAATTACTAGAGTGTCCATCCCAGCGAGGAAAGTGTAGCCTTGTGCACTCCAGTCTGATCAAATCCGCTTTGGAATCCAAGGCTCAGATGTGGGAGCCACAATTAAGAGGGGAATTGGAAGGAGAAGCCATGGTTTGTCTAGAAGAAGGTAACCTGCATGGTGAGGAGACTGGAAATCTTATCATAAGGTAAATAGATCAAAATCTAATGATTGGTGAGTTTAAAATGAAGAAGTGAAAATTCAGGCAAGCAAGAATGTCTTTAAACAAAGACTTCCTTTAAAAGAGAATGTGGATGTTTTCTGTCTAACCCACAGGGCAGAACAAAAATTGAACGGGTTAGGTTGTAGAGAAGTCACTCCAATAAATAAAAAAGCAATAAAATTATAATAATTTAAAGCTTCCTGATAATTCAGGACTCAGAAATCAAACACAAATAGATTTAAGCCAGATGGAAAGTTTATTTGCTCACTTAACATGAAAGTCCAGAGAAAGATTTTAAGCACTTCATCTTTCTATACTGTTTTTCTCTATGTTGGCTTCATTATTAGGCATTTTCTTCTTCAGTGGTGGCAAGAGGGCCACTGGCAGCACCAGGCTTAGATTCTACCTACTTTAATAACCAGGAGAATGAATGTGTCTCCTTCCCAAGGGTGCCATCAAAACTCCCAAAACTGATTTTCATTGGACAGCTTGGGTTACATGCCCATTCTAGAACCAATCATACAAACATGGTGTGAAACATGATGATTTACCAGACTTGGATTTAACAGACCCTCCACTAAGGCTGGGAGGTGGGATCAGCCCTGCCCAAACCACAAAGACTGAGACTGGAGGAGGGGTGATTCTCCAAAGAAAAAGTAACCTGGGTGCTCATTCCAGAATAGAAACTTGTCAGTAAAGCCAACAGATTTACACAGTCTGTAAATTAAAGAGGTTCCTTTAGGAGGGAAGGAAGAGTGGGCTCCCATCACCAAAGACATCCAAGCAGAGGCTGAATGACCACCATCAGTTCTGCCCAGCAAGGTGCGGTGAAAGAGAGTCAAATCTTAGATCATCTTGCTTCTAAGGACAGTGATTCTCTATTGTCTCTATGGTCTTCATTCTTGCTCTCAGGCAATTTCTTCTGCCTCAAAAATGCCTTTTGTCATAAAGAAACCTCCTAATTCATATTGCATAGAATTTTTCAGGCCCTAAGTGGAAACAGACATATTTTATTTTGTTTTTCCCTCTTGAATCAGCCTTGTGGCCTAAATGTACACACACTATGTTACTGGCCTCTATGTCTTTGCCCTCGTTAAAGACACACTCTCCTGGGAGACATTAGAATGAGGCTCCAACACAGCATTATCAACTCTTCTACACTACTCTAGTAAATTACCACTTATTTGAGACAAGGTGTTTCGTTTTGCAAAAAGATAAGATCACCCAAGCTAACTTAAGAAAGTGGTGTGTGTGTGTGAGTGTGAGTGTACACATGCACACGTGTGGATGGGTGGAGCAGGGTAACACTACCCAGTTATGCAGTGTTTGAGGAGTTTGATGCAGAAATCACTGCCAACCTCAAAGAAACTGAAAACTAACTGAGTTTCCACAGTCAGGATGGCCATGGAACTTTAGCAATAGGAGTTTAAACAGCCTCATCCAGTGCTCTGCCATTATTCACCTGCCTCAGCCATTGTTCACGTGTTCGAATCTCCACACTCAGTATCAACTGACCTGCCTTTCACTGTACCATTCCCATGTCCTGAAAGAAGCATCTCATTGGACCAGCTCCTGTGTTGCTCCAGACAATAGGCCAGACCTAGTCTAAGCCTCTGCCTTTTTTCCAAATATCCATGGTCAAAAGGGGAGGCATGACACCTGGCACAGATTTGGCAGCCAGGTTGCCCTTCAGTAAGTTTATGCTCAGCACCTTTGGAAGGTGGTGCTCACCTAACCAGCAGCCTGAGTTTGTCATGTGCATCCGTCCTTTTGTACTTGAGTGTTGCAGCGAAGATTTGAGCGTCCTGCCTAGCATTCTCCCTGTAAGTAACTAACCAACTGAAAGGGTGTAAAGTAATTGACCATCAGAGAAAAACAAAATTATTGTCTTTTCAAATGACAGAAGCAGAGGAGGCTGGATTGGGGGGGTGGCTGTTGTGCATGACTCCGAAGACAGTACCAACAGAGGAGTTTGGATTGTGAAAAAGGATTTGGTGGCTTTGTATCAAAGCACAGGTGTCCTCTGTACCTCTGGCTAATAAGAAGGGGAGGTTCAGGTCTACATATTCATGCTCTACCCAAGGAGGGGCTTGGATGTATGGCAGACTAGACAGACCCTAGACAACCCAAACTATGCATGACAGGAAGGGCACATGAGCCGCCAAATATCCACCATATACAGATTGACCACCCCCTCTCAAACTTTACTTCCTCTTCCCTGCAAAACTTCCAGGGGATTCACTGGGGAAGGGGTCATACCTACAGGACTATGATGTCAGAAAGAGCCAGACCACAGAGCAATTCAGCCCTCTGTTCCTTGCTGAGAATAAGACTGAAAACACTTGACAATATGAGCATCTGAGGACTCACTAGCCCTAACCTAAAGACCATTTCCATGAAAATATACAGCCACAGGGCCTACAGGGAATTCTAAGAGATGCACTGTTTCCAGGCACTGCAAGAGAATCGGACAGAGTAATTAATGGAATCTTATAAAACAAATTCAAATTGATCAGTCAGTAAATGAGAGTATTGCCACCCAGACTGAAACTGATTTAAAGGAACATAAATTGAGTCAATAATAAATGTGCAGGGAGACAGGAGTCGGGGAAAGTATCTGGTGTAGCATTATTGGAGTTGATGTTATTTATTATAGGGGATTAATAGTGATAAAAAAAAAAGTCTTTGAAAGAACCTACAAGGGAAAACTTAGATCTATAAGTAAGATCTGGTTTTAGGAGCTTAATTGAAAATATTAAATAGGAGACAACAATTTAATTAAATATAAAGATGATGATAAATTTGTGGGGTTGTATCTAGTCATGGAAAGAGAGATCTTGAACAAAGGGTTCTGGTGTGATCAGTGGGCTAGTAAACAGAAATTTTTGTAAAGGGGAAATTTGAAGTGCATCAATTGTGAGCTTCCTTCTACCCTTCCCCATGAGGCTCCTATAACATACCAGTACCAGGACCCCTTTGGGGCCAAAGCCCTCTTTAAAGGAAGACCTAGCCCCGCATTGCTCTGAGAATCTTAGGAGATTGCACTGATATCACAATGTGCAATGCACTGTGAGACCCCGGGCCTATCTGCCTCCCAACCCAGTCTAGAGAGAGGAAAAAACAAAAAAAAACAAAAAAAAAAAACCTTTCCTGGCTGCACAACCCTTCTGGCATCAACACCATCCCTGCATGTGCAAGTGCGCAGGCATTACCCCATGTCTATCATGCATAATGCAGGCTACCCCAGAATCACCCAGCTTCTATACAGGAACCAGTAGAAGTTGTGCAATTCATCGCTAGGTGACTTAGAGTAATAAGTGAGGAAATTCAGGATAGAGAGCTGTGATGCTTCATCCTGGAGTAGCTGACCTTCAACCTCTGGCTGACCCCAAATGATGTTATCCAATCACCCCTACTCCACATGGGCTCATAAAACAGAAGGCCACAGCTGGATTCGGGCTCTGTATGGAGGAGAGATGGACAGTAGTATCCTGATAATTGGACAAGAAGAATGCATGCAAATTACAGGAACCATGAGCTCAAAAGAGTTGGGACAAAGAGCAAGAGACAAGGAAGCCCAGCAACAAAGATGTGGAGGGCTTCTCCTCAGCAGCCTAGAAGCTATGCTCCAGCATCAAGTCAGGATGCCTTCCCTGGATGGCCTGCCTCCCTAGCTGGGTTTGGGACACCCTCCTCTGTGGTCCCATGACACTTTATGCATGGGCTTTACCTGGGCATTTAGCCCGTTGTCTTATGGTCACCATTTACCTACCTGTCTTCTCCATTGGGGTGGATCATATTCATCTTAGTCTCCCTGGCACTCAACACAGAAGTGGACAATGTACTGTGGCTGATTGAATGAATGGCTGGCCAGGAGACTGGCTCATTTGGAGGAGAGCAAATCTTCAGAGCCCAAGACTGTGGTGGTTACAACCACCTGTATACAGTCTTAGACATCCAGCTGAGCTGCTGGCCAGGGATAGCTAGATGCTACATCTGCTACCAGCACATGATGGAGTGGATAATGTTTGTGTGACAGATGAGTATCAAGAAATGCCCAGCCTTGACTTTCTTCAGAATCAGCCTGACTCAGCCATTTCTCCATGCAGCTGGACCCCAGCAATGTGCCTCTTTCTGAGCCCTGGGAGCAGGCCTGAGGTGGGGCCGGGGCCTGTGCTGTTGGTTGTGGGGAGAGAGAGGGAGCACATTCAAAAAGCACCAGTGGACACAAGATGGGACATGAATTAGCACATGTTGAAGCTGAGTGATGGGTGCATGAGGGCTCAGTATATTCCTCTCTACTTTTATGTCCTCTTGCATCTTCCATAGTAACAATTTTTAATAAAATAAATTTTATATTTAAAAAAGACACCAACCTCAAATGATTTTCCCTCAGAGTCTTGTTTTCTTTGACCTCGTCTAACAAAGTGATCCCCAGACCAGCAGTATTGATATTACCTGACAACTCATTAGAAATGCCAATTTCCATGCACAAGTTTGAGAACCACTGGTCTAATGTATTTTCTCCATAACTTGCAGTATCGTGACTTCCACAGCTTGGTGCTATTTCAAATTGTTGAAAGCCCTCTCCCCGCTGCCATAGAGGGTGCTGGTGTCCACTTGGCCCCAGCCCACTCTGGGACTCACCATCCCTTTCACAGACAGCTTGAGGCTGCTGTGGCTCAGCACACAGCGGATCCAGCCTCGGACAGTCTGAGCACTTGTTATGCACCAGGCACAGTTCTGAGCTCTGGACAGGTGTTATCTCATTTGATAATCTCAAGAACTTAGAAGGAAGTTACCATGATTACTTTCATTTTACAAATGAGGAAGTTATTACAAGTGAGGTTTAGATGCATTAAGTAGCTCACCAAGTTCACCTACTGAGTAAGTGGTGAAGCCAGGATTCCAGAGCATTCCTAAACAGCAGGCACCACCACCTTACATTTTTGCCCCTTGTCTGGCTCTGACTGTGTGGCCCAAGACCAATCTCATACCCCAGACCAAGCCTGCACCCAGCTTGGACCTCTGGGCTCAGGTACCTAAGAAGGGATCCCCCAGGTAGAGTGGCTGTGCAATGGGTTCATAAGAAGTTCCATGATGCCATGTAGGATCCAAGCTCCTTCCTTCTTTCCTTTCACCTATTCTCAGCTTAGACCTTTCTGCCTCAGAGACCAGCTCCCCTCGGGGTCACAAGGCGTCAGCCAACATTCCTGGCATCATGTCCAGGTAGTAAGAAGGGAGGTTATTTCTTCTATTTAAGAGCAAGGAATCCTGTCTGAGCAGACCTCCCCCATGTGTCATTGGCTGGAACTGGGTGACATGCCCATCTCTACACCAATTGCTAGCAAGGGGAAATGAGACTGACTTGACTGGCTTAGCAGAGTCAGGATGTCCCCCTGGGTTCCATAGTGGAGGTGTAGACACAAATAAAATTGGGACTCAGCCAAAAAGAAAGAGGGAGAATGGCTGCTCCAAGTCCTGTCCCTGGAGCCCATGCCAGGACCTTGGGGTAGGAGAAAACTGTCCTAGTATGCTGCCCAAAAGAGGGAAAAACAAACGTTTGTTAAGTTTTTGAGAGTTCAGTATTATTTGTTACAGATGCCTGTCCTGAGTGATACCAACATGGAATCCCTGCTCTCATGTTGCATAGACAGAAAACTGGAGCATTTTACTCCAGAGAAATGGAATCAGACATGCTCTGGCCTGGAACAGTCCAAGGGAACCAGTGAGTGAGGGTGAGGCCTCACTGAAAGTCCCAGCTCTCTCCTTGCCTCCCTTGGTTCCCAGGCAGCCAGATTTATATTCAGGCAAGAAACTGCAAAAGTATTCTCTGGAAAACTGCCCCAAGAGAAAACACTCTATAATTTGAGTTCCCCCCAGAAAACATCAAATACCTGCCTGACGTCCCTGCAGCAAAGTCTTCTAGTCACCAAGCCACACGCAGCCAGTGAGAAATGCCAGCCAAGGATCTCCGGAGTGGCAAAAGCCAAGACCAGATCAAATAACCACAAACAAACTAAAAGAAAAAAGAAAAAGAACTTGGAGGAAACAGAGAATCCAGGGAGAGAAAAAACTTTTTTGAATAAATACTTAAAGGAGAGAAAATGTTTCATATGCAAATAAGAATATGATGTTATTTTTGAAAAAAGAAGAGAGAAAAGGAGTTTTATGAAATTTGTTAAAATAATTGAAATTTTAAAATGTAATAAAAAGAATAGAAGATAAAATTGAGAAATATTCCCAAGAGGTAGAATTGTTTTAAAAGACAGAAACTAAGGGGGTCCCCTAAGAAATAAAATTATTAATTCAGGAGTTCTAAAATCTGACAACGGGAGTTCCAAAAAGATAGCACAGAGGAAAGAGGGGGAAAAATTACCAAATAAAAAATACAAGGATATTTCCCAGGAGTGAGAATCAGAGTTTCCAGATTAAAAGGGCTTATCCACTGCCCAACACAATGGATGGATTTAAAAAAACAAACAAAGACAACAAAAACCTGCTCTCACCAAAGCACATGATCATGAAGTTTTAGAATATGGGGCAAAATTTTCCAGAGAGAAACAAACAAAAGTCACACGTAATGATCAAGAATGAGTGACATCAGGCTGGGCTTGGTGGCTCACGCCTGTAATCCCAGCACTTTGGGAGGCCGAGGAGGGTGGACCACCTGAGGTCAGGAGTTTGAGACCAACATGGAGAAACCCCATCTCTACTAAAAATATAAAAATTAGCCGGGCATGGTGGCACATGCTTGTAATCCTAGCTACCCAGGAGCCTGAAGCAGGAGAATCACTTGAACCCAGGGGGCAGAGGTTACAGTGAGCCAAGATTGCACCACTGCACTCCAGCCTGGGCAACAGAGTAAGACTCTGTCTCAAAAAAAAAAAAAAGAAAAGAAAAGAAAAAAATAATAGTGAGTGGCATCAGACCTCTCTAAACAGAAGCTTCTAACAGCTAGTTAGAAGACAATGGTGCAAAGCCTTCAAAATAAGAAGGAAATACGATATTTAAATGGGCACTCCATAGTCAAAATATTAATTATCAGTTACCAATAAAGACATTTTCAAACATTCAGAGTCTCAAAGTGGTGCACCCTTTCTCAGGAAGCCACAGGAGGTCATGAGTCATCAAACAAGGGAATAACCTAAGAAAGTGGAATAAATCAAATAGAGGGCACAGGGACCTCTTGTAACCACAGTGAAGAGAGGTCACAGGATGACAGTCACAAGTATGCAGAAGGCCTGAAGGGAAACCAGGAAACATAGAGGAATCCAGGGTGGATGTCCCCAAGGAAGCTGTGAAACTGATAGATTGCCTGCCACATTAGGAAGGAGACTTGGTAAATTTAGTGATAAAGACATGAAGATAAAGCAAATTAAAAATGAGACAATAATCCCCACTTCCCAACTCTCCTGGAAAAGAATAAGCAATAAGTTTTGGAGAAAAGAAATGTAACTGTAGAACAGTAATCTGTTTAGTTGTCAATTATATTTATAGTCATACTAACGTAAATACTGAATATTTATTTAATCAAATTTGGTGAAATAAAAAGACTGGGGGAAGAGAAGAGTGGAGGGTCATGTGTGTACATAAAATTTTGGGCTAAATCCTAATCTTGAAATAAAAGTCAATGGATAGGCCGGGCACAGTGGCTCAAGCCTGTAATCCCAGCACTTTGAGAGGCTGAGGCGGGCAGATCACAAGATCAGGAGATCGAGACTATCCTGGCCAACATGGTGAAACCCCGTCTCTACTAAAATACAAAAAATTAGCCTGGCATGGTGGTGCGCGCCTGTACTGCTAGCTACTTGGGAGGCTGAGGCAGGGCAATCACCTGAACCCAGGAGACTGAGGTTGCAGTGAGCTGAGATCATGCCACTGCACTCCAGCCTGGCAACAGAGCAAGACTTCATCTCAAAAAAAAAAAAAAGAAAGAAAAAGAAAAAAAAAGGAATGGATAAATCTAAAACTGGAAGACAAAGAAACCAAAGTACGATTGTGTAATTTAGAAATACAAAGATGAACTGAAAAAGCAGTGGCAGCTCTTTAGGGCGTGGTGCCTGGGGTGGGAAGGAGGGGATGGCTGTTGTTCATCATAAGCCAAAGCCAGGCCACACTGTTTGAATTGTTCAACTATGCTCGTGTTATTTCTGTAAAAACATGTTTTTGAAAATTGTAAAAATGATTTTCGCTTGTTCCAAGAGATTCCACCGGAACCTGGGCTTCTTGCAGTGAGCCTGTGGAGTGCTGGGTCAGGGTGGACGTGTTCTCATTGCAAACAGCACACAGCCTCCCTTCACTTGCTGCAGAACTCTTCATTCTAACAAATGACACTACTGGAGCTTTTGAAAACCCCAGGGAGAGGCCAGCCAGCCTTTTTCCTGGTTGGCCTCAAACTTCCAGCTTGACCTTCCCTGGTCTCTGACACCTCCAGCAGCCGACCCGTTGTGCTGGGTCTAAGAGCTGGTGAGTCCAGCCCCAGGATTTAGAGGCAGCCTTAGACCTTCAGACTCTCTTGAAAGATACTTGCCTGTGGCTGAGGTCCCAGGCCAGCTGGGAACTGAAGCGTGGGTCCCCACCCCTCCATCTGGCCCCAGACCTCTGAACACCCAATGGCCACAACAGTTTCCACATTGCCACTGCTTCTTGCCAATGCAGTGAAGGGTGGGAGGAGTGGGGAGAAGACAAAACTGAATTTAGAGTGAAAAGACTCTGTTCAAATCTGTGCCCAATCTAACTAGATGAATAATCACAGATTGTTCATTTTTCTGCCATTAACGGATCACCATCCTATTCTATTAATGCCGGGTGCACTCTAAATATCTTACCTTTCTTAATCAAGATGTCAAGTGACTCATAATAACTGCTAACTCAGCTCTGTTGGCCCCAAGTCTGGATTCTTTCCACCATTCCAGACTGTCTCTATAAATGGAGAGGGACATATCTGATTCCCAGAAGGGATGCAAAGTTGCACTGGGAGAATATTTATGAGCAAGTGCTGCACTGCACAAGTGTCCATTTATTCATGTAAGAATTGTTTATGCAAAACCTATGGTAGGTGAAGTTTATGTCCTCAAAGAGGGCAAGTCCAGTGTGGGAAGAAGACATCAGAATAAATAGATGTCGCTCCCTGATAACTGTCTCTGACCAACCCCCACCCCCACCCCCCAGTTATTTCTGGGAGTCCTCAGATGTGTCTCACATGTGTTTGTGAACATGTCCTATGACTGATCATATAGCAGCAGTCATTCCCCTCCTCTGCTATTCTTTATTTTCTAGGACTATCAACTTGGCTATCTCCAAGCACAGTGGCATCCAGGTGCAATCACCCTCATCATTTCCTACCTCCACCCCCACAGCAATGTCCAATACTCTGGAATCCTGAAGTTGCCAAACTGGGACTAGAGCATCTGGAGCCTATGAGAACTGAAGCCACACTGCATTCTGTGCCTAGAGGGAGGAAATGTTCCTCTTCCTCGGCCTCCTCTCTCATGGGAAGCTCTATCATCTGGTGCCAAAATGAGGTGGCTCCTACGCCAAAGGTCTATCAAGGTCTTCATTAAAAAATATCCTTTCATCTGTACCTTTCATCTGTACCCTGGGTCTTATATGTGTCCACAGGACACTGAGCTGTGGGCAAGTCCAAGTGACAACCCCTATGAAGACAGTGGTTTTTTTCCTGAGCCTAAGTCCTGTCTGACTCCCTCTTCCCAGGAAACTCCTTAATCTCTCATAAAAATAATCTTCCCCCACCCCCACTAGCCTTCCAGACACACACTCACAGGGCTGAGTGACTGTGATTGGCTGCCCCCACAACACACACAGACACATTCACAAGGTGGTCGCCACCGCATCCTGAATCATCTTGCTTGGTCATCCCTCCATGATCAAGGTCCAGCACTCTTAAACTTTATCATTTGGGGGCAAAAGGGGGCAGGAAGGCATGTGCTTCTCCCCATATCCTCTCTTGTTACATCTCAGAGAAAGCCCTGAAATTTCAAAGGATACGAGTATTTAATAATTGATGGCAACAGAACATAAAACACCGTAGTCTGGGAACACGAAGTACAATATGGAGAAAAATGCCAGAACTGTGTTTGTGCTGTGATGGAATAAAAAGTATATAAACTTTTCAACAGCTAGACAGAACTGCAGAACAGGGGAAATATGAGGGCCACTCCAAGCCTGGAGAGGCCTGACAGGGCCCTTCATGACCAATTCTATCACACACAGCTTATAAATTTCCAGACTTCTTGCTCATTTCCTCAATGACACATCAAGATAATGAAAAATTCCCCTCTGCAACCCATTCCCCTGGGACCCTGGTCTCTGCCAGGCAAAGCATTATTGTTGTTGAAAATCTATGACTAATTGAACAAATTAATCTCTGATAAAAGATTAATGCAAAGATGGCAAATGGATTTCATTTCTGCTGCCAACTGTGATTGATTGGCAGGGGGTTCTTAGAATGCTCATTTGAGAAGGACTGTGGCCAGAGCTTAGCTCAGCAAGCAAGGGTGCAAGGATTGATTCACAATGTCTGCCCTGAGCCCTCCAGGGACAATGGCATTATAAGTGCTGCTTGTTTGCCATCCTAGGATTAGTGACTGCCCTAGGTTATCCTGTCCCTCCCTTGCATACACATGTGCATTTTGGCATGGTCCTTGGAGGAAAGAGGTCTTACCCCAATCAGTGAAAGACCGTGAGCCCTTGAGGATATGTGTGGCCAGATGAACCCTCCCAGCTCTTTTGGGGACAGCCCTTTCCATGCATTGGGAAGACTTGAGCTCACCAGCAGTGTCTCTGGGGCCTTCAATAGGGCTTCAACCCAGAGTGAGAGGAGGACTGATCATCCATCAATTCCAGTTCACCTCAATGAGCATCATTAATTGTGTTCTCCAAAAAAAAAAAAAAAAAGAAAAGAATCAAAGTGCACAAATACATCTTCTTTACCAGGGGTGCATTTATCCTGCTACTGAGGAGAAGCCTGCACTGTTCAACATCACCGTTGTACAACCTGAAAGTCAAGTCTGTGCCTAACAGCTGTTGCAAACTCTACTCTCTCACAGCAGGGGGAAGAGCAAGAGGAGACAGTAGTAGTGGAACTAGGAGTAGAGCTGATTCCAATGAAATATCAAGGAACAGGAAGACATCTGAAGCCAAGGGGAAAGACACAGAGATCCCTTATCTCCTCTTGCTTTTGATCATCCAATTGCTTGTGCTATCCATTCAGTTAGGATTGTGTAGCCCTCTGGCCCCTGTACCTTGTACTCCTGGTAGCCTAAATCTTACTCAGCTATGTATCAGGCCTTCCTTATTTATCTGCACTGGGCTGGTTGTCTTGCCTCTGAGCTCCTGAAAAAAAATCTCTGTATCTCTCAACCATTGCACTTAACATGCAGTTCTGTAGTTGCATATGTATGTGTCTCCTTTTATCCTCTATAGGAAAGAGACTGAGTAGGACTTACCACTCTAGGACAGAACCTAGTGCAGATCCTGGTATGCTGTGAGCATTCAATAAGTTTTGTTGAATGAATGGTGGAATTTGAGACCGTAGTGGTTGAATAGTGTCCCCTAAAAAGATATGTTCAAGTCCTAACCCCCAGTACCTGTTATTGTGACTTTTTTGGAAATAGGGTTTTTGCAGATAAAACTAAGTTAAAGATCTTAGGATGAGATCATCTTAGATTTAGAGTGGGACTTAAATCCAAAGATTGGTGTCTTTATAAGAGAAAGTAGAGAGAGATTTGACATGCAGAGATACACAGAAGGGAAAGCAATGTGAAGAGACAGGTAGAGAATGCAGGATGCATCTACGAGCCAAAAAACACCATGGATTGCTGGAGCCACCAGAAGCTGGGAAGGAGGCTTGGAACAGATTCTCCTTCAGAGCATCCAGCAGGAACCAACCCTGCCAATATCTTGATTTCAGACTTCTAACCTACAGAACTGTGAGAAAATTAATTTCTCTTGTTTTAAGCCACCATGTTTGCATAATTTGTTAAGGCGGCCCTAGGAAACTCATAGAGAGACTTAGAGGTGAACCTTGAGAATGTCAACCATCAAGGGGAGAGTTGATGAGACTGGAATAGGGTGAGGCAGGATAGGTCCCTAGGAGCAACCTTTAAGGAGACAGTCATTCTCAGGGTCTTACAGGTACCTCCTCCTAGTCTCAGTCCTAGAGTTAACAGTCCCCTGCCAAGATGTTCTTTCTCATCTTAGCATCTCATAGCTGGAGAGCCTTCAAGTCCAAACATACCCATTTTGTAGGAGAGGAAACTGAGACCTGTATAAGTAAAATGACTTGCCCTAAGTAATGAAACCAGTTAATAGAAGATCTGAGACTACAAGCTGATTTTAAGCCTACAGATCGACCAAGAACCCTAAAGATCAAAACTCCCACACCCTCAATTCCTGAGAAAACAGTCAATAGCTTGCCTAAGGCCTCCCACTACCACACCAAATTTTTCGTGACAGGGTGGAAAGAAATGGGTTAGGAAAGTTAAGGGACTTCTAATCAACATGTTAAAATTTCTACCACTTAGTTCTGTCCTCTCCCCTCTACCCACTAAGCCCTACTTCCACTTACCTTGTGACTTTGAGTTAGTGCCCCCCTCCACCACCACCAAACCTCTCTGAGTTTCTGTAAAATGATGGGTTAGTGCTGGTGGCCTCTGGTTTTTCCAGTTCAAATATTCCTGGTTTATAATCAATTCTATGAATTTGTCACTGAAAAAGTCACTTAACACACAGAAAGTTATGTAAGGTCCTGAATCAGAAGACTTCAACACAATCAAAATCATAATTGAAGAAAAGAAGAAATTCATACCTCTTCCCATCTATATCCTGAGCTTGTCCCACCAACAGCCTCCAGGACAATGAGAGCGAACCAAATGTGGTAAGTGTGAGCTCCCCACTGGCATTCAGGCCCAAGTACAGGTGAGCAGCCACCAACAGCTCTGAGGACTCAGCTCCCCATAAGAAGGGTTGGAGTCTGGTCAGGTACTCACCAAGGTGACAAGAAAGAGAATCATCCTCAAACATAAACCCTGGCTGTATTGAGACCCTGCACATTTAGATCTCACAGTGGATCTACTATGGTTTGGAGAAGGTTCATCCCCACCAAAACTCATATTGAAATTTGATTCTCAATGGAAACATATTGGGAGGTGAGGCCTGATGGGAGATGTTTGGGTCATGGGGGCAGGTCCTTTATGAATGGCATGGTGCCATTCTGGCAGTAGTGAGTTCTTGCTCTGGTGAGACTGGATTAGTTCTCAGGGAATGGATGAGTTCCTACAGGAGTCTCCCGTAAGACCCCCCACTCAGGTTTTGCTCCTTCTCATGTGTCTGCATCCCCTTTGACTTTCTCCACCATGTTATGACACAGCACAAAAACCCTCCCTAGAAGCTGAGCAGATGCCAGTGCCATGCCCCTTGAAATTCCCAGCCCACAGAACTGTGAGCTAAGAAACCTCTTTTCCTTATAAATTACACAGCCTTTTGTATTTTGTTATAACAACTCAAAATGAACTAAGACAGAATCCAAAAGGGTTGGGGACCCTTAGCCTCTTGCAGGTTATTTTTGTTTAATTTTGTTTGCTTTTCTAGGACTGCAGATATTCCTCCTAAAGCATTCTATATAAAAAGGAAGGTAGACTCTGGGGATGCTATTTGGGACCTATGGTTCTTGGAAACTGGTTATAAGACCTAAGCTGTTAGAAGAGAATCAAGCTGATTCTGCTCTGCTTCTGTAGGTCTAGTTTCTCTCTTCAAGGAGAGCTCAGAAACCCCTGCCACGCCCCACCTCTTCAACAAGCCATAGCTCTTCCATTCTGGGATTCACACACTATTTGCAGAAGTTCCCAGCCCAAGAGCAAGTCCCAGCTTGTCCAGCTAGTCCAAATAAAGCACATAGGGACCATGATGGCAGATTGGCTCACAGGCTCACAAGAGAGGTGCACTGCCCAGTGTCTGGGAGCAGACTCCCTCTGCAAATAGCAGGCATGGGCAAGCCCTGGCTCCAGAGGAGAAAGACTGCTGGAAATGTCTCCCCATGGACAGGGCTGGGGCTGGAACCATTCCTAATCATAATGACCTCTGGATTTAAGTGGAACAAACTTCTAAGAATGGCTTCCATCATTTTCTCTCTCTCTCTTTTTCTGTTTTTCCTTCTTTATCTGACTCTGTCTGCCTTCTCTTCTTCCTTCTCTCTTCCTGCTTTCGTTCTCTCTCTCTCTCCCTCTTTCCCTCCCCTACTAAATGTCTACTGGATGTTAGGTGTGGCCCTGGGTGCTGATGATGCAGACATGAATGAGGCCCAATTCTTCCTCAGGGAGCTCACAGACTGGAAAGAGAAGTCATAAATTTGCATATACAGAAGTACATGGCAGTGGGGAAGCACAAGAAATGGGATACCCAAGCCTGCTTCAAAGAACGTAACATTTGAGTTGGAATTTGAAGGATTAATAGATGTTTGTAAGGTGTGAAACCAGGGAAAGGCATTTCAGACTAAAACACTCTAGAAGACAAAATCTTCCTGGCCTGGGAGAATATGCAGCGGTTGGGAAAGTATGGGAAACATGGTATTGCCAGAGTCAGTTACAGGATAAAAGCATGGGGTTAAGCTGAACAGGTAAATAGAGATCACAAAGAGCCATGAGTGCTAAGGTAAGATTAATCCAGAAGCCAATGGGAAAGTATAATTTGAGCAGGAGAGCAGCCTAACCAGCTTTATCTAAGAGAGACTTCAGCATTCAAGTAGGATTTAGAAGCCTTTGGCAGGCAAATACTTCTGCCACAACATGTAGAAGTAAACGGATGCATTTAAAATATATATATTTTTCTATTTTTAAACTTTTTTCCAACTTTTAAGTTCAGGGGTTCATGTGCAGGATGTGTGGATTTGTTGCATAGGTAAACATGTGCCATGGTGGTTTCCTGCACAGATCATCCCATCACCTAGGCATTAAGCCCAGCATCCATTAGCTATTCTTCTTGATCTTCTCCCTCCTCCCACCCCTGATCTTTTAACAGGCCCCCGTGTGTACTGTTCCCCCCGGCCATGTGTCCATGCATCTCATCACTCAGCTCCCACTTATAAGTGAGAACATACGGTATTTGGTTTTCTATTCCTGCATTAGTTTACTAAGGATAATGGCCTCCAGCTCCATCCATGTTCCTGCAAAGGACATGATCTCATTCCTTTTTGCAGCTGTGTGATATCCCATGGTGTACATGTACCACATTTCCCTTATCCAGTCTATCATTGATGGGCACTTAGGTTGATTCCATGTCTTTGCTATTGTGAATAGTGCTGCAATAAACACATGTATGTATCTTTTTTTTTTTTTTTTTTTTTGAGACGGAGTCTCACTCTGTCACCCAGGCTGGAGTGCAGTGGCGCTATCTCGGCTCAGTGCAAGCTTCGCCTTCCAGGTTCATGCCATTCTCCTGCCTCAGCCTCCCAAGTAGCTGGGACTACAGGCACCCACCACCACGCCTGGCTAATTTTTTTGTATTTTTAGTAGAGATGGGGTTTCACTGTGTTAGCCAGGATGATCTCGATCTCCTGACCTCATGATCCACCCATCTCAGCCTCCCAAAGTGCTGGGATTACAGGCATGAGTGACCGCACTCGGCCACATGTATCTTTTTAATAGACTGTTTTATATTCCTTTGGGTATATACCCATTAATGAGATTGCTGGGTCAAATGATATTTCTGCCTCTAGGTCTTTGAGGAATTGCCACACTGTTGTCCACAATGGTTGAACTAATTTACACTCTCACCAACAGTGTAAAAGCATTCCTTTTTCCCCACAACCTCGCCTTCATCTATTGTTTTTTGACTTTTTGATAATGGCCATTCTGACTGGTGTGAGACGGTGTCTTTTTGTGGTTTTGACTTGCATTTCTCTAATGAGCAGTGATGTTGAGCTTTATTTAATGTTTGTTGGCTGCATGTATGTCTTCCTTTGAGAAGTGTCTGTTCATGTCCTTTGCCCACTTTTTAATGTTTTTTTCTTGTAAATTTTTTTCTTAAACAAATTTACAAGATGGTTGTAGGTCAGATGGTTGTAGGTGTGTGGTCTGATTTCTGGGTTCTCTAATCTGTTCCATTAGTCTATGTGTCTGCTCTTGTACCAGTACCATGTTGTTTTGATTACTGTAGCCCTGTAGTATAGTTTGAAGTCAGGTAGCGTGATGCCTCCAGCTTTGTTCTTTTTGCTTAGGATTACCTTGGCTATTCGGGCTGTTTTTTTTTTTTTGGTTCCACATAAATTTCAAAATAGTTTTTCTTATAATTCTGTGAAGAATGTTAGTGGTAGTTTAATGGGTATAGCATTTAATCTATACCTTGCTTTGAGCAGTATGGCTATTTTCCTGATATTGATTCTTCCCATCAATGAGCATGGAATGTTTTTCCATTTTTTTGTGTCATCTCTGATTTTTTTGAGCAGTGGTTTGTAGTTCTCCCAGAAGAGGTCCTTCACTTCCCCTGTTAACTGTGTTCCTAAGCATTTTTTTCTTTTTGTGGCAATTGTGAATGGAAGTTCATTCGTGATTTGGCTTTTGGCTTGCCTGTTGTTGGTGTCTAGGAATGCTAGCAATTTTTGCACATTGATTTGTCCCTCCATCACAGAGACATTTCCCAATAACATCTTTCCAATACAGTCATATCAAAGATTAGATCAAAGCCCTAGCCCAGATTCAGTAGCTTGTTTTTGTGGGATGGGGAGGGATGTAGGGTCTCACTGTCTCTTATCCTGAAACTTTGCTGAATGAAGTTGCTTATCAGCTTAAGAAGCTTTTGGGCTGAGATGATGGGGTTTTCTAGATATAGGATTATGTCATCTGCAAACAAAGATAGTTTGATTTCCTCTCTTGCTATTTGAACACCCCTTATTTCTTTCTCTTGCCTGATTGCCCTGGCCAGGACTTCCAATACTATGTTGAATAGGAGTGGTGAGAAAGGGCATCCTTGTCTTGTGCCATTTTTCAAGGGGAATGCTTCCAGCTTTTGCCCATTCAGTATGATACTGGCCATGGGTTTGTTATATATGGCTCTTATTATTCTTGTCACTCTTGAATACCCTTGATGTCCATAGTATTTTACTCAATCATTCAAGAAAGAAAGAAGTTTTTTAAATATATATAATGTGTATGTATATATATATGTGTGTGTGTGTATGTATATATACACATATATATGTATATATACACATATATACGTATATATATGTGTGTATATGTATATATACACATATATACGTATATATGTGTGTGTATATGTATATATACACATATATACGTATATGTGTGTGTATATGTATATATACACATATATACGTATATATACACATATATACGTATATATGTGTGTATATGTATATATGTGTATATGTATATATGTGTGTATATATACGTATATATACACACATATATACGTATATATGTGTGTGTATATATATATAATGTATGTATGTATGTATATAATGTATGTATGTATATGTTGGGGCACTGTATGCCAAGCACAAATGCTCTACCTGGGCTTCCAGTTGCTCATGGTGGATTGAACACATGTGTCCTCTTCAAACCCCAACAAAATGACACACACAAAAAAACATATAAAAGCAGAACTAACTCATAGGGAGAAAAACAATGGAGGAAGATGACAGCAAACAAGATGCATGAGCGAAATGTACTATGGAAAGCAGGCAGACAAGGACAAGCAAACTGGCAGACCAGCCAAGGGAGAGCAACACACCTCTGATGGGAGGGGAGCCAAGAAGGAGCTGGTTTCTGCTGCAAACCTGTAACTGTAAGAATGGAAGGCTCTGAAGGCAGGGGGCAAGTGGGGCTGAAAACAGGGGAGTGGGGTGAAGATCAACCTAAGAGACAGTGAGACCTTCATCTCCCTCCCCATCCCACACAAACAAGCAACTGCACCTGGACTAGGGGTTTGATCTAATCTGTGATATGACTGTATTGGAAAGATGTTACTGGGAAATGTCTGTGTGATGGAGGAGGATGATAAGGAAGATAAATCTTCTTATTCCGTGGTTGGAATTCAGTAAAAAAAAAATAACTAAAAACCTAAAAATCAAATGCTAACAGTATAAGGGTGGTAGAAACTGCCAAAATTATTGAAAGCGTTCACCTCTGGGAAGTGTGAATTGTGACTGAGGAGGGGTGGGATAGGAACCTGCTGTTTTTCATTATAAGCCTTATAGGACTATTTGTCTTTTTAAACTATGCCCATGTATTACTTTTATAAAAATAAAAATTGAATTTCTGGCTGCTGTGTGAAGAATAGATTGGAGGAGGACATGGGTAGCACTGGGAACCCATTAAGTGGTTCAGGGGAGAGCTGTTGAGCGCCAGGGCCAGCGCGGCAGGAATGGAAGTGGAGAGGACAGGATATGTTCGCAATGTTTGGAAGACAGAGTCAGCAGAACTTCCTGAAGGACTGAATATTGGCAGTGAAAAAAATCAGAAGAATCAAAATATAGTTTCTAGGCATTGGGTTGGAGGAACTCAGTACAGGCAGAGTGAGCACTAGGGTGGCACAAGCCAGCCACCAAGGGCACAACATGTAAGGAGGCGCTCACTCTTGGCATCATGCAAGTTCAGAGCGGACCCCTGAAAGTGAGAGCCTCTTGACATGTGCCCTTGGCATCTCATGGCCTCACCACGAGCCCAGCCTTGACTCAGTCAGTTCTGGAGCTATTTACTGAGCATCAGGGCTGGGAACAATTAGTGGCAAAGCATGGGGTTCACCAGGGAGGACAAAGAAGGAAAAAGTGTTCTTCTGGACAAGTCATGATTAAGACATCTGTTAATGATCCACATGAAGTTGTCAAGCATGACAAGTCTGCAGCCCAGGATGACAGTCAAGGTTGGAGATAGAAATCCATCCTTGAAAGCTTGAAATTATGAGCTGAGATTGGATAGCCGAGAGAGTGATTGTGATGTGTACAGGAGGGACCAGGTCAGAGACATTCCCACATAGAACCGTGAGGACGACAAGGCAGACAGACAAGGAGCAGCCATCAGAGTGTAGGGAGGCCAGGAAAAGCTGGTGTTTCAGAAGCCAAGAACAAAGTGTTTGCCAAGAGACAGTCTGTCCTGTATGCTTCAGCCCTGCCTCTCCTGACAGAAATTGTACTGTGAGGAGGAGCAAAATGCTTCCTGCTTCTGTCTTGCCCAAGGCTAGCCGCTTGTGTGTTCACCTGGGGCTTGGATAGCGCACTCTCTTTTCCACCTATGGTGGCACCTTTCTGTCAATCCTGTCCCCTCCCAACTTCCAGGCCACAGCGTGCCCTACAGTTTGCAGCTCCTCTCATCCCAGGACCGATCCATCCAGCTTGGTGACTCCGGGTTTGACCCTGCTGCTTTCTAAGGACTGGACTTTAGTCATTCATTTAACAACTGTTTAAGCACATAATGTGTTAAAATGGTGCTAGGCACAGGGGATACAGAGGTGATTAGGACAGATATGTTTATCCAGGGCAGTCCACACTCTCCTGAGACATTTCCTGCTCTGGGCCCCCTTCAGATAAAATACCTCATCTACCTGAGTCTGAATTTGGCCCCAGCCCACTGGCTAGAGCCCCAAGCAAGCCCACTCAGCCCTCTCCAAGTAGTGAGAGGCCTCAGTATTTCCTCTCCAATGAAGTACAGCCTCATTGGAGCAAAGAACCATCCACTTTGGAAAAAGATCTATTCAGGACGTGCTGAAGAAGAGCTAGCTGGTGATGTGCCCATCCAGCTCAGAACCTCATACAGTGCCTGGAATACTGTATACATCCCAGTGGTGTGTGAAACGATGGATGAATGAAGTGCTCACCCTGTGTTAAAATACAAAGACATAGAAAGTCTTTTCATGGGAGACATTGATGGAGGTAGCCTGAGAAAGGAGAGAGCAGTATCAGACTACCTGGAGACAAGGTGTGGGCGAGGGCAGCCTGAGGTCATGTACCTGCTCCCCACTCCACCCTGGAGTTAGCTCAGCACCCTATTCTCCAGAGCGTGAGGCTTTAGCAGCAGTTTGGAGCCACCTCTCAATAATCTCTGCCTGACAGGCAGCAGCTGCAAACTTCCAGCAAGAGACTGCATTCTTGGCAGGTCATTCCTGGCCTCCCAATCCCATCTCTATGGAAATTGGCCCTGGAGGTGGAGGATGGAGACGGCAGCCCCTCCATGCCCTCACTGGCAGCCTTTGCTTTTGCTCACATCCCGCCCCCCTTCACTCAGAAGCCAGAGAATCTAGCCTATCTGATGAAAGATCCCATTTATTGGTCTCTGGCTCTACTGAAGTGCTGCTTGGCATGCCCCTTTGCCAGCTCTGTAGAACTTTCCAGAGTCAGCTGTCCAGGTACCTATATTTGGCTATCCTACCAAGCCCTAGAGCTGATCTCCACTGCAGCCTAGCTGCTTTGGGAATCTCTGCACGGATACACAACTTGCTGGTTTGAAAACAAATACTGATAAGAGCTGCTGAAGGTGAAGCAGTTGGAAAGTGTGCCATCCATGCTGTGCCGTGGGGTGTCAGGTTGGCGGGGTATCTGCCCATGTCTCCACCATCCCATCAGACACCCTGAGCAGAATGGCAAGACTGTGCACGCAGTCTTCCATGTCTGGACAACCTGTATGTTCATGCTGTGCATCTGACACTCGTGTCCTAACGGAGGGACATGTGTGCATCAGAGGACAACCCACATTCTGCTCCAGGCCCCGCCTGCCAGCCAGCTGGAGCTCCACTCCCAGCCCATCAGTTTCATACTCCTTGATTTTCCCAAGTGGTTGAATAGTTTACTGTCGGTTACTCTTGTCATTTTACAAAAATGACTGGGAAATGAGAAGAAAAAGCTAAGTGCTAATGATAAGAACAGGCCTCAAAAGCTCAACACAGTTGACACGAACGTGGGAATCAGCAGGCATTACTGAAAGAAGCAAATCTGCCGCCCATAAGCTGAGGCCCATTAGCTTAGGCCTGTGAGCAGTGTGTGTGCAGGTGTGGGTACAATCATGAGGGAAGAGGGCCGAGCAAAGAGCATGAGTGCTGGGAACACTCCAGCACCTTTGAAGACTGTGTCTCATAGGAATGCCATGGAAGGTGTAGTCCTCCAAACACTTCCATCTCCCCATACCTCTTTCTAAAGTGGGATTCTGTTGTAGGACCTGTACACAGCCCATCTACATGCATGTTTTCAGAAAGCCACGTGCCCAAAACTAAATGCCAGAGGGTCTGCCCCTGCTTGAGAGGGCAGTGTGTGTATGTCTTGCCATCGAAAACACCCTGTCAAGTTTTATCCCACAGTGTTATGACAAAGCCTCCACCCAACACTAAGCTTATCTCTTCAAAAAAAAAGTTCTTCTTTATGTTAGGCTGAGATGCTACTCCCTCTACACATCTGTCCTTGATGCTAGTTTTACTGTATGTGGCATTCTTAAGAAATCCATTCCCTGTCTCACAGGAGAGCCCTTCAAACATTTGAAGATAGCTGCTGTGTTCACACCACCTCCCTTTTCCCACTCTCAATAATTCCTCAAGGGAGTTGGTATCTTGACCAGACCAATCACTCACCCCTGGACAGGTTCTATTGTGTCAAAGCTCCTTGAAGAAGGGCTGGTGCTTTAGCAATGTATGTCAAGTAACTTAACAACGTTCATAGTTTTACTTCCATGATCTGACTTCCTGAAATGTATCCTAAGGAAATGATCACATAAATATCTGGAAGAGCCAAGTTTTGCTCTTACAATTCCCTCCTGAATTATTAGCATTTATTATGCAATAATGGGAAAGTGGACACATAAAGTATGTCACATCCATATCATGATGGAATATTGTATAATCATAAAACACTATCTTTTTGACAAGTAAGGAAAAAAGCAATATACATGTTTGAATACTCAATATTATACACACGCATACCCTCTTGCACACACTTACACATATACACACACACACGTGGGCATGGAAACACCCTTAAAGGTGAACAGTTCCCACCATAATACCACCAATGCTTAGTTGATGGTACTATGGGCAATCATTCTTTCTCATTTTGTCTGCATTTCTTCAATATTCCACAGTGATCATATACTACTTCTAATTCACACAAAGAAAAGTTATTGTTTAAAAACATGATACCCAGAATCAGACTCAGGATGCCGCATGTAGTCTGAGCAGCACAAGGCTTGGTCTTGTCCAGAAGTACAACAGGCACTGTTGGCTCCTGTTACACTCACTGTCAACCAACAGCCCTGAGACATTTTGCAGGAGCTGCCCTTAACCCAGCACTCCCTGCTGGTGACACCATGTGAGTGATGATTTTTGCCATAGTACAGAGCTTGTCCCAGGCAGAGAATGCACAAGCAAAAGAAGATGAAGGCGGCAATTCAAGGGCAAGTCACGCTTAGAGAGTGAGTAAAACACTGCCCACAGCGACATGTCTGCCTTTCACATATTCCCCTTGGAACCAGACATTGCCAGGCCATTTTCATATATTAAGGGTGGCAAGGTAGACTAACTTCAGCCACATGACACGCTCCTCTGTGTCTCTAAAAGAGCCTAACCAGGTGTTTGTCTTATTAGGCAGACAAGGTGGAAAGCAATGTCTGATGGGCAAGGGAGAAGTACACCAGGGTGGTGAAAAGCCCGGGGGCACTCACTAGCTATGTGTCCTTAGGCAAGTTGTTCTACTTAACCTGTCTGAGCCTCAGTTTTCACCAGTGTAAAATGGAGATACCACTGGGACTATGTCCCCAGATTGTAGTGAGGATTCACTGAGTTAGTACACATAAGCACTTTGAACCATAGCTATCAGCCATCTGTGTTCACAAGCCACACAGGCAGACCAGGAAGGAGACCTCGGTTGCTTGGCCCTACCTCCAGTGCTCGGGCCATCATGCCCACTGCCCTCTAATCAGTTTCCTAGGCGCAGGTGAGTTACAGAAGTAGAGAGGCATGTGCACCAGCCATTACGCCTTTCTCTGGGTACGGTCCAGAGCCCCTTCTTTCCTTCCGGGAGTCTATAAGACCTTACTGCTGTGCCTCTGCCCAGCTTCACCACCACAGCCAGCACATGTGGCATAGCCGTCACCTGCCAGGATCCATCTCCGTCTGCTCACAGAGACCAGATGGGCCACAGTGTCCTCCTGTGAGTCGGGTCTCTGATGCAAGGAAGCAAGAAAGGTCATCACCATGTATGGGCAGGCCCCATCTCTCTGTAAACTCATCTCTCAATAAATGATGAGTGTTGCCACCTCTTACTCGAGAAGCCAGGCAATGTATGCTCAAGTCTTTCCAATCAGAGTTGTTTCTACAAGCCTTTGGCTTCTGTGGGGAACATTTGGTTTCAAAGGAAATGGGATTTCCCCTTCAATATTCTTCTTGGATGACAGGTCTGTGATTGGAATCAGGACATGAAAAATCATGCCCCAGTGGTTATTTCCATTAGTGGCTCTTGACTTTGCAATGACACCCGCAGCACAGAGAGCCCAGTCCCTCCCACCTCCTACCCCGCACAGCTCAGGCAGGTCCCGGCCGGCTGACCTGGAACTTTTTGGTATTTCAGATCCCTGTGCTATCTGGTCAGGAGCTTGACTAACTCATCTTTGCAAGAACCTGCTTCACAATTGCTATTTACATCACTTTCCCTCAAGACCCTGGTCTTGTCCAGCCATCTTCCACACCACAATGTGCTGGAAACCCTTACATGCACACACACAAATACAAACACACGTGCCCACACATGTGCACACACCCACACAGCAAACGCTTGGTTCTCTATCTGTGGCAACCAAACCTTGTGAAGTGCTAATTTGCCTGACATGCTGAGAAAGAAAAACTTGTTTATTGTCTAGGTTGCAGGGTGTCAGAACCCTGTGGAGCCTCAGTGAAAGAAATGAAGGGGGAGCTGAATGCTGAAAAGAAGAGCAAAATGAGACCACACTCAATACTGAATCCTTGAAAAGGGCTCTGTGAGAAAGAATGCAGTGAAGCAGCAGCCCCTGGCATCTGGCTTGTGAGCCTGTTCCTTGTCCTAGGCTGGAGCCCTGGAGGACAGTGACACACTTGTTATGTCCCTCACACCCAGCACAGGCCCAGGCACAGACAAACATTCCAGACAAACAGGCACAGACAAACATCCTTGTTGATGCTGGAATGAAGAAGAGTGAAGATGAGCAGGGTAGATCAGCTCCGCTCAGGGACTCCAGGCTGCTCTTTTACTTAACTTGGGGAAGGGTTTGGGGAACAACAGTGACTTTGCTGAGCAGGATGTCAACTGAAATTAGGCATCTTCTGCAGCCAGATGAGGAGCCTGGACAGAGGGCTAGGAGGGAGGGTGCCTGGCTCCACAGTGCTCACAGGCCTATTCTGGACCAGGAGAGCAGGCGTGCAGCTGCAGCATTGAGCATGGGGGTGCCTACACCTGCCTGTCTGCAGGGTTGTCATTAGCATGGAGTCCACCTTACCTCCAGTAACCTCAAGGGGCCATTGAGAGCCCCCTGCCCTTCACATTGAATGACAGCTATGCTCAGGGGCCTGGAGGCTGGAGGCTTTCCTTTCTGAAATGGGGCCAGAGGACAGTGAACTGGTGGAGAAGGTTAGCATCAGGGCCTTGGCCAGGAGCATTGCCCACATGCCCGTGGGATGGCTGCCAACATTCCTGCAGGATGCCATTGCCTTCCACTCAGATCCCTGAGCCCAGAACGTGAAGAGTGAGTGGTAACACATAGGGGCTGCTTCTCACGCACCGCCAGGAAGACATGGACCCTGAACTCAATACCAGGCCCCCGGTAATCGGTCCATGCACGTGAGGCAAAAAACTCCTGTGGAGAGCAGCCAAAGGACAGCCCTGCCCCTGCAAGCCCTTGCACTCAGGTTCTCTACGTTCTTTAGCCATGAGGCTTCCAAGAGTTTGGTGACCATGGGCTGAAATCAGTAGCCTCCGAAGCCAGCCCAAACAAGAAGTTTCTCTACAGAGGATCCCGTCTTCTGGGAACATCTGAGCCTCAATTGCAGCTAAACATCTGCCATAAATGAGCGCATATTTTTCTGTTTCCCTCCATTTTATATAAAGAATCTTTCTATCCAATGAAGAAAACAAAAAACGTCTTGCATTGATTACGAATTGTGTTTGGCAACAGAAATCTGAAAGGCAGTGACTTAAACACAATGGGCTTTTTTACTTTTCTTTTTTTTGCTTACAGAAGAAATCTGGAAATAACCCAAAACTTTTTTGGCAGCTCCACAAAACCATTAGGGAACCAGTCAGTTTCTGGCCCTCAGCTTTGCTGTCCTATCTCCAGGTATGGCTCTTGTCCTCATGTCTGCAAGATGACTCTGGAACTCCATCCATCATAGGTGAGTTCTAGGCAGGACAGTGTAAAAGCGAAAAGGGCAAACTGTGTGTGCTATGAATGCATTCTATTCTAAATGAGCTTCCCTAGGAGCCCCACCCAACAGCTTTCTTGAATATCTTATTGTCCAGAACTGTGTTATATGACCATCCCATCTACAAGGGACGCTTGGAAACACCTTTCTTTTCCTGAACACTGTCCCAACAGAATAGGGTCTCTGTTAATTAAGAAAAGGGGGAGAAAAGATATGGGGTGGGCAACTGGAAGTCTCCACCAGGCACCTGTATAACAGCTCTGGCTTCAACCAGTTATTGAAGGGTATGGAAAATGGATTCAAGCGAGAAAGAGAAGGAAGAAAGAGGTGGAAGAGAAGGGAAAGAAGCAGAGCGGGAATGCCAGGCTAACCCAAATAAAGTATGTACCCAGAAGAGTGTTAGGGTGACCAACGGTGACCAACAGCCATAGTGTGCTAAGGACATAGGACTGTCAGTGTTGGAACCAGGGCAGTCCCAGGCAAACAGGGACAGCTGGCCACCCTGAATGTGCACACGTCTGTGTGAAGGGGGTCTTTTGAGACTAGATATCTTGAACTGGTGCTTCTCAAGTTGTTGTTCAAGGACCCCTGGACAAGAGACTTTCAGGGGACCTGTGATGTTAGACTACTTTTCTAATAAACTAAGGTATTATTTGCCTATTTTACTCTCTTTTCTCTCGTGAGTAAACAAAGGAGTTTTGCAGAAGTTATATGGCATGATATTGCAAAGATTGGATACAAAAGCAGATATAAGAATCTAGCTGCCTTCCCTATACACCATGGAATACTATGCAGCCATAAAAAAGGATGAGTTCATATCCTTTGTAGGGACATGAATGAAGCTGGAAACCATCATTCTTAGCAAACTATTGCAAGGACAAAAAAAAAACAAACACCGCATGTTCCCACTCATAGGTGGGAATTGAACAATGAGAACACTTCGACACAGGAAGGGGAACATCACACACCAGGGCCTGTCATGGGGTTGGGGGAGGGGGAAGGGATAGCATTAGGAGATATACCTAATGTAAATGACGAGTTAATGGGTGCAGTACACCAACATGGCACATGTATACATATGTAACAAACCTGCACGTTGTGCACATGTACCCTAGAACTTTAAGTATAATAAAAAATTAATTAATTAATTAAAAAAAAAATCTAGCTGCCTTCTATTCTGTTAGAAAAAGGAAATCAAGGCACCAAACACCAAAGGGATATTCAGTACATGTAAAAGAATGCCGGCTGGGCATGGTGGCTCACGCCTGTAATCCCAGCACTTTGGGAGATCAAGACGAGCAGATCACAAGGTCAGGAGTTTAAGAGCAGCATGACCAACATGGTGAAACCTCATCTCTACTAAAAATTAGCTGGATGTGGTGGCACATGACTGTAATTCCAGGTACTCAGGAGGCTGAGGCAGGAGAATCGCTTGAACCCGGGAGGCAGAGGTTGCAGTGAGCCGAGATCATACCACTGCACTACAGCCTGGGCAACAGAGAAAAATAAAAAAAGAATGCCATTCTCTTTACTATTTACTTTTGTTTGGGAAAATAGATTTGTTTTCATGAAATATATTAGCATGTAATGATTTGTTATGCCTGTTTTTAATGAACTGAGAAATATTTTTTTTTTGAGACAAGATCTCTCTCTGTCACCCAGGCTGAAGAGCAGTGGTGTGATCTCAGCTCACTGCAACCTCTGCCTCCTGGGTTCAAAAGATCCTCCCAGCTCAGTCTCCTGAGCAGCTGTGACTACAGGCACACACCACCACACCCAGCTAAATTTTTTTGCTATTTTTGTAGAGACAGGGTCTTGTCATGTTACCCAGGCTGGTCTCGAACTCCTAGGCTCAAGCTACCTGCCCACCTCAGCTTCCTAAAGTGCTGGGATTACAGACAGGATCTCTCTCTGTCACCCAGGCTAGAGTGCAATGGCACGATCTCAGCTCACTGCAACCTCTGCCTCTTGGGTTCAAAAGATCCTCCCAGCTCAGCCTCCTGAGTAGCTGGGACTACAGGCATACAGCACGACACCCAGCTAAAATTTTTGGTATTTTTTGTAGAGACAGGGTTTTGTCGTGTTACCCAGGCTGGTCTCAAACGCCTAGGCTCAAGCCATCTGCCCACCTCAGCTTCCCAAAGTGCTGGAATTACAGGCATGAGTCACCATGCTTAGCCAAGAAATAATTTAAAAAATATCTTGGCCAGGCACGGTGGCTCACATCTGTAATTCCAGCACTTTGGGAGGCCAAGGCGGGCAGATTACCTGAGGTCAGGAGTTTGAGACCAGCCTGACCAACATGGCAAAACCCCGTCTCTACCAAAAATACAAAAATTAGCTGGGCATGGTGGCGGGAGCCTGTAATCCCAGCTACTTGGGAGGCTGAGGCAGGAGAATCGCTTGAACCCAGGAGGTGGAGGTTGCAGTGAGCCAAGATTGCACTGTTGCACTCCAGCCTGGGTGACAGAGCGAGACTCTATCTCAAAAAAAAAAAAAAAAAAAAAAATCTTGGTCTTCCTTTCTAATATGATTAAGTTGATAGCTGTAACCTACATTTTTAAAAAGTTCTTTGGCATTCTCACTAATTTTTAAGAGTTTAAAGGGATGCTGAGACCAAAGAGTTTGAGATCTATTGTCCCAGACTAAACTTGGAAGGATATAGAGTGGAGAGTTACAAGATAAATCTCCAGTCAGTTAAAGAATGGAAACAAGAGGAAGGCTGGACCTTGTGGAAACTGGCATCAGAGGCAGCATCCTATGAGCCTCAGCAACAATGTGTGTGAATAAACACTCTATTGCAGTGCAGCTTAGAAAGTGGTTTGTGGACCAGGACCAGGCTGCAAACTCTTCACCACAAGTTACTGTTGAAGGAAGTACGGAAATACAGGAAGCTTTTAGAAACTTCCATAACAACTTGACAGAGTAACTTTATGTCTGTTGAAACTAATAATAAGAAAAGTTAGGCTTGTATTTTGTATATCTTCTATCATTTTATCTTCCCAGCAATTTATTTTTACTATGTTTTATAAAAGTATTCCATGGTGCATTATAAATTTTTTAAATATGGCCTTTTCAAGTTTAAGATTAATATAAAGGATAAATACTAATTATCCAAGCAAAGGGGGGAACAAAGTATTACATAGAAAGATTTGTGCTTCACGAGAAAACTATGCATTGTCTAGAGTACATCTTTCCTTATTACCTGATTCTAACCTTTTATTGAGCTATTCTGCAGTTTATAAATTGTAAATAACTAATAGCAATGAAAAATAATTTCTGCCTGTAGATATGCAAAAATTCTGTCAGGCAATTGACTTCCCTTCCTCGCTATGGAAGGGGCCAGCTTTGCCCCCACTTGCCCACTCTTTCAGTGTTCCTGATCTATAATTACACATGATTTTGGATTCTCCATTGACTTAGTTGTAACATCTTACTGGTTTCTCCATTAATGCATTAAATAAAATCATTAGTACAGGTTCATTAAAAAATAATATGGGGCTTGGCACAGTGGCTCATGCTTGTAATCCTAGCACTTTGGGAGGCTGAGGTGGGTGGATCACTTGATGTCAGGAGTTCAAGACCAGCCTAACCAACATTGCAAAACCCTGTCTCTACCAAAAAATGACAAAAATTACTTGAGCGTGGTGGCAGGCTCCTGTAGTCCCAGCTATTTGGGAGGCTGAGGTGAGAGAATTGCTTGAACTCAGGAGGCAGAGGTTGCAGTGAGCCGAGCTCATGCCACTGTACTCCAGCCTGGGTGACAGAACAAGACCCTGTCTCAAATAATAATAATAATAATAATAATAAATAAGGTCCTTTACATTATTTACAAACCATAGTTTGTGAAGCTCTGTTTTTGGACTCCACCATTGATGTGACTCAATTGCCTTCTGGAAGTCCTTCAATTCTCATCTTGCTACCTGCTGACATCTGTATTCAGCTACGTACATTTTTTTCTGTCTCATAGTTTTTTTTTCTTTTCTCCTAGTTTAGGCTTCCTCATCATTTTGGCTATGGCACAGAAAAGAGGCCACAAGAAGTCATCATAAGCCGAAGAGAAAGCACTGTGTTAGATGCTTTATGAAAATGAGAGAGAGAGAGGGAGAGAGAGAGAAAATGAGGCCAACAGGAGATTCAAGAGCTGGGGACTACAGAGGAATCATTTCATACACAAGCTGGAGATAACTGTGTTGTGCCCAACCATCACTAAACACCTTTTATTGTTTTGGTGAACAAAACCACACCTATATGAAATCAATGGCTCAATGCTCATCATTAGAAGAGATCACCAGGGTCTCCAAGCCAGAAGCTAACCCCAGCCCCAGGAGCTAACCCTTGGTGGAAGAAGACCTTTGTCATGAGGATCCAGATGCTGGGGAGGTTTCCATGAAGGCTGAGACTTCAGCTGCAGAGGAGAGCATCCAGTGGCCAGGGACCCTGACATTTGTGGAAGCCAAAATGATGGTCTCAGCCATTTGCCTTGCCATCCTGGTGCTTGGTGGGGAAGTGGGTGGAGGAGTCTCTGAGGTTCCTGTCTTGTGCAGAAACCCTTCTTCCCACTTTTGCTCCTGATGGAACAGCACCCAGATTATCTCAGTTCCCTGTGATCAACTTGGTGCACCTGTCAAATAAGGCACCACAGCAGGGACAACACACGAGTCTACTCTGACTCGCCACTGCAAATTCAAAGCTTTTAAAAAATAGCTTCATTGAGCTACAGTTTATGTACCATAAAGTTCACTTGTTTTAAACAGGCAATTCAATGATTTTTAGTAAATTTATGGCACTGTACAACCGTCACCACAATCTAATCTTAGAATATTTCTCTCACCCCAAAAAGTAGCTTTGTGTCCATTTGCAGGTACTGCCTATGCTCAAGGCAACCACTAATCTACTTTCTGTCTCTACAGATTTGTCTTTTCTGGGCATTTCATGTAGATGGAATCGTACAATATACATAATGTCTTAAAATTCCATCCATATTATAGTATGTTGATCCATACTTCATTCCTCTTTGTTGCAAAATAGTAATCTATTGTATGGATATACCACATTTTGTTTCTACATTCACCAGGTGACGGGCATTTGGATTGCTTTCACCTTGTGGCGATCATGAATAATACTGCTATGAACATTCTCATACAAGATTTTATGTAAGTTTAGGTTTTCATTTCTCTTGGATAGATACACAGAAGTGGGATTTCTATATCATATGGTAAATTAATGTTTAATTTTTCAGAAACTACAAAATGTTTTTCCAAAATAGCTGTACTATTTTACTTCCCCGTCAGTGATGCGTGAGGAATCCATTTGCTCCACAGCCTTTTCAACACTTGATATTGTCTTCCTGTTTCATTTGAGCTATTTGTGGGTTGTGAATTTGAATCCTGAGCCAAGCAACACAAGGACAGTCCACAGCTGTGGCTGACCCATCCTGGGGGCAGTGCCCTGAGGAGGCTGCCTCCATCCTGCCACAGGTGTGGGGCCACCTGGATTCCTAACTTTTTTGAGGCCTGATTATTCTACTCTCTGTGGAGTCTGTAGATTACCCTACATCCTGCCAGTAAAACCATTTTCTAAAAATTTAAGTTAAGCAGAGTGGGGTTCTGTCACAGCCACTTGCATTTGAGTAACACACTTCCCACAGCCCTCCATCCTGATCTCTGCTGGAGCTAACACATCCAAGGTCTCATCTGAGCATTGCCTACCAGGGATGCACCAGCAGGCACCCTGGGGGTGAGGATTTGTTCTTAACAGAGATAACCACTGGAGAAAACCCCACAGCAATAAGAATGGTGCTATCTCCCAGCTCTTCAGGCACCTAGGCAATAAGCTGCACGTTCATCCAGGCTGAAGCTCACCGCTCTGTGTTTGCTGCAGTCTGAGTCAAGTTAAAGTTAGAGTTTCTCCATATGTTTTCCAGAGAATCACATAAAGTTGTGAGAGGGGGTAGTAGTAACCTTTGAGAAATTTGATGAAGATAAAGGCACACTTGCTGAGTATCAGAAAATGTGTGTTCTAATGTGTATTGAGAATTTCTCCATGATGCATTTTTCCTGGTGACCAAAGTTGGTACAATGAAAGCACAGAGAGCTGTGTGATCTGGAGTGAGCTGCTTGACCTCTCTGAGCTATAGCTTGTAGGACCATTGTGGGTCTTGTAGATGAAGTGAGCACCAGCATGGTTGACTACCTTTCCCAGCATTGTCATTGTGCTAAAGTTTACTGAAAGAAAATGAAATAAAATAGTACTCTCCCAGTATTTTGCTCTGGGGGAAGGCCCTTCAGACTCTGCATGGAGGAGGGAGTTTTCTGCATCATGGTGCAGAAAACAAACTTCCATGCTAGATGTATTTAGTGCAAGTCATATTGTACATGCTGTGTGCAGTCAGGCAAGTTATCCCATCTCTTTGGGCCTCAGTTTCTCCGTCCCTAAAATGGTGTCAATGATATTGCTTTACTCCATAGAGTGTTTGTGAGGCTCACATGAGACTACAAACAAAGCACTAAGCACCGTTGCTGGTACTCAAGAAGCACCCATTAGCATTCACTGTGTTTGTAGTTGCAGTTACTTGCGTCTTTGTGACCTTTCCCTGAGTTGGGAGCAGCCCTTCTTACCACTGCTGATGTGGAGCTGACTTGGGGATGAGTCAAGCTTATGTCCGCTGTGGACAGTGGAGGATCAGGATAAAATAAGCAAAGCTTCAAGGCCCAGAGCAACACCCACTTCCCCTGCAAGGCTTCTGACTGTGGGATCCTGGCTACTGCCCCTGGCTAGAAGACTCTTGGCCAGTACCTCAGCCTGCTGACCCTAGCCCAGGTCAGAAGTGTGCTTGGTCACCTGAGCTCTCCAGCCCCTCCCGGCCCAGAAAAACAGGTGTGCATGCTCAGTAACTTGAGCCTACCTTCTGAAGGCCTGGGAAATTGAGAGAGGACAGATAACTCTTTCTCTGGACAACCACAAGGCCAATAAACAAGTCTTCAGGGAGACCATGGCCAGCTGTAGGTTGTGCAGGGCCGGCTGTCAGTTTGGGGGATTATCTAGGACTTTTGCTTTTCATAGCAGCAGCAGCAGCCGCCACCACCATTTGTTGATCACCCAGTGCCAGGTACTGTGCCAGGTTCTTTCCATGCTCTTTCCCACTTCTTCCCTTGTGCAGCCCTGTGAGGAGAGGAGTTGCTTACAGCACAGACATCGGAGTCAGACAGACCAGGGCTTGGACCCCAGCCCTGCCACAGGCTGATTGACTTGGAGCAAGTCAGTGTTTGAGAATTAGAAGAGGAAATGTAGGTAACATTGGTAGCCCAGAGCCTGGCATGGAGTAGGCCCTAAACACGTGGCAGACAAATTCTGGGAGAGGTGCCCCCACTTTATACAGGAGGGCACTGAAGCCCATTTGGCCAGACCCAAAAGTGGATCTGACGAGCTCCTGTTCTCATCCTTTGTGTACACGACATCACCTTGGGTTGTGTTCCCAGCCCTGGTAACTGTTCTGATGGAGAGACTAGACAGAGGGGAATTCCTGGGTTCAGTAGTTAAAGTTAGAGTTTCTCCATACATTTTCCAGAGAATCACATAAATCACCAGCCAGAAGAAGGTGAAAAGCACCAGCTAAGAAAAGGGTGGCATCATCTGTGGCTTCTTATTGCCCAAGCTCTTCTGTCCCCAAACCAGGACATTCTTCAGAAAGGGATAAAGATGGGCACACAGAGATGAAACCGCAAGTTGTTTTGTTCCAACCACTGACTATAACCCATACACACAGAGCTACCAGCCACATGTTTATGCCCAGACTCTAGAACAAAAGGCAAAGGATAAAAACACATAAGAATCCCATACAAGGGGTGAGATGGGCATCCCCAGAGAGAAGGCTTCAGTATGTTTGTGTTCACGTTGCACTTACCTGGATGCTACGGGTCAACAGAGTGCTGCCCAAAGCTCTGCAAGGGGTCTAGGTGGTCAGAGTTCCCCCAAAGTCTTAATTATTTTCATCATTGCTTCATCTCAACGTAGTTTAAATTGGTATAAATACACTTATGAATAAGATGTTTGGCATGAAGATATGCATTTTCTCCACACAAACAATTTTATACATGATGTTTAGGTTATAAGTTTAATCCATAAAGCTCTGTTTAAACCATAAATTCAGAAATACTGTCTTTTAATGAAAAAAATATTTATGTTAGAACATATGAAACACGTGCAGCCTAACTAAACACACTATAATGTCTACCCAGCATCCATGTAATCCTTCTTCCTTCCTCCAATCAGGCCATGTGACCCTAGGGACCCTGGATTCTCCCTAGCCCCAGCGAGGATCCAGATTAGGGAAGCCATCACAATAAGCATATCTCATGCCAATGCTGGGTTCAGGGATCCTTCTGACAACTGTCAGGGTCCAGAGAGGGATATGAGGCCTAAATTGGTCCAGTTGGACTGAAAGTGAACTGGGAGTGAAAGTGAAGTTTCCTTGCTGTGTTGCCAAATACAAACCCAAAGGTATATTGTCCCTGTTGCTGCAGAAGACCACCTTGCAAGCACAGCTGAGGTCTGCCTGGGGACAAAGTTGCAACAGATGGGCACAAACCAGGAAGACCATGGGGAAACCAAGCCTGACTTCAATGTGCCCGGCCCAGTCGGCCCTACCTTTGCACTTCCTGCTTTGCAGGATGGTGAATTCCTTTGTTGAATTAGAGGGAGTTTTCTATTATTTGTAGCAGGAAAGCGTCCTTGCGATGGCAGGAAGTATGTCCATAGATGAATTGAATGAGAAAGGTTCTCTTGAGATAGCTAGGCGAAAGTCAAAAGAGACAGTGGAAGAAGACAAAAGATTAAGGAAGGAGCCTGTGCTTAAGCAAGAAATACATGTCCCCATGTGGAATTATTTGACCAGAGAACCATAGAAAAGATGGAAAGGAAGACTTTATCTGGGCGGCATGATCTCAGCGGAAAAGAAGGAACGTTGAAATAGAGAGATAGTTCCCTGCAGTTGGAACCATACACTCAGCCCAGAACAGCTTAGTCCCCTCCTTAGTCAGGGAAAAGTTCTTTATCCTCAACCCAAAAGATGTTCTCAACTCTTCCTCACAGCCTCAGTCAACACTACATCTCTTTCCATTGCAAAAGCCAAAGAAGAACAAAAAAGTCTTAGGACCATTTGCTCTCATGAAACCTTGTAGTACACATCTGTGGTTTTACCTCCCAGGCATCCACTTCTCCTGGGATTGTTACTATGCACCCCATTTTTCCCTGGGGTCTATGATTTACAGTGGGCCTGACCCCACCCAGATCCACAGGTGAGCATGTGGCTGGGGTCTAACCCATGAGAATACCACATCTCACCACTAACAGTGCTTACTTCAAGAGTGGGCAGGTGACCCCAACCCAGTCAATGGAAGCTAATGAAATGGAACTGGTAGAGGTGGGAAGGGGGAGGATCTTTTGTCTGCTAAACCTATAAAGATGGGAACCATCTCAGAGCAGCTAGGGCCATTTTGGTGGCTTGTGAGAAGAACTTGCTGGAAAAGGAAGCAAACATGGAAAGAAGCAAGCAGAATGAGAGGCAGACTGAGTCCTGATTACATCATTCAAACCCCATGTCTGAAACAAGTGTCCTGGAGTTTTCATTTACATGAATGAGGAATATAGTCTTGATTTTTGACTTAACCACTGTAGATGGTTTTTCTATCACTAGTAACTGATGGAGTTTATGTTGATAACAAATCTCAACCTTAGAGAAGAATGATGTCCCTTATTACTTAGTTCTTGGCCCTTTATAAAATACTTAAATCATTCCTAATGTACACCAAATCATGCTGTTTGACCTTGAACAAGTCACATCCAGGTCCTTTTCAGTAAAATGAGGATGTTGGACCCAATCTCCTAGGTCCCTTCCAGCTCTGAAGTTGTATACTTCTATGAATAGTCTCTTAGCAACCTTCACACTCACAGAATTAGATACAAAACTATTTTCTTCAAGATCATGGATTCAAAACATTAAAATATAACTTTACAAAGTTTAATCATGTGTCAGATGATGAAAACCATGCAAGGCCTCTTTGCTTTAGCAAAGCATATAATGGCATTCATGGTGCAGATATGTCATTTGCTAATTTCTTCTGGTGCCTAAAAACTTCCATTCCCACTTCCAATGGGTAAAGCCCAGTGGTAGCTGCAGCTAGTCTATCTCATCATTTCCACAAACTCTTTCAGAGGTAGGGGAGGCATAACAGTTCAATAATCTTCAGAAAAAGTTTAAAAGCAGAACTGTGGTTGCTTTGTTCATAGAATCTAGGGTCCCTACTAAACGCCCTTTAATGACACTCTGTCACTCAAGACTCCAAGTCTGATGCTTGCCCACAAGTTCCCATCCATTCTCCCATTCCTGCTGCCTTGAGCATGATAGGTGCATCACTTAATTTATTTGTGCCTCAGTTTCTTTAGCAGTAAAATGAGGATAATAGTACCTTCCTCTGAGTAGTGGTGTGAGCACTGAATGAGTAAAGCACTCAAAATAGTGCCGAGCATGGAGTAAGCATGGGACGAATGCCAGCTCTCATCTTCATCAGTAACATTCCTAATAGACTCCTCAATGCAGGCTGAATGGTTGCTTGTGTGGGTGGATGAACAAATGGATTAAAGCAGAAAGTATTCAAAAATATTTCATATCCCACAGGTTATACTTATTAATAATAGTGTTCCAGAGATACAGAAGTAGCGATTCAGAAAGAACAAATCACACAGCGGGCTCCCCCTCCTGCATTCCTGCCCATTCCCTAGTCCCCAACAAATTCCTTCTTTTAGAGCTTTTGCTATTGGCTTACAGGGCCCTAGGAACTAGGATGTCTAGTTAATGATTTGCAACTCTTAGTAATTTGCTCTTCTTGGTAACCGATGTGAACATCTCTCAGTACGATTGCAGACTCATTTCTCAATTATATTTGTTTTAGCTAAAAAGGTACCCAGAGTGACTGGATAACCCCAGAAGTCAATCCTCCAGGGCACTCAGAAGTAACAGGCTTTAGGAACTAATTCTCCTGACCCGCTCCTAAATGAAACCAATTGATGGCTCAGAAAGACCATTTATCAGGTGTAATGGGAGATACATTAGACCAGAGCCCCAGTTCATGGCATTGCTCAAAGAACTCCCTCCCAGAGGCTTAGCCACTCAGAAAACTCACCCTCTGAGCTCTCAAATGGTTGCTCTCTGCCTGCAGAACTAGAATAAGGGGAGCTGGGTGATCCAGAGGCACAAACTCTTCAGATGGCTTGCAGAGTGTAACTAGAGCAGCCAAGGGGGCCAGCGGGGCTGGGTTGCTGCTCCAGCAAGATTTGTTTGTTAGCTGGTTGACTTTGGGCACATTTTTAACTTCTCTGAGCCTCAGTTTCTTCAAATATTATAAGATGGGGCAGTGATACTCACATCATAGAGTGGTTGTGAGGACCGCATGAGATCATCCACGTGAAATGCCTGCCACAACAACAAATGGCAACATCTGTTTTGTTTTGAACTTCTTTCCTCCTCTTGGAAGTGTTTCTGTGTTAGGAGCTGGCACCAGCCCCTGGATCTACTCGCTCTTTCCCGCCCCCATGCCTCCGCAGGAATGGATAAACTCCAAACAGTTTTCATACTAAACCCCTTTTGCCAGGCTCCTCCATCTCCTGCCATAGCTTCACAGTAGTCCTTCCACTAACAAACAGTCGAGCAGGCTCTGGTTTAACCTTCACTGTATTTTACTACCAATCACAGCTTCTTAACATGCTAGGTCAACATGACCACACATTGCATGTGGGTTCAGGGCCTCATAGACTGCACGATGCCTCCTTATGGGCCTCCTGGAGCACCATGTACCCTGAGATTATGATTCTCTGCCTTAATTGACCTTCAGCAGCTCTTGTCCTTCCTGTCTGTGCTTGGGCCAGGCTCCTGTGGGCCACGTGTTCACAGATCGTCTCTGAAGGTGCCAGGCAACCGTCCCTCACTTCACAGTTTACAATATGCCACCGAGTAAAGTGACATGTTCCCACCTGAATAGCCACAGAAGGCTAATTCCACCACCCCCCGACCCCCAGCTCTCTTTTCATGGTGTCTGCTTTCCTGGCTCTCTCCTCAAAATCAGAGGACCCCTTATAGGAACAGGGCCCTGTGAGGGGTCTGCCCCTCCCCCTTGGCTCTCCCCAGCCCTTGAACCTTGTCCTGCTCCGAGGCCTGCCTGGGGTGTTCAGAGGCTCCTGTCCCGAGTGCCACCTGTCTTGTGGCTTCACTAACAAGTGCCACTGTCCTGCAAAGCTCCTCTGGGCTCAGCTGCCAGGGCAGGAGGCAAGAATTAAGACACCACAGTTGAAAGATATCAGGCTTCAGAAGCAAGTTCTAAACAGACTTGAATAGCAGAAAGTTTCAAAGGCCCTCGTTGAAGTCCTTGTAAAACTGCTACCCGCTCCATCAGCTGGCAGTTCCAGGCTCTTTCAGATCTCTTTGAGCTCTCTTCTTTTCGAGCCACTAGCTCGATAAGGAACTATCTTGCAAAGGAAACAAAGAGCCTTTTGTATTTAAGTTTTTCAATAGGAAGAGGTTGGTGGGGGCTTTAGACTTCCCCAAACTAAAACCTGTATGCTTCAAGCATCACTAAGCCAGATATTTTACACCCTCTTCCATCAGAGAATGGTTGGAAGAGATCTTAAAGTCATATGTCTTGACTTGAAGTTGAGGAAACTGAGGCTCAGTAAAGTCTACTTATTGCCCCAGACCCCTCGGGGAGTGATGGGCCCAGCTGGATGTGCACATGGTTGTACAGAATTCTTGCCTCATCAATGTGCTTCACAGCGCACAGTCTCCTCAATGGCTGTTTCAATCAAGAGTTACAGGCCCCTTTCCCCAATGGCCTTTGTTTTGGTGAACTTAACAGTGGTCATAAGACTAGGACTATTTAAAAACTGAACATAAGTGAATGGTCACAGGATTAAACCGAGTTTAAAATGTATGTGTGTATGAGTTTGCTAGGGCTGCCAGTATCACAGGCTGAGTGGCTTCAAGAACAGAAATTTGTTTTCTCATAGCTCTGGAGGCTAAAAGTCCAAGATCAAGACGTTGGTGGGGTGGGTTTCTCCAGAAGCCTCTCGCCTTGGCTTGCACATGGCTGTCTTCTCCCTGTGTCTTCACATGATCTTCCTTCTGTGTGTGTGTGTGTCTGTGTCTTAATCTCCTTTTATTATAAGAACACCAGTTGGCCAGGTATGGTGGCTCACACTTGTAATCCCCAGCACTTTGAGAGGCCAAGGCAGGTGGCTGGCATGAGCCCAGGAGTTCCAAGACCAGCCTGGGCAACATGGCAACACCTCGTGTCTACAAAAAATACAAAAATTAGCTGGATGTGGTGGCGCACTCCTGTAGTCCCAGCTACTCTGGAGGCTGAGGTGGGAGGATAGCTTGAGCCTGGGAGGCAGAGGTTGCAGTGAGCCGAGGTTGCACCACTGCACTCCAGCCTGGGTAACAGAGCCAGACTCTGTCTCAAAAACAAACAAACAAAATTGCCAGTCATGTTGGATTAGAGCCCACCCTGATGACTTCATTTTAACTTAATTAGATCTTTAAAGACCATATCTCCAAATACAGTCAAGTCTGAGGTACTGGAGGTTAAGACTACAACATATGAAATTGCAGGGAGATACAAGCCAGTCCATAATAGTTTATATGTTCTTAAAGAGAAAAACCTAATTAACTTGGTGAAGTAAGAGTGTGGTAAGAAGCCCTCCATGCTGTTCTGCAGTGAGATGTGCTGCTGGACTGCTCCCGAGACT
Organism: Homo sapiens; assembly: GCF_000001405.40. Classification (NCBI taxonomy): domain Eukaryota; kingdom Metazoa; phylum Chordata; class Mammalia; order Primates; family Hominidae; genus Homo; species Homo sapiens. The sequence continues at coordinate 134,679,452 of NC_000003.12, read as the reverse complement.
CCTAAGGACTGCTTCTGCCACCCACTGCCTGCATGATGCTCCACTGCAGCTCTGCTCTGTGGCCAGATATTGTTCAGATGCTTACATCAAGCAAGGAATATGCACAAGTATTAGAAGTGGACGAACCTGGGTCCAAATGAGCCGTGGGGCCTTGAGCAAGTTACTTAGTGTCATTAATATTCAGTTTTCTCTTCAATAAAATGGGTTTAACCTGTCTTGAGCACTGCACAGGAAAATATAGAAGATTAAATAAGATAAAGCAAATAAATGGCAGCATTATATAAACTATAATTATATCAAATAAATGAAAAATATTAAAATATATGTTTCTTTTTCCTTTTGAGTAAACTACCATCCTCCAACAAAAAAGATGACATTTCCAAAAGCATGGATGTCAATGGTGATATCTCTTAACACCCAGTATACAATGGGTCTATACATCACCAGCTTTCTTTGTCAGGCTACAAGACAATTTGTACTGAGACCTGAATGAGCTCTGGGGGAACTATTCTTTGTTACAATGAATGTCATATGTTAGGGGCCCATTTGCACTGTGCCAGCAAGCTCAGGGCCTCAGCTGGGTCTTGAACCAGGTGGAGAAGGTGATCAGCCACTAACATTCCAAGTGGAGGGGGTGCATGAGCAGAAGTCAGCATGGGATGCAGGCAGAGCTGTAGCAGCAGCACAGTGAGGTGGGTATGGGTCAAGTCCCTAGAGCTAGGCTTGAATCTAGCTGCACTACCTTGGGTAAGTTGCTTAGCCTCCTTGTGCCTTGGTATCCTCATCTGTAAAATGAGGACACTTATAGAACCCACTTCATAAGTGTTGAGGGATTTAAATGAGTTAATATATAAAGAGGTTTTGGAGCAGTACCTGAAACACAGTGAGTGGCTGGAGAGTGTTAGCTGTTATGGTTCACTCCAGCATTCATTAAACACTCATTGAGCAGCTGGTGAGGGCTGGGCATTACACTAGGCACCAGGAACATGCACAGCCTTTCCTTCCAGAAGCACACAGCATAGATGTGAAGCCTATTTAAACAATGTAATAGACTCATAGAGACAAGTCCAGAGGGTTGTGGAAACCAGAGGAAGAGCACATGACCTGGCCTGGGTGGGGGTACAGAGAGGATGGACTTGGAGTGGGGTGTCCAGAAAAGTATTTCCAAGAAGTTGTCACCTGGCCCAGTCTTAAGGGAAATAGGAATGTGTCAGGAAGGAGCGGAGGGCAGGAGAGCAACACATCACAGAGAGAAACAGGGCAGCATGTTCCCTGTGGCTACCAACAAGCAGCTCTGGGCTGGAGGAGCACAGCATGAGCAGAGGCAGCGGGAGGGCATCTGAGAAGCAGGTGGGAGCCCAGCACCAGGTGGCCCAGGTGCCCTGCCAAAGGCTTGCACTTGAACCCCTGTGGGTTTGAGCAGGGAGTGGCATACTGAGATTTGTGTTTTAAAATCAAGTGCAAGAAGGGGAACTGGAGGGGAGAAGACTGGAGACAAAGAGACCAGCAAGCAGACTGGCACAGAGGGTGGTAGTGATAGGGACGTGGAGAGAGAAAGCATGCCAGGAATACTTGGGACACGGCGTGACTTGGTGACTGCATGACTATGTGAAGGGAAGGAGAGGGAGGAGGAATGTTGCCAGCATGAGTGACTGCGTCCATGGGGGTGCTTCCAAACAAGTGGGGAACAGGGGAGGGCTAATCTGAATCTCAGGCAAGGGATTCAGTCATGAGGAATGGAGCTCAAAGTCCTGAGCATGGAGGCAGCAGCCCAGGGAGAAGGAGGAGAAGATGAGAGCAGTTAGGGTTAACCCTCACCCTAACCCTAGCCCTAGCCAGAGTCAGTGAGGCACAAATGTCCAGGAATGAGCAGAGAAATCAGGGGCCATCGAGGAAGCTGAGGAGCAAGGTCAAAGGGAAGCCCAGAGAACTCAGAGCTCCCCCAGATGGAGGTAGGTGGGCACCAACCCTGTGGGACAAGCACAAGAGGACCATGAAGGTGCACCTGCTGCATGTGGCCACAGGGGAGCAGTAGAGTGCCCGCGCAGTGTGGGGCAGGACCCAGAAGAAGAGGGTTCAGAGGTAAACACATGGAAACGGAAACAGCAAGTGTGGATGACCACTCTTTGGGAGATTTGAGTGAAATGAGGAAGAGAAAAGGGTGCGAAGTAAAGTCAAGGGAGAACTTTTTTTTGAGATGGAGTCTCTCTCTGTTGCCCAGGCTGGAGTGCAATGGCGCCATCTGCGCTCACTGCAACCTCCGCCTGCCGGGTTCAAGCAATTCTCCTGCCGGGTTCAAGCAATTCTCCTGCCTCAGCTTCCTCAGTAGCTGGGATTACAGGCACGCACCACCACGCCCAGCTAATTTTTTTGGTATTTTTAATAGAGACGGGGTTTCACCATGTTGGTCAGGCTGGTCTCAAACTCCTGACTTCGTGAACCACCTGCCTCGGCCTCCCAAAGTGCTGGGATTACAGGCGTGAACCACTGCACCTGGCCGGGAGAACTATTTTTCTAGTGGAAGAAGCATGAGCGAGGAGCCAATACGTGGAGATGGAAATGCAGAAGGAAACAGCGTTGCCCAGAGGAAGGCACAGGACATGTCTGCCAGGCTAGGTTCCTCTGGGGGTAAGCGATAGAAAATCCGACCCACCCCAACCTAGGAAGCAGGGAATGTGTTGGCTCACATAACTGACACATTCCAAGGTAGTCTGACTTCTGGCACAACTGATTATAGGGGCTCAAGTGATATCATGGGATCCTGTTTCTCCTTCTCCATCTCCTGTCCTCAATTCCTCACTGTTGACCCCGTTCTCAGACAGACTCACTTTTAATATTCTCTTTTTAAAAATTGAGATGCGGTTCACATACCATAAAATTCACCCTTACAATTTGTTTTTCTTTACAATCACTATTTGTTATATTAACAAGTTTGTGTAACTATCACCACTGTCTAACTTCAGAACATTTTTGTCACCTCCCAGAAAACCTGCACACATTGACAGTCACTCCGCCATTTTTCCCTACCCCAAACCCCTGGCAACCAGAATCTACTTTTTATCTCTTTGAACTTGCCCATTCTGTACATTTCATACAAATGGAGTCATATGATATGTCATCTTTTGTGATTGGTTCTTTTCACACAGCATGATTTTTTTCAAGGTTCATCCATGTTGTGGCATGTATCACTGCTCCATTCTTCTCCATGCCTAAATATATTCCATTGTATGGGTATACCATAGCTTGTTTATTCATTCATCAGTTGATGGGCATCTAGGTTGTTTCCACTTTAAAGCTGTTAAGAATAATGCTGCTATTTACGTATACATTTTAGGGTGAACTTACATTTTCAATTCTCTTGGGTATATACCTAGGAGCAGAATTGCTGAGTAATACATTTTCACTTCTCTTGGGTGTATACCTAGGAGTGGAATTGCTGAGTAGTACATATGGTAACTGTGTTACAATTTTTGAGGAACAGCCAGAAGCACTCCAATGTGGCTGTATCATTTTACATTCCCACCAGCAATGTTTGAGGGATCAAATTTCTCTGCATCTTTGCCAACACTTGTTATCATCTATCTTTTTTATTACGTATACCTTTTCAGTGGTCATGAAGTGATACCTCATTGTGATTTTAATTTGCATTTTCCTAATGACTAATGATGCTGAGAATCTTTTCATGTGCTTACCGGTCATTAGTATACCATCTTTGGAGAAATGTATATTCAAAGCCTTTGGCCATTATTTAATCAGATTGTCTTTTAGTATTGAGTTGTATTAGTTGTTTATATAGTGTAGATATGAGTCATTGATGAGGCATATGACTTTAAAATATTTTCTTCCATTCTGTGAGTGAACTTTTCACTTTCTTGATAGTGTCCTTTGCAGCACAAACACATTTTGTTTTTAGAAAGTCCAATTCATTTATTTTTTATTTGATTGCTCATGCTTTTTTGTGTTATATCTGGGAAATGGTTGTTTATCCAAGATCATGAAGATTTACACCTATGTTTTCTTCTAAGAGTTTTATAGTTTTAACTTTTACATTTAAGTCTATCATACATTTTCAGTTAATGTTTGTTATGGTATGAGACAGTTGTTCAACTTCATTTTTTTTCCATGTGGATATCCAGTTGTCTCAGAATCGTCTGTTGAAAATATTACTCTTTCCCTGTTTGTCTTGACACCCTTGTTTAAAATCAATTGACCATAGATGTATGGGTTTATTTCTGGACTCTTGATTCTATTCCATTTATCTATCTGTCTATTCATATGCCAGACTACACAGTATTGGTTACTGAAGTTTTGTGGTAAGTTTTGAACTGTAAAGTATGAGTTCTCCAATTGTGTTGTTTTTCATTGTTTTGGCTGTTCTGGGTCCCTTACATTTCCATATGAATTTTATGCTCAGCATTTTCCAGTTTCTACAATAAAAGGCAGCTGGTTTTGATTGGGATTGTGTTGAATCTGTAGATCAGTTTGGGGATCTTAATATGAAATCTTTCAATCCATGAATATAGAATGTTTTTCATTTTTAAAGGCCTTTTCTTTTGAAGATCTTTTGAAGTATCAAGCCTTGTACTTCTTCTGTTGAATATATTCTTAAGTATTTTATTCATTTTGATGCCATTGTGAATGGAACTACTTTCTTGATTTCATTCTTGGAATGTTCACTGCTAAGGTAAAGAAAAATGATTAATTTTTATATATTGATCTTGTTTCCTGCTACCTTATTAAACTCATTAGATTTAATGATTTTTCATGGATTCCTTGGGATTTTTATTATATAAGATCATATCATCTTCAATTAGTTCTGCTTCTTGCTTTCCAATTTGGATGCCTTTTGTTTCTTTTTCTTGTTTAATTTCCCTGAAAAGAACCTTCTTAAAGTAGCAATGGTAAGAGCAGATATGCATGTCCTGTTCCAAATGTTAGGGGGAAGGCTTTCAGTCTTTTACCATTAAGTTTATGTTGGCTGTGTGATATTCATGGATTTTTTTCATCAAATTAAAAAAGTTCCCTTATATTCCTAGTTTGTCGAGTGTTTTTAATATGAAATAATGTTAGATTTTGTCAAATGCTTTTTCCTAACAGTTAAGATGATCATGTGGTTTTTGTCCTTATTCTATTAATATGGTATATTTCAGTTGTTGCTTTTCTTATGTTGAGCCAACCTTGCATTCCTAGAATAAATCCCACTTCTTCATGATGTATTATCTTTTTATATGTTCCCAGATTTGGTTTGCCTATATTTTGTTGATGACAGACTCACTTCTTGACACTATGAGATGACTTTCTACAGCTGGAAGTTTGTGTTCTGTAGGAAAGACAGTACACCTCACCCCAACAGTACACTAAAAGTCAGGGTCAGGTTCTCATTGATCCAAATTGGTTCATGTGCACAACCACAAGCTAATCACTGTGTCCAATGGAATGAATTTTGCTGATTAGTTTAGACATGGACCTGGACATAGGATTAACCTCAGGAAAACCTGGGATCAGAGTAAGAGATGGTGGGCCCCCAAATAAACCTTGGGGCTCTGTTTTACCGGAAGAGTGATTGATAGACCACAGGTAGCAAAAATACGGGTGCTCACCACAGAATGTGGCCAATGAGCCCAGATTTGGGGTTGTCCTGCAGAAGGGAGAGAATGGTGTGCCTGTGCATAAGTCTGTAGGTGGTCTGCAGGAGTAGTAGGAGATGAGGTCATCTGCTGGTGGAGGGGATGGGGAAGGGATTAAATTGAGGACTCAGAAGGAAAGGGATGAAGGTTTCAGGTGTTCCAGAGAAGAATGGAGATGAGACAATCCAGGGTACACAAAAGGACAAAGGGCAGCACCAAGGGCCCAGCTGCTACTGGAGGTCCTGACCCTCAGGGCGGGCCATGTTCTGTTCTCCAGGCTGGCTGCCACACTGAGCCAGGGTTGATGTTTTGTCAGGCGTGTGTGGCAGAAGGAGGGATATGAGAGAATCCTGGGAGGTAGTGAGAGAGCCATTTTGATGGACCACTGAAGGCACCACGCATTGCAGGGAAGGAAGAGAGGCCAAAAGGAGCTGATGGCCAGGGAGGAGGGTGGGACTTCAGGACTGGAGGTCTCCAGGAAGTCCAATGGCTTCTATATGAGGCCATGAGACAGTTGGAGGGGGGACGTCAGGTTGTGGTTGGAGAAGATCTCAGAGAGGAGGTAGTTCTAGGACAGGATGAGTGAAAAGCACTGGAGTTAACAGAGGTCAGGGGTTCTGGGACGAGGTTCTTGATGGATGGTGGTATCTCCTTAATGATTACAGTCTTTAGGTATGAACAAAGGCACAAAATTTACTCCTGAAGACCTGATGAAGAGTAAAAGAGAATGTGATCCACCTCATTCAGGGCAGTTGAATCCTGGAGTTTTCACGGAGGGGTGGAAGTACTATGAAGGGTGGGAGAGCTCAGGCTTGATGCTAAGACCACCCATGCAGGGCCTTACAGGTCCTACCAAGGATTGGAGCTTCATCCTATAAGTAAAGGGAAACTATTGAAACAACGTAAGCCAGGACATGACATGATTAGAGCTGCATTGCTAAACACTCACTCTGCTGTGCTGTGGAGCGAGATGGGGAGGGAGCTACCACATGGTCCAGGCAATGGTTGATGGAGGCTTGGGCTGGGGCAAGGGGCCAGGTATCCAACACATAATTGGAGCTGAAGCCAGAAGACAGAATGAGTACGTAGAGAGCCAGGACAGAAGGGACCAACAGTAAGAGGAAGACAAGAGCCAGCATGGAGAGAAGGCAAGGGAGAGATTGGGAAGAGAAGCCATTTATGACGAAACTGGGAGCCCCCGGAATGAGAGTGTTCAAGAAAGAGGTGCAAAATCAGCTGCCTTTTGCCAGATTTCTGATTATTTGCCTTTCCCCCTTTTTCAGAGGCATAATTATAAAAGCTACAGAATATCTAATTAGGAAGAAAATAAACCAGAATCATGACAATTTTGAATTTAGCAACCATATTCTCCTTGGCCTTATTTTCAAGTCATAAATATCACTGAATCTAAGCTAGCAAAATGTTTCTTGGTAGTTGTTTTTAGGCTCAGACCCAGAAGTAACAATGGTCACAATAACCAGTTAACATTTTCTGACAGCTTACTAAGTGCTGAGGTCTGTGCTAAGCACTTTATATGTGAAATCTCATTTATTCCTCAGAATAACCTAACGAGGCAGATGCTACTATTATTACTCATTTTTAGCTGCAAGAAAAAACTCAGAGAGGTGACACATGAACACATGGCAGTGACTGGGTGATAGTATGAATTCAATCTGACTCTGGTGGCCAATGATATAATCAGTGTACCCCATTTTTTACAGATGGGGTTTGGCGGTCCTTGGAGAGGTAGGAGAGTCATTTTTGAAATTGGTTTCAACACTCCACCCTACACACTTGTTGAGGTATTACTTGACAACCATCTATCACTGCAGGTTTCTGGAGGACAGCTCTGGCCAGCCCAGGTCCTCACCCTCACTGTGTGTGACTCACTGCTCCCCACCTACATCCACACACATTGCCTCCCTTGGCTCACAGCAACCCATTTCACAGATGAGAAAACAGCTCAGTTGGTGGACATCGCCACCAACTAAAATGTCCCAAAAGCCATGAGAGTCAGGGCAAGGGCTCAAACCCTTTTTCTGATTTTTCATTCATTCAGGCCACCCCCACCACTCTGCCACCCCTGTGTAGAAAGCATTTGTTCACTGTACCCAGCAGCAGACACTCCTGCAGCTTTTTGTTTAAACACTTCCTTAAAAGCAGGACTCTGGATTTTCCTATGTCTTTGCACATTTATTATTTTCCTTATGAAATGTTTCAAGCATACAGAAAAGTACAGTTGGTAATATCACAAATACCCACATGCTCGCCACTGGAAGTGAACAAAGGTCAACATTTTTCTTCTATGTTTGCTTCAGATTTTCTTTTAATTTTATTTCATTTTAGATAAGGCATACATGTGCACATTTGTTACATGGGTATATTGCAGTACTGGTGGGGATTGAACTTCTAATGCACCCATTACCCAAATAATGAACATCGTACCCAATAGGTGATCATTCAACCCTCAGCCCGCTTCCACCCTGCCCTCTTTTGGAGGCCCCAGTGTCTATTGTTCCCCTCTTTATGTCCATGTGTGCCATTGTTTAGCTCCCACTTATAAGTGAGAATATGCAGTATTTGCTTTTCTGTTTCTGAGTTAGATCGCGTAGGATAATGGACTCCAGCTGCATCCATGTTGCTGCAAAGGACATGATTTCATTCTTTTTTATGGCTGTGTAGTCAGATCTTTTTTAAAAAGTAAATATGACACATGTATTGATGATCTCTATGAATCCCTCTCCAATGCCTTCTTCTCCCTTCCGCCCCAGAGGAAACACTATTCTGAAGTTGTGGTGCATTCTATTCATTTTTTAGACTTTTACCACAAATGTATGTATCTGTAGACAATATATATTGTTTTGCATGTTTTAAAACTATAGCTAAATGATGTCATACTATAATATCCTTCTAACTGTAGTTAATTCATTCAGTTTTGTGTTGTAGATGTTCATCCACACGTTTCCATGTAGATCTAGTGCATTGTAACTGCTCTACAGTATACAGTATGGGAGGACTCCATGATTTATACAATACCTCCTGCCATAGACATTTCCCCATTTTTAAGCTTTATGAACTCTGCTGTGATAAGCAACCATGTACATGATCTGACCTGGTTCATGAGGTATACACTTTTCAGTTTTATCAGATGTTGCCAAATAGCTCTCCAAAATTACGGTAACAGTTTATATTCAGTTTCTAAGTAGTCCATTCATCCACAGCCAGCCATGGTGTCATCAGACTTCACTGTCCTGCTAATGTGAGAGTTAGGAATTTACCATTTATTCTCAACAGCATCATCTCTTGTTCCATGGCTGGCTGACTCCATAAGGAACTTCCTTGCAATGATGGGACACTGCCTTATTTTCTCCATTGATCCCCACTCTGTTCTCTTCACACTGGAGGCTCTGACTATGACCATCTAAGATTCCCCCAGAGCATTTCCTCAAGTGTTTTCATCAAATCAGGGACCCCCATAGCTAGCAACTCTTTTTTTAACAAAATTTAAATTTTATATGCAAAGGGACTGTGTGTGGTTTGGGGAAGAGTGTGTTCATATTGGAGGCAAATAGCTTGTAAAACTTTCTGTGAAAATAGCTCAGAGAGCCTCAAAAATCATATTTGATTTGGATTATTATCTTAATTTAGGCTGCTATAGTAAATTATTATTGATCGGCATATAAACAACAGAAATTTATTTCTCATAGTTCTAGAGGCTGAAAGTCTGAGATCAGGGTCCCAGCATGGTGGGGTTCTGATGAGGGCCCTCTTCCAGGTTGCTGTAGACTTTTCACCATAACCTCTCATTGCAGAAAGGGCAAGGGAGCTCTCAGGGTCTCTTTTAAAAGGGCACTAATCCCATTCAGAAGGGCTCTGTCCTTATGACCCAATCACTTCCCAAAGGCTCCATCTCCAAATATCATCACATTGGGGATTAGGTTTCAACATATGAATTTTGAGGGGATATAAACATTCAGTCTATAGCAATAATCTAGTTGGTAACCATTAAAACCTTTTCTTGTGCACAGAAATTATTTGCCATACCCCAGATTCCATCTTTTTAACATGTACTGGCTCTATTTTTATTTAAAATCTTGATTCAATTAACCAGACACTTTAGTCCTACAGAAACCATGGAGCTAAAGAGCTTTGTCATCACTGAAATCACCATTAGCCTCCTCAATAAGTAAAATAAACTGAGTCACAGTTCTCATGGGGTAGCACTGGTGTTGTGCAAAATATTTAATGATCCACACCATGCGGAAGCTGATCAATCAGAATTGATAGTACCTGGGGCAGCCTGGGGCAGCCATACTATGCCAACCAGCTGAAAAGCAACTTGGGCCCAAGACCCCCCTCCTCATTACTGCACTGCCAGACTTCTGGATTACGTGGGCCACAAGTATCAGGGCGGAGGGAGTGGGTAGAGGATGAAGGCAGGACATCACCCCAACACAGTATCTGACCAGAACCCCAAGAACAGGCTCACAAAGAGTAGGGCCAGGTGTGGTGGCTCACGCCTGTAATCTCAGCACCTTTGGAGGCCGAGGTGGGCAGATCACTTGAGCCTAGGAGTTTAAAATCAGCCAGCAACATGGCAAAACCCTCTCTCTACAAAAAACATTTAAAAAATTAAGCCGCGTGTAGGGGCACATGCCTGCAGTCCCAGCTACTCGAGAGGCTGAGGTGAGATGATTGTTTGAGCCCAGGAGGTCAAGGCTGCCGTGAGCAGTGACCACCATGCCACTGAATTCCAGCCAGGCTCAGGTAACAGAGTAAGACCCTGTCTCAAAAAAAAAAGGAAGAAGAAGGAAGCATACTGCCCTAAATACATGGTCTGTGCTCCTTAGACCGCACCAGTCAGCTTCCCTTTCATTGCTTGCTAATTTGAAAATTGAGGGTCTCTGAAATATAAGACGAGTTCTTTGAGGGTTGGGGTTGGGAGTGAAGGTGGTGGAGGTAGTGGAGGTGGCAGAGATGGACATGGTGGTCTTTGATGGAAATGTGACAATAAGATATGCTTTATTAAGAAACCAATCCAAGGGAAAAATGGAAAGTGAAAAATGGAAATGTGGAAATCTACAAGATGTGAGTGGTAGTCAACCTGAAGAACCATAGAGTTCAGTTAAAAGAAAAAATATAAGTGATTTTATCATGAGGGTGAACTGGACACCACTCAGACAGAAAGTGACTTAGAAGATACTGAAAATCTGCTTTGCTAAAAGCAGCTCCATGATATGTTCTTGGCTTGTCTTGATGGTCAAGGAAGTGATTACTTTATAATGCCACCTCCTAGTTCTGCTCTCCACTCTAGGTGGGCTCAATTCCTGGGGGCTAAGGGCTGCTGGCAAGCTCCCCTCCTGAGCAGCTCACACCTGGACAGCCTTTCTCTATCCTCAGCTTCCTCTTCAGGCCGAGGTAGACAGCTTGGCAGATAAGAAGTTCTCATGACCATAGGCTTCATGGCTTCCTCCCTCCCTGACCTGGCCAGGGTTGCACAAGAAACAGTAGGTCAGAGAGACTCAAGAGTTCTCCAAGTGCAGACTTGGGTTTACACAGTTCTACAGGCAGCCAACTCCTCCTTCCAGGGCAGCATCACAGTGTAGCCCCCAGACCAACCCAGACTGGTCCACACTTCCAGTTCCAAGTATTTCCATCAGTAGGATTTTAGCAGAGACCTGAGGTCTGATGTGAGGCGGTTCCTGCAAGTCTGTCCTCAGTCAGAACCCCAATGCTGGTCGGAGCATGAGGCATGCTGGCCACCACACCTGGAGCCAAGGAGTCCCCTCCCAGGACGTGTCACCAGGGCAGATACATCTGGAGGCAGACCTGTGAGTGTTCCATTGACCCTGTTGTTTCCCTGTTATCAAGTCTATATATCTTTTAATACAATTTGAACTTGACCAAACTGATTTATATTTGTTGCCTACTTTGCTCTGTATCATCTTACTCACCAATAAAAGATGCCCTCCTGTATCATACCCAGTTGATGATCCCCAGCAGAGCTGCTTGGCTCTCTTTGCCCCGGGGTCTTGGTCACCTACCCAGAAGAGAACCTGGCCACTGGCTTCCTCACTTTAACTCCCAACAGACCAGCCATCTCTGCCTTCTCAAGGGGTGAGGGCTGGGCATGGCACAGCCACCATCATGCCCACCACTGTGGGAGCGGCCACAGCTGAACACCCAGTCAGTGTGTCTCATGGCTGCCCAAGCAACAACCTAGAAGTGCAGGGAAATTAATGTCTTCCCCCGGGTGAACTTTCACCAGTGCCAGTTAAGAGATGAGAAGGAGGGGATAAATTCCTTGTCCTTTCACCCATGCACACATACTGTTTTCATGATTCTTTTTCTGGAAACAACCCAGGTGCCCAAAGAAAGAAGCTTTGTTCTGAAGACTGTGACCAACTCAGTAATGCACCCCCTGAATTTGCCTCTCCCGCCACCACCTCACAGCATTCCCCTCAAGCTTGCTGCCCTGAAATTTCACCCCCACCCTTCCTCTCCTGTAAAATGTTAGCATGGAAATTTACCTTAGGCTCTGTTTTGTTAGAGTACCTGGAAAGATAGCCACTTAAAATCATCTCACTCACTTCCAGTGCTTTATGTAACAACATTAGTCGGGGGGAAGTGAGCTGGAAGATGACTGCCGAGGTCTGGGCCAGCGGTATGAAGGTTGAATCTGGGAAGAGGCATACCATGGAAAAAGATGGTGATGAATGAGAGCTGTTGTGGATCTGGCACTGGTAGCCTCGGACACCGATTGGATGGGGAGGACGCGGGGGAGGAGCCCAGAGCTGAGTTTGGGATCTCAGCCTGAGAGGCAATAGAGTCATTAAAAGACACAGGGGACAGGGGATGTTGGGAGTGAGCATGGGCTTTCCGGTAAAACAGACCCAGATTCTAGTGCAGGCTGTGCCACTGACTCGCTTTGTGACCTTGGGTGTGTTACTTGCCATCGCTAGACCTCATTTCTTCATCCCTAAGGTGGCATCAATGAGGATCCCTCATCTATTTAAGAGAATGAAATGAACTGATAGGACAGAGCCTGGCACGTAGCAGAGCTGGATAAATGAATGAGTCATGTGTCTTTTTTGCCTTGGCCCGGCCACAGAGACTCCTCCAACAGTGCAGAGTGGCTGGGACTGAGTCATGACCTCCGAGGTGCCTCCCAGGCTGCCCTTCCAGGGGTTGATGAAGGGCCTCCACCCCTTCCTGGGGGATTGTTAGCTGGTGAAGCAAAAGGTATAGGAAGCCTCCAGCAACTGTGGAGAAAGTACCCTCAGAGCACCTCGTGCCCTGGCTCCTGCCTGCCCCCTGCCCACTCAGGGGCTCCACAGTCTGGGGAGAGATGAGAGGGAGATGGGGGACCAATGCTTGGCATATCCTGGTGCAGCATTTCTCATTGTGATTGGTACAATCCCTACGAAAGACTTTTTTGGGAACAGGTTAGAAATACAGATTTCTCGTCTCCCCGACCTGTGAATCAGACTCTGGGTTGGTCCCAGGCACCTGCATTTGCACATGCCCCGCAGGTGAGTCTGCTGACTACTAAGGTCTGAAAACCACTGTCAGGACCCTGGGCCCAGAGGCTGTGATCCCGTGTGGCTTCTTCCTTCTGAACGTGCTGAGGCTGGAAGGGATTTGGCTCATGAGGGTCCTCCTTCCATCAGAGAGCTTGCCCAGGACTTTGTCTCTCTACCCTCACTTTGATGCCAGCCAGCGCACAAGCACCCTCTCAATCTGTCTCAGGGAATTTCCTTGTCTCTCTGTCTCTCTCTCATCTCTCCCTGTCTCACTCTCTCTGTCTCTTGATCCCTTTGGTTCCCTTCATTCTGTTTCTGTTGTTCTCTCTGTCTTTCTTTGTCTCTCTCTGACTTTCCTGTCCTTCTGTTTCTTTCCCTATGTCTCGGTCTCTGTCTCTTTCTGCCCCTCGACTTCTCTCATCCTCATTCTTAGTGTCTTTGTTCCCTTCCTCTGGCTATCTTTCCTCCATATTTGTCTCTCTGCCTTTCTGCTGTTCTTTCTTCCTCTGTCTGTCCCTATGTCTCTGTGTCTGTTTGTCTGTCTCTCAATGTCTCTGTCTGTCTCGCTCTGTCCCTGTCTCTCTCTCTCTCTCTCTCTCTGTGTGTGTGTGTGTGTGTGTGTGTGTGTGTGTGTGTGTGTGTGTGTGTGTCCTCTGTTTCCCCTCTCTCTCTTCCCCTGTCTTCACCCTTCCTGGAGGACTCCGGGCTGGCGGCCGGGAACAGATGGCTGTCAGGCCTTGGCCAGAGGCCCCTTTTCATCACGGAGGCCCCTCCCTCAGTGGTGGCTTTTCAGCGACCACCTGGGGAGTGCAAACTGTACTGTCACAAACAGGTTGCTGTCACCACTGTGATCCAGGTCCAAGCCCAGCCCTGGGCCCGCCTGCCTTGGGTAACCTTGAAACAGGCCAGGCTCCCACCTTGCTTGTGCAACAGCCACTCCAGGGGCCAGAAGCCTGGCCTCAGGGAACTGGATGGGGTGGGAGGAGCCTTGCATGCAGTAGCCTTTCCCCAGATCCAGGGGCAGCACCAGGAGGTAGGAGTCCCCCATGGACACCAGGCCAGCCCTGACCTTTCTCACTGAGAGGAAGTGGTCACAGCAGTGTAGATGCCCTGGACCCATTCCCCCAGCCCAATCCCCTTCATATCAGGAGATGGGGAGAAGAAGCCAGTCTGGAGTGCCCTGAAGCCCCTGCCGGACTTCTCCCAGACCTACAGGGTGGGACCAGAAGTGGCCTTGTGCACCTGACCTGAGGGTGGCTCTGCCCACCTCAGTCTACAGAGCATGCGAGTGTCTGCTGAGAAGCCAGAGCTCCCTCCCCTGCCCCTGTTGCTCCCACCATTTCCTTCTCTTCTTCCTGGGTCAGACTCCAAAGCAACCTGAGAAAAATATCTTCACTGGGGGATAGGGGAAACAGATGTCAAGGAACCCTTTATTTACTGCAGGCCATGCAGCAAGCCAGTGCTGAATTCAGAGCAGCAGCTTCAGGCAGGAATCAATATACCCATTACTCAGATGAGAAAACCAGGGCCCAAAAAAATGAAAAGACTCTTCCAACATTCCATGGTACTAGTAGGGTAGCTAAAGTTCGAATGGCTTGTTTACACACACAAACACACACACACACACACACAAAACTGCTTAAAGAAACACCTGTCATGTGCCAGGAGGTAGGCTGTTCTAGGAAAACGCAAACAAATGGCCCCATCCTTGCCATAGAGAGCCACCCCACACAAACACCTGTGCGCACATCACCACCCTGATGTATCTGAGATCCCAGAGTGAGGTACATGCACAGAGGGCTGTCTCTGTCCTTGCTCTTCCCATCCCAAATGCCAGAGAAGCCCCGAGTGTGAGGTCAGCCACAGGGCTGCATGTCTGCGCTTGTGTCCTAGGTTCAGGTTTGGGCTGGTGCTGCTTGTGAGCAGTCACTACTGTGTGCCTGGCTGTGTGCTGAGGGCACACTCTGCATTGCCTCATTTTGCCTTCCACCTTGGACAGAGGGTGTGATTGCTGCTGGGTTACAGATAAGGAGGCTGAAGCTGTGACTCACTTGGGAATGCTGGGACTTCAACTCCCTGGTTCCTAGACGGCCTTTTTAGGATGAAAATAAAAATACCCAGTAGGGGCTCTCCAAGACACAGGGAAGCAAAGAGCAGGCGGTAAATTGAATCAGCCTAACAGGTGTCCAGATGCCGGAGGAGGCCAGAGCAGCCCCTAGGTGCAGGCTCCAGAGGGAAGGCCCGAGTCTTGTGGTTCCCACACACCCCACAGTCCGCCCACCCCTGCAGCAGCCCAGCAGCAGCTAGGCCTAGAAGCTCTCCCCAAGCCCTGCTCTTCCCTGTCCCCACCCCATCCTACCCTCCCTTCTGGCTGTAGGGAGGACAGGATGGCAGGATGCAGTGGGAGAAGGCCTGGCTCAGATTTCCCTCCTCTCTTCCTGGCAGGGATTACATGGTGAGCAAGGAGGACAGCTGAGCTGGCCAGTGGGCAGCCCCGCCATGCCAAGAGGAAAGCTGGAGAGGAAGGACAGCTGAGGTAACTCAGGCCTGGTGCAGCCACTCTCCCCATCCCCATATCCCTCCTTCCTGGCCCCTCTGGGGCCCCGCATGCCAGGGAATGATCCACTGGACCCAGCACCAGGACTTGAGAACCTGCACTCCCTTTCCCCCAAATGCTGCTCTCTGGAATTGGCAAAGACAAAGCCAAGTAGGTTTCTGAGCAGACGGACAGACTGACTTCAGAGAATAGAAGGCCCCCGGGGTTTGTGGGCAGCAGCAGGGCTCACGTGAATGAGAGCTCTATGATTCTAGAATATCTAATTAACACTGACACTCTCCCCCAGCCTCTGCCTTATCCTTACTCCACAGGCTCTGCAGCAGTGAGAAGGCATCTGTCTAGTGATCTGCTGATCTGCCTCACCCCAACCAAGCCCTTCACCCTGGGATGTTACTAGAGCTCTTGGTTACTTGAGCCACCTACCTAAACATTTGTGAATACTTCAGCCATGGGACAGCGACTGTCAATCAATAGTCCTCAGAGACTCATCAGAACAGTCAGGGGACAGTTTGGTGGTACCAAGCAATGAGCACGGGGTGGACCTAGAAAGTGCCAGGAATGATGTACCCGCAGAAAACTGTGCACATCCTGGGTGCCAGAGGGGCCTGTATCTGGGGCACATGGAGCCCTGGCTGAAGCATTAGCAGTGAGAGGCAAAGCTGACCTCTCCTCTCTGGGGTTCTGCTCTACCTCCATCCCCATCCCCAAGAGGAGATCCTGGATCAGAAAAGCGAAGCTGGACATTAAACTGGCTGTGTGAATGCCCACAGATCTGGACTGAGGGTACCTGGCAAATTCTGGCCAGAGAGCCCAGGGTCAGGAATCCTCCAGTAGGACCCTGGATCTGATACAGCTGCCAAGGGATGGTTTAGTTCCCTGTCAAACAGGCACAACCTGGCATCAGACTCCAATAGCTGTGCATGCCCACCACCTCCTTCTCACTGAGTGATAGACTTTGTGGTTGCTATCCACGTACACCTTCAGGCAGCACAGCCCAGACGCTATCTGTCAAGTGGCATGCTTTTCAATTGTCCTAGACATGTTTGCTTCAAACTCCACTCTGATGCTCTGTATTAGCAAACATATTTGAACTAGCCCTGTTCTTTGTGTTTTATTCATGCTGAATAGCTGCCTTCTCGGAGCCCAGTTCCTCATCTCTAAAATGCAGGCAACTAACCACCTCAAAAGGTTGTTGGGATGATTAAGATTGTGAAGGCATCTAGCATAGGGCCCAGCATAGAGTGGGCATCCAATACATATTTTTTCTTCCTTCTTTACCACTGTCTTAGTTCATTTGGGCTGCTATTACAAAATACCATTAACTGGGTGGCTTATAGACAACAGAAATTTATTTCTTACAGCTCTAGACAATGGGAAATCCAAGATGAAGGTGGCAGCAAATTCTGTGTTTGTTGAGAGCACACTTCCTGGTTCAAAGACAGCACCTTCTTTTTTTTTTTTTCTTTTTTGAGATGAAGTCTCACTCTGTCTCCCAGGCTAGAGAGCAATGGCGTGATCTTGGCTCACTGCAAGCTCTGCCTCCTGAGTTCAAGCAATTCTCCTACCTCAGCCTCCTGGGTAGCTGGGATTACCAGCATGCATCACCACACCCAGCTAATTTTTGTATTTGTAGTAGAGACAGGGTTTCACCCTGTTGGCCCAGCTGGTCTCGAACTCCTGACCTCAGGTGATCTACCCACCTCGGCCTCCGCAGTGCTGGGATTACAGGCATGAGCCACCATGCCCAGCCGGCACCTTCTTGCTATGTTCTCACATGGCGGAAGGATCAAAGAAGGTTTTTCGAACTGCTTTTACAAGGGCACTAATTCTATCTGTGAGGGATCCAGCCTTATGACTTAATCACTTCCCAAAGCCTCCACCTCTTGATATTATCACCTTAGAAGTTAGGATCTCAACATATGAATTTGAGGGGGGGGGCACAAATATTCATCCCATAGCACCTTCTTTCCCTACTCCTTCCTTCCTTCCCCTCTTCCTTCCTGCCTCCTGCCTTCCAGCCTTCCAGCCTTCCTGTCTTCCTTCCCTTTTTCCCCTTTATCCTCTTTCTCTCTCTTTTCATAATATCTTCCCAGAAAGGAGAGTGCCAAGCATTTCAATTGCTCGTCATTCAGCTCTGTCTCTTCCCCTTCATCCAGATTCTTTGTGTT
Source organism: Homo sapiens (assembly GCF_000001405.40). Lineage (NCBI taxonomy): Eukaryota > Metazoa > Chordata > Mammalia > Primates > Hominidae > Homo > Homo sapiens. Next base: position 134,661,577 of record NC_000003.12, on the reverse strand, counting down.
TCTTCTCTTGGGACCCTCTTCAATTCCATTGTTATCTTCATAAGTGGATCTACACACTATCTTCTAGGTCAACTACATGAGAGAGATTCGTTCATCTGTGTGTCCCCACAACATCAGACACAGTCCTAGAACATAGTGTTGATTACAGATGGAATGAAGGAATCGTAATTGGATGGGAATGGGGGAGGGGGGTAACTGAATGAATAAAGAATGGGTGAATGGACAAAGCATATTAGGCGGAAGGAACAGAAAGGTGGGGTTGGCTGATGGTTTGCACAGTGGTGTCTAGGTTTCAATGGAAGGAATAGCTAAGTGGGATGGATCGGATAGATGGAGTGGATGGATGGATATGAAAGAGCATGGTGCTCAAGTATGCGGTGGAGTGGAGGGATAAATAGATGGACAGAAGCACATATGCCATGGCTGGCTTTGGGCTGGGCAGGAAGGCTGCAAGAAACTCACTAAAATGTTTTCACTCCCAAATCACAATTTTCATTCTCTCTCCCATTGCTCTCAAACCATAAAGATGGGGGTGGTGAGGAAGTGGGTAGCTGACAACAGCCAGTCCCGTGTGCTACCTGCATTCCAGCCTTGCCCATATCCTCACTAAGGGACTCCTGCCACAGACTCCAAGCATCACAATGCTTAGAGCCGCAGGGCCCAGAAAGGGGCTGAGGACTTACTTGCCCCTTCCTAGCCCACTCTCCAGTCTCAACCTCAGAAGAGGCCATACAGAAGGAAAATGGACTGTACTAGTGGAGACCTGACTGTCCTCACACTCAACACCAAAGATTGGAAATCTGCCAATTTCACTTCCCAGTCTGCTTTGCCCACAGGACAAGCTTGCACACTCACTGCACCAAAGTCCAGCTGGGAGTTGATGCTATGTTGCCCTCACTAAATCGAGAGCTCCTTGAGAGCAGGAATTGTATCATCCTCACTGCCCCATTCCAGTGATAAAGTTCCTGATACAGAGTTGGCATAGAAAAAAAAGATGTTTGTGAGTTAAGTAAAATGAACAATGGGTCTTACACACAACTGCCTATCCTTGGGGGCAAATAATGATAGACCTTGGTCTAGGACACTGAGTGTGAATCCTAGCTCTGCCACTTCTGAACTACGTGACCTTACCAAGTCCCACACCTCCCTGAGCCTCTATTTCCTCATCTATGAACTCAGGATAATAGTTGATACCACTCAACTATCCCCTGTGGCTTTGCATATCATATTAGGAACCAGTTTCTAATTTAGTCCTTTTCAAAGCCCCCACACCACCCCAGGAGCCTTGACAGCCAAGCCCCAAAGCCGCTCATCCCTCCATCGCAACCTCCTTGCCCGGAGGGCAGAGCAGAGCCCTGTGGGGAGGGGACCGGCAGGCCACAGGAATTGAACATGCCCCACTTTCAGGCTTCTGCCACTGGGCCTGTGCATAATCACCCTGACCTCAATATTTCTCTGTGAATTATGGAAAGAGAGTTCTCTGAAAATGAGACGTGTGAAAAGTTCCACCAGGCTCCCCCTCATCCCCTCATTTCATCCTTTCCAACTTAATAAGGACCGCGGCTTATTAGCTGTTCCTGTCCAGCTCGCCTTGTCCTGTGCCTGCACACGTGAGACTAAAAATACCCGTGGCTCCTATTAGAAGCTCTGCCCCGGGGACAGGCAAGGCTGGAGTCTGCACTGACACTGAAAAATCTCCCGCATGCCCCCTGGGATCCAGGCCACTGGGCAACTCCTGCTTGGGACGATGAACACCAACATCCTCCCGCCAGGCCCCTGGGGGTCGACAGTAATAATCAAAAGGCTGCTCTTAGCTCATTCGTGGTTTTGTTCAGATCCTCCAAAGCCCTTTTCTGTGTTCCTCCTCACCACCTGATCAGACAATCTTGAACCACCAGGAGAGGTCCTCTCTCGGGGCTCCCACCACTAGGAGCACTCACTGCCTAAGCCCTGCGAGTGGCTGGCCCACATTTCAGCCTGCTCCTGGAAAAATGCCTTTTCACTGAAACGTGCAGAATGGCAAGCACATTAGGCTTGAGGGGAGGACTGGGCCCATCCAGAAGCTACTGGGGAACTGTGTGCACCGATTTCTCAATCCTTTCTTTCTCTGTCAGTAAAATGGGTTTAAAGGCATCAGCCCACCTTTGGGCTATTGTGAAGACTATGTGAGTTCATGGAAATGGAAATGCAGAATTCTGCACAGAAGGAGGTGACTGGTATGGAGCAGACACTGAAGCCTCACCTGCAGAGGACACCTTGTTTACGTCAGAGAGAGGGGCGGATCGAGGAATATGCAAGGGGCATTTCAATAGCTGGGTAATCAACACTTGGCTAGGTTAAAGAGGTAATCTCTCCATGCGCTCTCATGTGCCACTGGATACCTCTCTTGGCATTGCCCAGGATATTTTGGAAGTGGTGGTGAAAGACAGATTGATCTTCATCATCTCCCTCCCCAGCAAAGGGCCAAGAATGCCATGGAGTGTAAAGACTCCAAAATTCAAAGTACCCGAAATTTGGAAAGCAGTGCTTCCCACACTTGCACATTATTATATGCAAGAAGATGAGATTTTAATGAGCTCTGGACAGAAAAATATGGAAAATCAATTAAGGTGTCATGAACAGAAATACTTTGAGAAAGGGAGTGGCTGACAAACTGATCAGGAAGAGACATACCAGAAAGGTTAAGAATGAAAATTGCTCTTAACAGCATGAATCGTGGCTTATGACTCTGATCGGAGCAGGGAGCAGGGCTGGTGTCTGCATGGGACTGAGCAGCGCTGTCTCAGAACCAAGCTCTCCCCAAATTCATGCTCCAGATGGTTCTGTCAATGTGGAGGATGGTGCCTTCAGAGCTTCTTGTCCTCGTTTAACCTTCTTCTTCGTTCCCTGTAGGTCTGTGAGACAGACACAGAAGAGCAAATGCTACACATCTCTGGAAAGCTCAGTTCTACCTCCAGGCTAAAGGAAGAAGTCTCAGCTTGCTGGCAGCATTAATTCTGTCCAATTTGATTCAAACATTTGTTGAGCACTTTCTGTGTTCAACAAACATAGGCACAAAGTGTTGGGGGATTCAGGAATGAGTAAGACCATGACCTGGCCCCCTGGCCCTCAAAGAGCTTCAAGTAATCAAAGCTATGACCATGACTCTGCCACAGACTTTGCTACGAAATACAACAGATCTGAGGTAGGTTGGAAGAGTATTTTTTTTCCAACCAATATTTAAATATTTGTGCCACTAAACTAGGAAAAAGGAACTAAGGATATGAATTTTTTAAACACACACATGCACACACAATACACACACACAAGGTAAATTTATGCTTAAAAATTGTTCAATCTCCATGGTAATAAAAATGAAAATTAGAAAGGGTTACCATGTATCAGCCGGGCGCAGTGGCTCATGCCTGTAATCCCAGCACTTTGGGAGGCTGAGGCGGGCAGATCACAAGGTCAGGAGATCGAGACTATCCTGGCTAACACAGTGAAACCCCGTCTCTACTAAAAATACAAAAAATTAGCCGGGCGTGGTGGCACACACCTGTAGCCCCAGCTACTCCGGAGGCTGAGTCAGGAAAATCGCTTGAACCTGGGAGGCAGAGGTTGCAGTGAGCCAAGATCGCGCCACTGCACTCCAGCCTGGGTGACAGAACGAGACTTCATCTCAAAAAAATAAATAAATAAAATAAAAAGAAAAGGTTACCATATATCAATTATCATAATGGCAAAGGTTGATGTACCAATAGTTTTCAATGCTTGTGATAGTGTATGGAGAGGTTGACATACACAGCTAATGAGTGTAAATAGGCACAGTCTTTCTGGAAGGCAATTTGACATTTCATATATATATATCTCAATGTTTAAAATAGTCATAGTCTTTGACTCAGTAATTCCACTTCCAAGAATCTATTCTAAGGAAATAACCAGAAATGTAGTCAAAGATATTTATTATCACATTATTTATAAAAGTAGACAATGCAAAACAAACTAAAAGTCCAACAATGAGAAAATAGAAAAATGGATTGTGGCACGTCAGTATAAAAAGTGACTAAGCAATCTTTTAAATTAGCTTTTGAAGAGTTTTTAGTAAACTATTCATTACAGGTTGAGTGAAAAAAAATCATGATACCAAACTATATATGGTGCAATACCAATTATACTTTTTAAATAAAAATATTCATTTTTATTTCACACCTATTGATATGGTTTGGCTGTGTCTCCGCCAAAATCTCAAGTTGAATTGTATCTCCCAGAATTCCTGTGTGTTGTGGGAGGGACCCAGAGGAAGGCAATTGAATCATGGGGGCCAGTCTTTCCCATACTGTTCTCCTGATAGTGAATAAGTCTCACAAGATCTGATGAGTTTATCAGGGGTTTCCGCTTTTGCTTCTTCCTCATTGCCTTTCGCTGCCGCCATGTAAGAGTCTTTTGCCTCCCATCATGATTCTGAGGGCTCCCCAACTACATAGAACTGTAAGTCCAATTAAACCTCTTTTTCTTCCCAGTTTCAGGTATGTCTTTGTCAGCAGCATAAAAACAGACTAACACACCTATATATAATAAATGTTCACTTATTATACTCTATGTTGTAGTCATAATGAAAGGAAATACTAAATAACAAAATGTTTAGAAGTGATTATCTCTAGATGGTGGGATGACGGGATTTAGGTGGCTTTATTTTCTTCTTTATATAGTTCTTGCACTTTCTAAATTGTTAGTAATGAGCCTGAATTTGACAGAGCATCTTGTCTCCTGATGGGACTTTATGACCCAGCTCACCCAGATGGGTCGCCTGAGTCTGACAACTGAGCTGGGGCGTGGCCCTTCAGCTTAGGTGGAGGCTCTGTGTCTCCCCTGCCTGTCCTCTCCATCTGAGCCCAGTTCCCCACTTCACCCAGGCACTCTGCCCCACACTACCCCAAAATATCCTCCTTTTCTTACACAGCATCTGTATGTGGTGCTTGACTGTCTCTTCCTATCATCACCACCCTTGCCTAGCATCTTCTCCAGAAGGCCAGTTTCGGGTGACAGTGGTTTTGATCATGTCTAAGGCAACCGTGGGACCTGCACCCTCACACTTGTGAACAGTCCCTGCTCTTCCATCCCTGCTGACCAGGATCAGCATCGCCACTCAGATGGGCAGCTGAAGCTTCACCCACAGCAGACTGGCTTTGGCTGCTCTTCTGCTCCTCTCAGTGCTCTTCCCCTGCACCATAGCACCAACCAGACTGGCCTGCTTTCACTTCCTGAGACACGCGTTTTTCTCTTTCACCTCCATCACTCCTTCCAGCTCCTCCTATTTCCTGCTCAGGCTCCTTCTTGCCTGGAAAGCCTGTCCCTCTCTCCTACTCATTCATCCCTGAGGACACTGTTTGGGGATGTAGCCTTCCTGGCCCCTCCTCTCTGGGAGGACAGATGCCTCTCCCCTGTCCTTACTCTTTCATTTCATCCTATGGCATTGCACATAGTGAGGTCTCAAGAACAAGCCGTCATCTGTGCTGGGAAACGTCTTCATGGCAAACCTAGCAGAGGTGGAAAGCTCTCTTTACAGTGTAACCATCCTCACCCCAGAATGGTATGGAACTATCACAACACACTTCCTCTCCATCCCTGGCAGGGCTACTGCTCCTGAAGACTGCTGAATGCTCCCAGCCACCAACTTTTTACTACTGCCACTGCCACCAGTTCTCTCTCCACCCAAAACAACTGATGCCACAGAGCCTGTAAAATCTGTCCCCAAAGGCCCAGCTCAGGGCTTGAGCTCAAAGAATTTTTCCAAGAACCTCAACAGAGGTCTTGAAACCCCGAGTCAAGGTGTGTTCATCGTGATTGTTAAGACCATCTTCCCCATAGGCTGACAGCTGATCTTTTCCTTGGCTCGGGCACTATGCAGCCTCAGCTCATGGGCATGTTATGGCCATATAGGGTAGGGGGGCAGGTGTTGTTCAGCACATGAGCTTTGGAGCATACAGAGTTGGGTGGGGTGTCAAGGGTTGGGTGTCCCCTGCTACCTGTAAGACACATGTGAGACCTTGGGTAGGTCACATTAGGTTTCTAAACCTCTGTTTTCTCATCTATAAAATGGAGATAATGCAAAGGTTTATCCTACTGAATGCACACAGAGAGTTCACAAGTGCCATCAGGGTGGGAAGGAAGCAGAACTGTGCTGTGCCGTAACTCCTGCCAAACAGGCTGCAGCCGCACAGATCTGACATCAGTTCTTCAAGGAATGGATTCTGTGGCTCACTGAGGTTTTCTGTGTTTGAGAACAGTGGCCACAGAGCAGTGATATGAGAAGGAAGGCAACACGGAGGTCAGAGATGGCTCTGGTTCCTTCTATACTCCATCTCCAACTGTGAAACCACATCCATGAGACCTTCCCCAGAGCAGGACCCAGCAGGGGGTCTGGCTGGAATACAGGAAGTTGCCATAGCTATAACTACCCATAGCTAAGTACTTTATCTCATTTAATCCCAGCAACACCCTCACCCACTTGACAGATGAGGAAAACTGAGGCTCGGAGAGGTTAAGTACATTGTTCACTATCACCCTACTGGGAGACAGTGTCTGGAAACAGGTTTGCCTGGCATAACTGCTCCAGAGGGGATTGATATGATTTCCAAATTTGGTGGGTGTGGGACAAGAGCAGGGGTGAGCTTCCAAATTAACTATTGGGATTGTAAAAAGAGGCACCACAGAGAACTGGCATTCCCCAGAAGCTCCAAGGACTGGGGTACCCAGGAAGGCTTCAAAGTAGAGGGGAGGGAATGGCTCCAGTTCCTTCTATACCCGCCCTCCAACTGTGAAACCACATTCATGAGACCCTCCCCACAGGGTCTTGAAGGATGCTTAAACTGTACTTGCCAGGGAAGTCCAAAGGGGTTTTCCAGGCAGAAATCATAGCAATAGCAAAGGCTCAGAAGCAGAATCAAGCTAAGCCAGGCCAGTCAAGAGGCCATGGGAAGCCTACACTGGCTGAGGAAAGGTTTCTGGGAAAGGTATCCAGTATCCCATGTAAGGATTCACTCATCTCAGGGTAGGCTGAGGGAGTTAGGAGACTGGAACTTGGTCTGTTACTCTTCACCAACTCACAGAACTCTCTGTGTGCCTCTTCCCCACGTCATCAATGGAGAAAATTCCCTGCCAAAAGCCTTTATTGCATTGGCTTACTTACTCTATCTCTATAGAGAAGAGAGAAACTTGCCTCTTGGAATCCCAAGAGTGGTAAAAACAGCTATGACTGATGGTCCCAGCAAAACTACCATTTCTGAGGGAAAACAGTGGGGGTCAAAACACACTCCTCTCTGGTGACAGCTTCAACTGCCAGGAGCAAGCCCTGCCCCTGGTGAACCCTCCTTATCTCCAAGACAGCAGAACCAACTCAGGGCCCAGAACCATTCAGACAACTGACAAATCTCACCTTCTAGCAGAGGAGTATCGGATGCAGGGCTGCTGACAGCTGGATGTGTCTAAGTGTTGAATTTGACAAAGGTGACAATACAACTATTTTGACTGTCCTTTGTCTTTCTGTATCCTGGAATTCCCACTCATTTTGATTAAAATAAAGTTTTGCTCAAGAATGGAGAAAGCCCCTGGTTTGTCAGCTACTAAGACAAGGATGCAGATTAATTATTTAGGTCGGAATACAGAGAGCCTTGCATCTTTTTTATTCAAGATGGTAGCAGGATGGAGGGGCTAGTATGGTGTGTTTGGGGTGTAGAGGACATGGTTTCTGTTGAAGCATGTGTGGGTTTGGTAGGGAAAAAGGAAGAGATGGGTCTGGAGATTTGCAGGCTGAGCGTTCTGTTATTTGTCCCGTTGATTGTGTGAGCAGCTGGAGGGAGGATTTGAGCAGAAGGGATACAGCCTCTACTTGAATGATATCCCAGCCACCTCAGTGTTCTCTTGTCTCTCCTTCCCCTTTCCTGATACATCCAAATGCCTTCAGCCACATCACCTTCCCCATGGTGTCTCCCTCTCAGCCCAAGAATGGATAGTGGGGAAGAGGGGAAGCAGCTAAGTCAACCCAGGCCAAGGATGGGAATAGAGTTGGCATTAAGAAGAGCATCTCATCTATGCTCCTGGCAGGCCCCAGAAGCTAGGCTGTTGGACTGATGGCCATGGGTAAACCTCTGAGAAGAGGGTCTAGGTGTCAGGCACCATCAGGATCCAGGGGCAGCAGCATCTCCCAGAGCAGTCGAGGTGACTCCAATTTCAGGAGTTTGCTCCAAAGCGGTGTTCACACTGCAATTCTTTCCAAAGGAAACATTGGTCAATGTCTGGAGACATTCTAAGTTCTCACAATAGGGAAGTGAATGTGATTGGCATCTAATGCGTAGAGGCCAGGGATGCTGCTAGACATCCCACAGTGTACAGGAAAGCCCCACCAAAGAGAATTATCTGGCTCAAAATGTCAATAGCGCCAAGGATGAGAGGCCCTGCTCCGAAGCTGTCTTCAGACATAGCAGAGAGACAGGAGGCCTCCACACCATTTCCCCAGACCCCTGGCAGCACATTCCCAGGTCAGAATATCCTTCTCCAGAGGCAGTTCTGGGAGGGGGCACCAGAGTTTGCGAGTTCCTAGCAATGACACTTTCCAGCAGGAGAGCAAGGGTTGGGAGATGGGAATGCAAGTGTAAGGAAAGGGGACTTCAGCTCCCCCCACCATCACCAACACTCAGACCCATCCGGCAACCAAGGGTGCTGTACACAGGCTTCTAGTTGATTTCAGCACTTCAGACAACCTGACACTTGAAGGAGTTAGACAACACTGACTGGCCCAGGGTAGTTGGGGGGACTCTGGGACCTGAGATCTGCCTCAGCAATCTCCAACACCCCAAGAGCTTTGCATAATGCATAGTTCTTACTTCCCCAGCCACATAGAGAGTAAGTGTTAGCCAGCCTCCCAGGTGTGCGCGCGCGCGTGTGTGTGTGTGTGTGTGTACCTGCACACATACAGACAGGACAAGACTCACTTTAGCAGAAGGAAACCTGCCTTGGAAGTCAGCCATCTCCACTTGCCTGTCTATGGCCTCAGCTCTCTAGGGACTCCAGTTCAACATTACTGGAAGCCAACAACCTCTCCTTCCATCAGATGCCCAGTGGGTGAGTCAGGGGGTGGGGTGGTGGGGGGGGGCGCTGGTAATGCAATAAGACAACAGCCTTTACACGGAACCAAACTCTGAGCCACTGTTATTGGAGGAAGACCTTCAGAATCTCAGAGTGTGGCTGTGACATCTCTCCTGCTTCTCTGCTCCATCAGTCACTTGTCACTCCATCTTTCCCTTTCCTCACCCTTAAAATGAAGTAAGAATGACAGCTACCATATGAAGACCACTTTCTATACACCAGGCGCCTTACATTCATGCCATTCTCACAACAGCCATGTGAGAAATTTTTATCAACCCAGTGATAAGGGTGAGAAGGTGGAGGGAAAATGGCTGGTCCAAGGTCACACAGCCAGGAAGTGATGGAGCTGGTACTGGAATGCAGTCTGTGTGACACAGGCTGCTCCAAGGAGGATCTGGGAACTCTCAGGACCATGCTACAAGGTGGGGTCCATACACTCCAATGCGGGGAGGGCTCCCAGAGCAAAGGCCTCCATGTGGGGGTGCATTTATTAACAGTAGAAACTCGAATTAGGGGAACGCCCCCAGCAGGGTGGGCCCGTAGTGCCCAGGGGTACCAGGCAGAAGCCTATGTAAACACTCCTGAGACCTACAGCCAAACCCCTGCTGCTGTTGGCTGGGCAGGCCAGGCCGGGCTAAAAATAGAAGGCTTCTCAGGTCCAGCTCCCTGTGCCCCAGCCTCCTCCTCTCCCCCTCCCTCCTTCCCCACAGGGCAGGAGCCAGGCTTCTAGAACGAACCGAGACTTTAAGACTTTCGTTTCAGATCAAAGAGGATCGTTAGCTTGATACTCAATGGGCATGTTCCAAGTTCTACAGGGGCCGTAACTGGGGGGAGCTCCTGACTCCAACACCCCACCCAACTCCCTCCTAGGGAGAGAGAGCTGTCAACCTCCAAAACCAACCCAGGGAAGGAGTGAGGTCGAGGCCAAAACTTGGACAATCTCTGCACATCTTGCAATTCAATCTGGAGCCCCTTTGCTGTCTTTCCTTTTCCTGAATCTACTCTCAATGTTGACAGCACTGTGCGATTTCTGTATTTGCCAGGGGCTTCTCGTGGGAGGTCGGCTCCAGCCCTCTCGAGAACCCTCCGGAGACCGTGGGGATGAGGCAGCGCTCAGCCAGAGAAGCCCTGGAGCCCAGGACCAGCGCTTCAAGTGCACCGGGCGGGAGGCAGGGGCGCAGGGAGGGAGGCTCTGGACCGGCCGCCCCTGCTGACTATGGCCCCGGTGCAGGTCAAGGCTTGGGCCCGGGGATTTCCTTTCAAAGGTGACTTAGAGCCGCTTCATTAGGGTAGCGCCCTCCCAGGCGGGCCCTAATGGCGTGTTTGGCAGAGTCAGCGAAAAGCAGCGCCCTGCGGCTCCAGCGGCGGGGGAGCGCCCTCTTCCGCGCCCTCGCCCTCTCCCGTGTGGGGCAGCTGCGCGCACGGGGCCATTTGCAGCGCAAGCAGCCTAGCGTGCGGCCGCGGCGCCCAGGTCGGAAAGGAGGCGGCATCATGGAGCTGAAGAAGGACATCAACGCTGTATCTATCGACATGCTGCTGATCGTGCACTCGGAGAAGCGGCGCGCCGCACAGGGTACGCTCTCAGACCAGCAGGCGAACCCGAGCTCGCTGCTGCAGCGCGGAGGAGGTAACGCGCGCCCGACCCGGGTCCCCGGGTCCCCCGGCACCTTGGCCTCCTTGCCACAAGGGCCTGCCCGCCGGGGGGCGCCCATTGCTCCCCCGAACGAGGTCAGCGAACCCGACCCTCTCCCCCATGGCTGCCGTCGCTTCCCCGCAGTGGCACCGGCGTCCCGTGGCAACGCGCAGTCCCGTGGCAACGCGCAGCCCCGTGATTGCCCCAGTTTCACTCCCTGTGCAGGCCTGTGGGTGCTTCCGTCACCCCTGGGAGTCTTTTTCCTCCCAGCCACTCCCTAACGGGTGTAGAGCAAGATTGGAAGATACCCTGGAGGAAGGCGGCCAGAGCCTCAGGGCTGACTCATGGGTAGCAGAGGCCTGCTCCCCCCCACAGCACACTGCAGGGCACAGGGGACGCTGGGAAACCTTTGGGCTGAGTCAGACTTTTAGATGGGGAGCTCCCTGTGTGGCCTTGCACAATTTACAGCCTCAGTTTCTCCTTTCTTGAGACTTTCTCCCAGCCTCCTATAGATGGAAGGCATGAAAGGCGTAAAAGGAACGCAGGTTTGGATAGGGTAAGATTTGAAACCTGCTGTCTCCACTTGAACTTATCCATCAATTTTACTTGTCCTACACACTTTCTGGGTAAATTTGTAAGTTGTAGATTGGTAAAATAAAGTGACTGTTTATAGAGTGATTGTGGAAAGCAGGATCCGGGCCTCTCTGTTCTCCAGACGACAGAACACAATGTGAATGGAGTACAGAGGGATGATAATGGAGGTTAAATAAGCCCCTGAAAAGCCAGAGAACCTCAGGGTCCTGGATGGCAAGCTGTCTCCGAGGCTGGTGTGAGGATGCACTAGGCGGACTGCGGGCCAGTTCTTTAGGAGTTAGGCCTGACAGCCCATGCAGGAGAATGACTTCTGCCTCTCTCCTCCCCTCCAGCTCTGGAGCTCCTTGGAATTCCTGCTGCTGCTCTGCCCTTGGTTCTTCTGTCCCCAGAGCCTCTGTGCTCATTGAACATCCACCTTCCACCTGCCTTGCTTAAGTAATGCTGCTGTGGATGGCCTTGCCACTACCAGCCACATAGGCTGGAGCTGCCTCCAGAGCCCTGGGAACCTCTTGGGAAGGCAGGCAGGGGAAAGAAACAGAATCTAGAGGGCTGAGTATGTTGACAGGCGCTCTAGTCTCAGGGCTGATTCCTGACTGAAGCAGGAGTTGTTTGGATTCGTTGGCTCTTTAGTTATCAGACCTACTCTTGGGAGAAGGGGAAATGGCCTGCCCAGGGTATTTGTAGTTAGAAAGTCAACAGAGGGCATCAACTTCTTGATAGAAATGAGACTGCTCTGAATACATGTACCACAGTCCAGAATGCCTTCTCCAGTGTGTGGCGAGGCCTAGTTCCAGGTCAGCCCACGAGTCCCCTACTCCCAATCCTCTCTGATCACATCACTTCTAAAGGCTCTGACACTAGAAAGGGCAAAGAATGCAGAGAAGCCCAGGAAACACCAGGCATCAGGACTGCCCTGAGAGGTGCCCAACACCTAGCACAAACTCGCCATGGCTCCAGACTCATGTATGCACACTAGTGACTATGACAGAGAAAAAAAGACCCCTAATGGCTGGGCCCTTTCTGCTGAACTTTTTCTCCAAATATTTTTCTGATGGCCGTTTCTCACCGATGCTATGAATGACAGTGTAGAGATCTGTGTCACTTATTCACAACCAGAGCAGAGAAGAGGAAAAGTGCATGGCTTTTGATGCCTGGTGGGCAGAGATGATATTCAGGAGACCCCAGGCAAAGCCAGCCTGCAGACCCTTTCCTCGAAAAACAGCCTAAGGGAGGAAAATGCCCAATAAGACCAGCTTGTTCCAAAGCCTCCCATGGGTGCAAGATATAAAACAAACTCTTGCTCACTTCCAGGTATCTCCTCCTTTCTCCTCCACACTCCAGATCCTCCACTGGAGAGTGGATCTTCCTTGGTTATATAAAAGAGGGCCTAGGCTCCATGTCAGAAAAGATCAAAGCTCAATTATTGTTGCAATGCAGAGGATGGAGTAATCCGTAACGAGTGGCCCTTCTGCTGGAAGGGCCTTCTGCTGGAAGTGGCCCTTCTGCTGGAAGAAAAGAGTCAGGGGGACAAGAAGGCAAGGAGAGTGTGGACAGGCTAGGTCACTAGGAATTTGGGCTGCAGAGCCAGCAGATGTTCTCTCCCATTTCTGTAAGGCCCTAGCAGCCTCCCAGTCATTTCCCTAGAACAGTGCTTCTCCAAAACGTGCCTGAAAGCCCTCAACTCCTATCAGAAAGTAGAGTGCATATACTCCTGCAGCAGTAGAGGATATAGCCTATAGCTGCCTGGGGCAAGACCCAATGAGCTTTGAAGTCTTAGGTCTTATCCCAAAAGTCTATGTGGTTTGTGTATTCTACTCCATAGGTGTGTCATGAGGGTTCCAAGTGGTAAGTCACTGGCACTGGCTATGGGGGGCTCTGCAGAAAAGAAGGGTGTTAAGAAGAGAGTGGCGGCCCCTGAGTGGTTGAGAGGGCTGGAGAATAAGACTCAAGGCTGAGCTTCCAGGAACAGTACCGTAAGCAGCACCAACGAGCTGGTCTAGTGAGGAAACCTCCTCGGCCACCAAGGAGCACTGAATACTCCTTCCGCGCCAGGATCTCAATTTTATTGCAGCAGCTCCCGCTGCCAGAACGTATCCCCATGCTGTGCCAGGAACTCGACCTTGCGGCTACCACTTGCAGCCGCAGCCAGAGCGAGAGCTTTCCTTCCCTTCCCTGTTGCATCACCAGGTCCCAAGGCAGAGTGAAACACAGGTACATCAGATTGGCCATGGCTAGGCCATACGTGTTTACCCTCTAGCTGCAAGGGAGGCCAAGAGAACTGGCAACTGTCATTTTCCATTCCCATTGGGATTGACGGTCTTAGCCCACTCCCCCCACTCTATATCAAGACTCTAAAAGTGGGTGATTCACCACATACAGAAATAGGCAGGCAATGTGGATAGCAAATGACTTCTAAAATAATGCTTTCATATGTATGCAGTGGAGAGGTGGAAGTGGAAAATGGGCATCTGTACTACAAAAATTCTCCCTAAATGACCCTGATAACCAACCCTGCTGCCCTTGAAAACTGTTTTAACAGTTTTTAAATGTTTTGAATTTTGAGAGTTGCATTCATTCCCTCAAGGGCATCTTATTCATGGGTAGCCTCTCTCAGATTCCAAGAGAGCCAAGATCCACCTGCTCTACCATAACCTAGATAAGTCTGCAACTGGTACATCACTCTTTTGCCCTGAGTCTCCCACCTCAGAGAAGCTTGTTATTTTGCAGGATTCCAAGGTGTTGGAAATGGAGTCCGAAGATGGCAGAAATTAGAAGGAAATGACTTTCACGGTAAATTCTCTTTTTCCTTTCAACCTATAGGATTTAATACATTGAATAATAACTGGAAGAATTGGGTTTCACTCATTTGAAGACTAGCCCTAGACATCTAACCACTGAACGGAAAGTGGCTGCTCCTGACCCAGCCAGGCCTCTAAGGGCCACTGTGACTGTGGGAAGTGTTCCCTGGAGTCAGGTCCCCTGCTCTCCTGGAGGCTGTGGCTGAAGAGCAGTGCCAGGAACTTGAGCACCCATTTGTTTGCTGGCTGAGCCGTAGGGGAGGACTTAACATCCCTTGGGATGGTGAGGTTTGAGTGTGCTCCTATGAGAGGCAGCCATCTATCTTTTGAAAATGTTTCCCAACAGAGAGGATAGTCGTCTGCCTTGGGACAGTATGACTTGAAGCCTGAGAAGATGCCACTCAAGGGTTCTATAGCTCCCTGCTGGCCTGGGACCCAAAATACAATAAGAAGTCAGCTTCCAAAGCCTCTTTTTTCCAGTGCCAGGCATCTGCCACCCCAGGCCCAGGATCTCTGTGGTAACACTAAGGGGCCAAGTATAATGGGCTTTATTCTATTCCCTTTAGGGTTCATTAGCCCAGCCTCCAGGGACAAACATCAGGGACACTGCACAGTGGGCACGTGAAGGTTCTAATAGAGACCAAACCTCTACTCCCAGAGCCCCAGTAGAGAACTCCATCAGCCCGCAGCTATGTGAGCCCTAGGATCAGATGACTGGCTTATCAAATGCCAGTGTAAAGGAACCACCCTCCATGACACAAATGGGGAAATAGGATTGCAGATGAATAGGACTAAACTGCTATGTTCTACCATCCTTCTGACAATAATGAAAGGGAAAGATGAAGTTCTAAAAGTGAATTCATTCACTCATTCTGTTCACAAATGCCTATAGTGCTTACTTTGTGCCAGGCATGATTCTAAATATTGGAAATGAAACAGGGAAAAAGACAGCCAAGAACACTGCCCTCAGGGGAGCTACATTAAAATGATTGGAATTATAATGCACTGCAGGGGAGTCTCAACACCCTGGAGTTGAAGAGTCTTCCTGTGTCCCCTGCCTTTGGTAAGAGTCCTCAAGACACACTCCCCATCCCCACCCCACCACTGCCAGGGAGCCACCCTGACAGGCATGCATGGGTGCAATGGCTTCCCTGTAATCTTGCTACAGGGGCCATCAGCTGGTAGACATGCCAGCTTTAGCTCTACTGAAGTAGACGCCAAAGCTAACAAAACTCTGCTATGGGTTATTGAGAATTTTAATAAGAATCAGACCCCCAGAGACCTGTTAGCCACAGAAATGGCCATGCAGGGCATGGAAGGTATGCATGCTAAGCCCATGTGTGAGCTGGTGAGTGGGCAAGCAAGCCACAGGTGGAAACAAAGAAGCACAGCATCCTTGTTGGTTGCAGCTGTCTCATACCTTGCCTGAGTTGTCTGACACTCATCTTAGGGCTTCTCAGGCATGTTATTACATCAGGAGAGGATTGAAATACACTGAATTCATTCTATTTTTACCATCTTCCGGGTTTCTGATTTGGGAGAAGTTTAGTGGAAAAATATCACAAAACACAAAGTGACACATTGACTATTACAAGACCATTATAAGACTCTTGTAAAAGACATGAAGTGGGTCTTAGCACTATGTGTCAGCTGATAGAAGATGACTAAAATAGTTCTTGCAAAACCACCATGAGAACTGGAAGTTTCAGGTAAATGCAGGGCTGGACAGAGGCTCCACAGAGGCCCTGAGCCCAGAAAAAATGACGCTTCTACCACTCCATCAACATGTGTAAAGCGAAATTTCATTTATTTTTCAAATGGTACGTTTGCATGCATGCAGAAATTAAAATTAGTTTCTTTCTGTGTTTTCTGATGTCGAGATTCTGAGTGCAGGTATTGAAGCTGACCTTTTCTCATACCTGCCTTACTGGTGCCCAAGGCACCCAGCCCTGGTAACCAGCAGGCCGCCCAGCCCTGGTAACTGGATGGCTTCCATCTTAGAAGGAAGTGGCTGATGGCATGTGCTGGTGGAGTGCACACAGATGCTGCTGAGCATGGGGTGGATCCAGAAGGGCACATTTTCCCCCTCTTGCTACCCCGTGCACTGCTTGGGCTGGAACACTGGCAGGGTGTTGAGACTAGAGAGCTCCAAACTTTTCGAAGCAGCAGGTGTTTGGGCCCAGCCGCCTCCTCACCCTCCTACCCCACCCCAATAGCTTGCCCAGCAACGGGCTTCCCCTGCTGTGATTGGCTACTTTCCTTGGTCCTGGACAAAGTCTGCCTAGTAGCACAGGGACAGACGCCCCACAGCTAAAGGGAAACCAATTGTGCAGCCTTGACTATAAATACCCCACAGCAGCTATGCCAGCCAATCACCCTCCTTGAGGATTCCCTTCCCGGATCTTGTTTCCTCCCTCAGCCAGCCGAGGCACTGCCAGCTGTGCCTGCAGAAGGCGGTCCTGGCCTCCCTTTCCTCGCCTGATCTGGGGCTCCAGCCCCGCATGCCACATCACCCTGTATTGGAATACACAGTGGACCTAGCCCTTGGCTGACTAGTGTGGGGCTCAGGGACCTAGCTGGGCCTGTTCATAGGAGAAGGCTGGAGGAGGCAGGCTTTCCAGGGCAGGACTCTGTCAGGTGGATCACAAATCCAGCCTGGCTCAGTACCTCACCCCCCACCTTGATTGGCTTCTGCATGGGCCCAGGCACGGGAACCACTGAGCGGCTGATCTGCACAAGAAGAATCATCTAAATGCACCTGTTCAGGCCAATGCCCCAGAGGCATACTTGTTTCCAGACTAAGGCACTGGTCCCATTGGTCACTTCCAGTGACAAGCCCACTGCAAGCCAGCAGGAAGCTATAGAGAGAAGATGGCAGGCCAGAGTGGTAGTGGTGGGGGAACCTCCAGCTGCCACCATCCTCCCCTTGCCCAGCCTTCCCCCCACCCCTCTGAAGCAGAGGTTCAAGGGCAGCTTCAGTAACAGCAGGCCACAGCAGCAGCTGTAAAGAAGGGAGGAAAGGTCATGCTTCCCCTGGGAGGGCAAGTAAGCCTGTGAGCTCCCGCTTCTTGGCCTATGGCAGGAACTAGGCATCACTCCATGGCAGCCTGACCCCACTAGGCTCTGAGGACAACTCTGTGTCCCAGGGACAGAAATATCCCTGCATGTGGAGAGAACGTGTGTAGCGTGCATGCCCTGCAAATGTTTGTGAAACAGAACCAAACTACACATCATCCCGTCTCCTAGGCTGGGGTAGGAGGCAGGCTGGCCCCCTGTTCTTCTCATTAAGAAGCAGGAGGCTCGGCCGGGCGCGGTGGCTCACGCCTATAATCCCAGCACTTTGGGAGGCTGAGGCGGGTGAATCACAAGGTCAGGAGATCGAGACCATCCTGGCTAACATGGTGAAACCCCGTCTCTACTAAAAATACAAAAAATTAGCCAGTGTGGTGGCGGGCACCTGTAGTCCCAGCTGCTCCGGAGGTGGAGGCAGGAGAATGGCACGAACCCAGGAGGCGGAGCTTGCAGTGAGCAGAGATCGCGCCACTGCACTTCACCCTGGGTGACAGAGCGAGACTCCGTCTCAAAAAAAAAAAAAAAGAAGCAGGAGACTCAACTGGGAGTCAGAAGACCTGAGGTTCAAGTCCCAGGTCAGAACCTCCCAGCCTGCTCCACAGAAATGTGTGAAGATCAATGAGGCATCTGTGTATGCAGTGCTTTTGAAACTGTGCCTGGTGACACCAAAGTTGGGAGTTATGGCTACAAAGACCATGGAAGACTGGTAGCCTGTTCCAGAAGAAACCCAGCCTGTGCTGGCACCTGCTAAGAGGCACAAGGGGTGTGTGCACAGGGGCTTCCAGGCATTTGTCTCCATGCACAGTGTCGTGCTGGTTTGCACATGTGCACACTGTGAGGGTGTGCACACATTTAGGCCTGGGGATGTGCTTGGCCCCCGCCAGCCCACCTTTCCCGCAAACACATACAGCTCTTTGCTCTGCCTGGGGAAAATTCCCCAGTGGTCACTGCAGGCCTCTCTGTCTTCCTTAAATAGAAAACTTGGTGGAGAAGCAGCACCCTCAGCAGCCCCAGGTCATCACTTCCTACAACAGCCAAGGTAAGTGATTCGCCGCTAGCCGTGACCTCCCCTGCAGAGGTGTGCCCAGACCTGATGCTCTGGCCAGCGACAGCCCAGGATGTGGAGCTCAGACTATGGGGAGCAGGGTCCTCTCTGCTCCCATGGGTGTTGGAAAACCCTTTTCCTCTCCCTGCGTCTCATGGGAAGCAGCAAGAGGCTGCACAGTCTCAGTCTTCCCCTCACCATGAGATCAAGAAATAAAGCCCATGGGCCTCAGAGCACGCTGCTGTCATCATCATCACTATTACTGTCATCACTATTCAACATTCAACATTTGTTGAATGCTAACTATGTGCCAGACACCCTGCCAAGCCACTTATGCACTTATTCTCATGTAAATTAAGCTTCACAGCAACCCTGTTTGACAGGTACTCCTCTTTACCATCCTCAAATTACAGATGAGTAAACTGAGGCTTGGAAAGGCTGTCATGTGTTCAAGATCACATGGCCAGCAAGAGTCAGAGCTGGGCAGTCTGAGCCCCAGCAAGGCCTCAGCTGTTAACCTTCACACATCTCTGCTTCCTCATCTCCCCTGGAAACCAGCCTCCCTCCCTCTGGCTCATGGCATCCAAGCCCTCCCTTGTCCTGACCAATAGCAGTTCTTCGGCCTCTCCTGCTGAGACTGAGCCTTCCCAGGGCATCCCACCCAGTGAGTTTGCCACAGCAAGGCAGAGTGAGAGGCACCTTCATTGGGAGTCCTCACTTTTTGGGGACAGGCTCTGGGGACTCGGGGAAGGCAGGCAAGGGCATCACTGACTACAGTTGACTGGATCTGAGCACACGACAAGATAGAGACAGGAGGGCCCCACAGCAATGGTGACAGGAGGCCAGGTTAGAGACTCTCACGCCCACCTTGGTTAACTGCTGTGCATTAAATACTGGGCCCTGGTGTCTGAGTATTCTCACAGGCTCAGCCATAAGAGTTCATCACGCTTGCTCTGAGAGTTGATGTCCTAACCTATAAGGAAATTATCTGATCAAATTCAGAGGCAGTGATTTCCCCCATGCCCCATATGAAACAGGAGGACTCTGGAGGCCCCGGAGGATTGGAGCCTCTCAGGGAATTGCTCTCTGAAATACAGGTGGACAAGCTTCTCTATAGAAAGGCGCTGGCAGGTAGTGATGAAAGGCCAGCCAACTGGGATTACCAGCATGGGGGAGCTGGCTCTCCTCACAGTACAGGCCAGTGTCCCTTTAAGCCAGAATTCCTGAGAATGCAGCTCTATGACAGCCTTAGAGACCTCTGTGGGCCCAGCAGGACCTGCCACCAGCCCTGAGAACTACAAGGACAAGCCCATGCTCTGTCCTGTTGCTTCTCTAAAATGAACTCAACTGCACATGGCTCAACACAAAAAAAAGGACTCAGAGATATCTGGCTATAATGAGAGTGGATTAGCACCACTTACCTCACTTAGTGAAGAAGACAGACAAAGGCCCCTGTCCTTGTGGAGCTGACATCCTAGTGAGGAGACACAGACAATCCTGACAAGTCAAACACCCTGAGCCAGATAAGGTATAAGGGGGAAGTAAAGCAGGAAGGATGATAAGGGGTGTGTGCGGGTATGGGGTCTGGGGCTGTGCGGGGTTGTATATTCATTTCCTATAGCAGCTACAGGAAATTTCCACAAATGAGGTGGCTTAAAATACTGCAGATTTATTCTCTTACACTTCTGGAGCCCAGAAGTCCAAAATCTGTTTCACCGGGCTAAAGTCAAAGTGTCAGCCGGGCCAGCGTTTTTTAGAGGCTCTAGGGGTGCATTCATTCCTTGCCTCTTCCTGCTGCTAGAGGCTGCAGGCCCACCATGGCTTGTGGCTGCCTCACTCCAAACTCTGCTTCCATTGTCACATTGCCTTCTCTGCTTATAAATAGCTGACTCTCCCTGTGCTCCCTTGTTTAAGGATATGTGTGGTCGCATTCAGAGCCCAGCCAGATAATCAGGATGGTCTCCCTATCTTGAGATCCTTAATTTAATCACATCCACATAGTCCTCTTTACCATATTAGGTAACATTCACAGGTTCCAGGGATTCTGGCATGGATATCTCTAAAGGCCATTCTTCAGCCTATCCCAGGGGACAATTTAAAGTGGAGTAGGTGAGAAAGGCCTCACTGAGAAAGTGACATCTAAGCAAGGAAAGAGGTAAGAGCAAATGATGTGGGTATCTGGGGAAGAGCTTCCAGCAGAGGGAGCAGTGAGCGTGAAGGCCCCCAGGCAGGAGCGTGTCTGCATGTTCAAGGAGCAGGAAATTGTGCTGTGGAGAGGAAGAGAGGGGCATGGGCAAGGTGGGGGTAGCAGAAGAGCCAGAGAGGACACAGGGCAGAGTTGGCAGGGCCTGGGAGGCTTCTAATCTGAGTGTGATTGGAAACCATTAGATGGTTGTAGACATCCAATGCGTAGAGAATAAACAGAGGGGGCAAGGTTGGAAGCAAGACAACCCTTAAGAGGCATTGTGATAATCCAGCAAGAGAGGTTCCCCCATGGTGTGGATTTGGGGTATACAAGAGAGGAGTCAAGGCTTGGGACCTGAGCAATGGGGAGGATGAAGATGAGGGAGATGCAGGAAGAGCAGGTTGGGAAAGAAACATGAATTCAAATTTGGCTTTGTTGAGGTTGGTGCCAGCACCTGCCATTTTGGAAAGCTGTGGCCAGGGAATCGTTACTCCATGTGCCACTTTCTTATTCATCTCATGAGCCTTGACAACCTTTGGGCTCTGTTCTGCGAACCACACCGGCCCCCAGAGAAGCCTTCTTGGAAGCTCTATCACAGTAATAGCGTTGACCAGAGGTGGGACACTTGGTGTGTGCCAGATATTAAGCTAAGCCCCTCTCACGGCTCACCTCATTTAATCTCCACAACCACCTTTTGTGGAAGGTTATCATCCTCATTTTACAGATAGGGAAGCTCAAAGATATTTAAATAACTTGCCTGAAGTCGCATACCAGACCCAGAAGTTGAACCCATGTCTGTGGGCTCTCGAAAGCGGTGGGCTTAACTACTCCCCCATACTGTCTCTTCCATACAGGACAGGGACCAATCTGGTGGTGTTGATTTGGGTGCAGTACCCCCCACCCAACCCCCACCCTCAATGTGCAGTCTGAGATTTCAGTCTGAACTCATTGCTCGGAATGGTTCAACATTTTCTCTCCTCCTCAGCCTCTCTTTCAATGGTAGACTTTATGCAACAGGTGGCAAAGGAACATTGGAATCTTGGGTCATGGGAAGGGGCTTTGGAGATGGATCTGTAGTGGGTGTGTGGGTTGAATGAATTTGTAAGGAGAGTAATCACAAGGAGCCCCTGCAAAGAACATTCTTTCTTTTTTTTTTTTTTTTTTTTTTTTTTTTTGAGACAGGGTGTCACTCTGTGGCCCAGGTTGGAGTGCAGAGGTGCGATCATAGCTCACTCCAGCCTCAAACTCCTGGGCTCAAGCAATCCTCCTTCCTCAGCCTCCCGAGTAGCTGGGACCACAGGTGAGTGCCACCACATGGCTGGTTTTTTTTTTTTCGTTTTTTGTAGAGATGGGGTCTCACTATGTTGCTCAGAATGGTCTCAAACCCCTGGGCTCAAGCAATCCCCCTGTCTCAGTTTCCCAAAGTGCTGGGATTACAGGCATAAGCCACCATGCCTGACCCCAAAGGACATTCTTGAGGAGTCAGTTTTCTGTTGAGGCTTCTGTCCTCAAGGTCATCAGCCCTTATCCCCATGCAAACACTTTGTAGAGTAGTCTTCTTTGATGTGTGCACTAGGGTCAAACTGCCATGTTTCCAGACCTCAGACCTCCCTGTGGAGCTCCAACCCATAGAAGGAATCATGAATGGTCCTTTGTTTTCCGTTCCTAATGGAAGCCATGGGCAGGGCTGCCAGTGATGCCCTTCATCATGCACACCAGCAGATGCCCAGTCACAGCCCTGAGCTCTGGAACACTAGGTTGTCATCTCATAATGAGAGCTGCTGAGTGGGGTTTTCATGCTGTGTTTGGCAGTACCCCCTAAGGGTGGTGTTCCATCATGTTCTACAGAGCTAGACAGTCCCTGTCACCATCTAGCAGGCTCATTCCTGGGATGTCACTGCTTTCCACTTCCTGACTACTGCATCCTGGGTGGAATCACAGCATGTCTCTGTTGAATATCTAACCAGGGACTCTTTAAGGGTATTTTTTTTTAAACTACCAATGCTTTAGCTGTTTTCCTGACTCTAAGCTACTGCAGGAAAAAAAAAAAAAAACTCCAAAGTAGAAAAAAAAAAAAGGCTGTAAATGTGCCAACCTGTTATAGAAAAAGTTAACAAACACCTTAAACCAATGATGGCAAGTATTTCACATGAATCCCATGACCCCTCCACACACATATACACCCGTGTGCATGTGCACATGCACACACACACACACCTGACAGTCTTCGTTAATTGATCCCTTCAGGCAGCCACTTCCAATCAGTCAGAGTTAATGAAAAACATGAAACCTGTTTGCCATACTGCGTTAGGTGTTCTGAGCCAATTAGGCCTTTAGATAAATCCTGATTGAAACCTGAAGAGATCTGGAGAGCAGCTGTCAGGTGGAAGAAACCTGACTGGGTGAAAGGCAGGGCAGTAAGCATGTGGACATTCTTGTGCTTGCCTGTATGCTCTGTTTCTGAGAAGGCAGGGAAAAGCAAGGAGAGCTGGCGGGGTCTAGGAAAGGGGCCAGGGAGCCCGTTCTCAAGATTAGCAGAAAATAATCTCTAACATGCTCTTAACTAAGACGGTCAAAGCTGCAGCTTCAGAAATGTGATTTTGTTGACAACTGGTGGAGCTGGGGAGGGATGCATGAGAGAGGCCAGCCAGGCAGCCTGGAATCCCAGGAAAGGCCTCCTGTAGGTTTGGTTGTGGTGGTTAATAGTCAAGATTGGAATAATGTACTGTACTTAGGCTGTACTTAGGGTTTAGATCTGACTGCGAATTTTACTCCAAATGATCTACTCTCTGTTAGAGATTGGCCACACTAATATTTTTTCTTAAATTAAGAGTTTTATTTGATCCAGTAGCGTCATAGCCAGCAAACTCTCTCCACTCCATGCCTTAAGGAAGCATAAAGCTATATTGTGAATGCTTTTCCCCTTGAAACAGCGTGTCCAGCCCAGGCCCAGTTCCTGGAGCCAGCAAAGCCTCCCAGTGGTGCCCTCACACAACAGTAAGTGAGAGCAGGAATCACACTCCCATGCAGATCAGGGAGGACGAGAAAGTGGCTGTTTTCCTTGAGGGAATGCTAAGCAGCAGCACAGCTTTGGGGGAGAACCGGGAAGTGGGATTCAGGAAAATATTGGACATTGACCCCTGTCCAAGAGGGAAGAGGAATCACAGAAAGGAGAGAAGGGATTAGGAATAGTGATGGCTGGAGCATCTGGGCCAGGGCCGTGCTCCGAACATGAGCCCACCTCAACACCCTGCCCTGGAGGGGCTTTAACAGCAGTTTGTTTTTCACCTTGATCACTCTTTCACAAAGAGACATGGCTGAAGTAGGACATGGCTAATACCCATAGAGACATGGCTCAGGGCATGTAACGCAGGATGGCAAACAAGTTTCATGTTTTTCATTAACTGTGACTTATTGGAAGTGGCTGCCTGAAGCGATAAATTAACAAAGACTGTCAGATGTGCGTGTGAAAGTACCTGGGCATTATGAGAAGTTTGGGGAAGAGATTTGTTGTTGAACCCTATGCCAATAAGTTGTTCACTTTTGCAGTTTCTCTAAGCTTATGGAGATTGTTCCAGTCCAGCATTTTCCAAATGGTGTTTGACAAAATAGTACTGGGTCAAATAGAGTTCTTTACTACAGGACTACTCAGATCATTGTGTATTGTGACCTATGAGAGGGGAGAGAGTGAACATGTTTCTCAATTCATTTTTCACAAGGCATCTTGAAGTCAAGTACCACTTAGCACTCACTTTAAAAGACACCTCAGAGGGTTTGAGGTGGAGAAAGTGAAAAGGAAAAGAACAGGCCCATGCCTCACTGATGATGGGAAGACACACAGAAAGTATTTGCTGCTGATGGCGATAGCACCCAGTCCTACGACCAGAACTGAATTATGCCTTGAACTCTGAAATGCTTAATGTTTTAATTACAAACTCACAAGGCTGATTTTCTCTCAACATTGAATATGCTGGAAACTACACTTCAAAATGAATGTTAACCCCTTCAAAGCTATGCTTTGCAGAGGCCACATTGTATCTTTTCAAATTGTTTGAGAATGACCCTCTTTGGCATGCAGAACAAGTTTATGAGCTACACAAAAAAGACAGTATTGTTATTCTATGAAAAATAATTGCAATGCATTTAGCAGGCAAAGGGTTAGTAAAAGGAGGTTTTACAAAATCAATGAGGAAAAAATAATACTTCAATAGGAAAATAGCCAATTCACAAAATAAGAATTTAAAATGGTAACTAAGTATAGGCAAAGACTACTACAATAAAACTAAAGAAATATACAACACAACCAGGTATTATTATTCACTGATAAAAATTTAAAGGGTTGATAAAACCAAACATCAGTGAGTGAATATGTGATCTATTTTTGCATTACAAACCACCACACAACTTAGCAGCTTTAGACAATAAGCATTTACGAGCTCACCAATCTGCAGGTTAGCTAGAAATTCTCATTGGAGCCACACCCAGCTGATCTTGGGTCTTGGGTGGGCTTGCTCATGTGCTTGTTGTCAGCTGGTGGGTTGGCTGGAGACCAGCTGGTCTGGGATAGCCTCACCTGAGAGGCTATGCTGTGCTCCATGTGGGCTCTCATCTACAACCTGGCTCATTCACATGGCTGTTATGGCTGGGATCCCAAGAATGAGAATGGAAGCCTCAAAGTTTCTAGAAGCCTAGGCTCAGAATTTGTGCAACATCACTTCTGGCATGTGCTAATTGGCCAAACCAAGTCAAAAGCCCAGCCCAAATTCAAGGGGTGGAACAAAAGACCTCTCATTGGGAGGAATTGCACTTTGTGACCAGTTTTGCAATCAAGCACAGCAAGAATGTGCACAATGGGCATTCTCTTGCACTACTGATAAGATCATAGATTGATAAAATCATTCATAAGAAAATTTTGCCAATATCTAACAAAAGCCTTTAAAATATCCATATTATTTGATTCATACTTCAGAATTTATTCAAAGGAACTGATTTGCAAAGTGTGCAAATCACTTTACATACATACAAAGATGTATGTATCTGAGTGTTCATCACATCATTTCTAATAGCAAAACTGTAAAAAGCTAAATATTCAACAAAAAGGGATTGCTTATATGGATTATAAACCATCTACAAAATAGAATACTATGTAGCCATTTGAAATGATAACATATGGCTATGCTCACTGACATGTAAAGATTTAAATGAAGAAAGCAGGTTATGAAAAATATGTTTACTATAATCGGCTTTGGATTTTTAAATGTGGAAATGAAGTCTTAAAGGAGTTTCACTTTCTGCTTTATATCGTTCTGTATCATCCAAGTTTTTGTTTTAATTCTGCTTGGGTTTTTTTGTGTGTGGTTGGTATTTTTGCTTTTATTTTTATTTTAAATTAACATACAGTAAAATCGAATGTTTGTAGTGTGTAGTTCTGATTGCTAACACATGCATAGATTTGTGAAACCACCACTATGGTGGTTACCATCATCAGAATATCCAGAATACACCACCATCGGAATATACAGCAGTTCTATTTCCCTCTTTAAAATTATCTTGTGTGGACTCTAATCCTCCCATCACTCTTAAGAGTTCCTTTGTATTGTTGAGAAGTACTTTTTTTTTTTTTTTTTTTTTACAGAGTCTCGCTCTGTTGTCCAGGCTGGACTGCAGTGGCACGATCTCGGCTCACTGCAACCTCCGCCTCCCAGGTCCAAGCGATTCTCCTGCCTCAGCCTCCCGAGTAGCTGGGGTTACAGGTGCCTGCCACCATGCCCAGCTAATCTTTGTATTTTTAGTAGAGATGGGGTTTCACCATATTGGCCAGGCTTGTCTCAAACTCCTGACCTCAAGTGATCCACCCACCTCGGCCTCCCAAAGTGCTGGGATTACAGGCATGAGCCATCATGCCCAGCTGAGAACTATTTCTTGATATGGATGTACCACAGGTTGTTTATCCATTCACTCATTGAAGGACGTTTAAGTTGTTTCCAGTTCAGGGTGATTATGAATAGAGCTGCTATACAAACATTTGTGTACAGGTTTTTGTGTGAACATAAGTTTTCATTTCTCTGGGATAAATGCCCAACAGGGCAATTTTTAGGTTGTATGGTAAGTACATGTTTTGTTTTATAAGAAACTGCCAAACTATTTTCCAGAGTGACTGTTCTATTTTACAATCCCACTAGCAATATATGAGATCCAATTTCTCTGCATCCTTGTCAGCATATGATATTATCACTATTTTTAAATTACAGTCACCCCTCAGTATACATGGGGGATTGGTTCCAGGACCACCCACATATAACCAAATGTGGGCATACTCAAGTCCCACAGTCGTCCCTGCAGAAACCCCATGTAGGAAAAGTTGGCCCTCTCTATGCGAGTTTTGCATTCCATGAACAGTACTCTCCATCTGCATTTGGTAGAAAAAAAGGACCATATGAGTGGACTCGTGCAGTTCAAACCCATGTTGTTCAAGGGCCAGTTGCATATTGTTGCTCTTCTAATAGATGTGATGTCTCATTTTGGTTTTAACTTGCCTTTTCCTAATGGCTGATGATGCTGAACATCTTTTCATGTGCTTATTTTCCATCCAAAATCTCTTTTATAGTAAAATATCTATTCTTTTGCCCTTTTTCCAACTGAATTGTCTTTGCACTTTTGTAAAAATTTATTTTGCTATGTTTGTGTGAGTCTATTTTTTATTATTCTGTTTATTGATCTGTTTATCTATCCTCTTACCAACATCACATTGTTGTGATTACAGCTTTTCATTAATGCATCTTAAAATCAAAGAGTGGGAGTCCTCCCATCTTTTTTTTTCAAAATTAGTTTAGTTATTCCAGTTCCTGTGCCTTGATGTCTATATTTTATAATTATATATTTGCACAATTCCCCCAAAATGTTTGGTTGAACTTGCATTAAATCTGTAGATCAATTTTGAGAGAATTGCCCACTTGACAATTTTAAGTCTTCCAATCCATAAACATGGTATGTCTCCCCATCTATTTAAGTCATCTTTAATGTGTGTAATCATATTTTGGAGTTTTCAGTATGCGATTATTGCACATGTTTGGGATTTTTGTTTGTTTTAGATTTATAACTAACATTTTAATTTTGGAACTATGGGAAATGGTTATTTTTAAATGCCATCTCCAATTGCTTATGGCCAATATACAGAAATACAATCGATGTTTGTATGTTAACCTTGTATACCGTGACCATGCTAAACTAACTTATTAGTTCTAGGAGCTTTTTCTTGTAGATTACTTGGGATTTCCTATGTAGACAGACATATCAACTGTGAATAAAGACAGTTTTATTTCTTCCTTGCCAATCTGTATGCCTTTTATTTCTCTTTCTTGTCTTATTACACAGGGTGGGACTTCCAGTACAATATTATTAGGATCAGTGAGAGTGGATATCTATGACTTGTTCCCAATATTAGGAAGAAAGCATAACCATGTTTCACCATTAAATATGCTGTTAGCTGTATGCTTTTTGTAGGTTTCCTTTTTCAGATTAAGAAAGTTCCCTTTTATTCCTAGTTTGTTGAGAGGTTTTATCATGAACGGATGTTAAATTTTGTCAAATGCATTTTTCTACACCAATAGGTGTGATCCTAGTAGTTTGTCTTCTTTAGCCTGTTAATATGGTGAATTACATTCATTGATTTCCAAATATTTAACCAGCTTTGCATTCCCAAAATAAACCACCCATGGTTGTAGTATATTTTTCTTTTACTATATTGTTGGATTTAATGTTGTAATATTTTGTGGAAGATTTTTGTGTTTACATTTATAAGGGGTATTGGTCTGTAGTGTTCTTTTCTTTTGCTGTCTTTGTGTTGATATCAGATTAATGCTAGCCTCATAAAATGAGTTATGAAGCATTCACTTCTCTTCTGTTTTACGAAAGATCCTATGAAGAATTGATGTTATTTACTTTAAATGTTTGTTAGAATTTACCACTGAAGCTATCTGGGCCTGGCTTTTGGGGGGAAGATTTTAAACTACAAGTTTAATTTAACAAATAGGTATTGGGAATACTTAGGTTATCTGCTTCCTATATGAGTTTTGTGGTAGTTAGTGACTTTTAAGGAATTGGCCCATTTCATCTAAGTTGTAGAATTTATGTGCACAGAAGTTTTGTAGCATTCCTTTATTATTATTTTAATACATATGAGGGTCTGTAGCGATAGCCCTCATTTCATTCCTGATATTGGTGTATTTACCCCTGATTTGTGTCTTGCCTCTTTTTTTTCTTGGTCATTCTAGCTAGAAGTTCATCAATTTTACTGATCTTTAAAAAGAACCAGCATTTAGTTTCATTGATTATTCTCTGTTGCTGTTTTTAACTTCAGTGATTTATTCTCTTATTTTTATGATTTTCTTCCTTCTGCTTGCCTTGGATTTAGTCTTCATTTCTCTACTTTCTTAAAATGGAAGCTTAGATTGTTGATTTGAAACCTTTCTTTTTTCTGTAATAAGAATTTAATGCTACAAATTTCCCCTTGAAGCACTGCTTTGGCTTCATCTCACACATTTTGATATGTTTTATTTTCATTTTCAATGAGTTCAAAATATTTTCTAATTTTCCTTGAGACTTCTTCTTTGATCTATGTGTGATTTGAAAGTATGTTAATTTTTAATACTTGGACATTTTCCAGTTGCTTTCTGTTTTTTACTTCTAGTTTAGTTCATTTTGGTCAAAGAGGAGTTTTGTATGATTTCAGTTCTCTTCAACTTTTTAGGTTTGTTTTGTGACCAAGGATATAGTCCATCTTGGTGATTATTCAATGGGCATTTGACATGAATGTGCGTTGTGCTGTTATTAGATGGAATCTTTTATAAACATCAAATAAATTTTATTCATTGTGTAGTTCATTTCTTCTATATATTTGCTGATTTTCTTTCAATTAATTCTCTCAATGACTGAAAGATTAGTGTTAAAATCTCGAACTATAATTGTAGATTTGTCTATTCCTCCTTTTAGTCCTATCAGTTCTTGTTTCATGTATTTTAAAACTTTGTTGTTTGACGTATGCCTATTGAAGGTTGTTATGTCTTCTTGCTAATATTCCTCTATCCCTGATATTTTCCTTTCTCTGATCTGATATTAACATAGCAACTCCAGCTTTCTGTTATCTTTTCACTTAACCAACCTATATCATAGTAGTTAAAGTTGGATCCTTGGAAAGTGAATATAGTTTAATCTTATGTATTCACCCTTTCTGAAAATCTCTATTTTTCAATTAGTGTGTTTAGACCATTTACACTTAATGTAATTACTGATACATTTGTATTTAGGTTTTCTACTTTATTATTTGTTTTCTGTTTGTGCCTCTGTTTCCCCTTTCCTGCTTTCCTTGCCTTTCAGAATTACATTTAAATTTGCCTATTTTTTTACTATATCTCCATAATAGCTATTTTTGTATGTATTATATGTACTTAACTTTTCATAATCTATTACAATGAATATTAACATTTCAAGTAGAATGAGGAAGTCTTACCTCCATATAGGTAGATTCACTCTCCTACTCTATGTTGTAGTTGTCATATATTTTACATCTAATATATCAAAAACCTATCAGATGTTATAATTATTTCTTTCAATTATTATTCATATTATCAAGAACTTGAGAGGAGGGCAGACTAATATATTTATCTAGATATTTACCATTTCTCTCCCTCTTCCAAGTTTTCCTCTGGTATAATTTCTCTTCCGTCTGAAGAACTTCCGTTAGCATTTCTTTTGGAGCAAGTCTGTTGGTACCAAATTCTCTTGGCTTTACATCGCTTTTCACTGGCTACTTTCCATATTTTTTTCTTTAATAGTTTGGTTATGTGTCTGGACTTGGATTTTCTTACATTTATCCTGTTTAGAATTCACTGAGTTTCTTGAATCAGTAAGGTTTTATGTCTTTTGCCAGATTTCAGAAGTTTTCATTATTTTCTCAAATATTTTTTCTGCATCATATTATTTCTCTTTGCCTTCTGAGACTTCAATGATGTGACTGTTAGACTTTTGGGTATTGACCTACAGATCTCTGACGCACTACTTACATTTTCTATTGTTCAAACTGGACGATATCTGTTGATCTATCTTCAAGTTCTCTGACTGTGTTCTCTGTCATTTTCATTCTGCTATTGAGTATATCCAGAGAATTTTTAACTATATTTTTCAGTCTAAAATCTTCACTTACTTCTCCTTTATATCTTCTTTTTTATCGCTGATACTTTATATCTTTCCATTTATCTCAAAACTGTTTGCTATTACTTGTTAGGGCATGTTATTGTGGCTGGTTTTTTGTGTGTGGAGTTGGCATCTGTTGGTTATCTTTTCCTTTTCAAATTAAGACTTTCCTGAGTCTTCCTAGCTGAGTAATTTTGAACTGTAGCCTTTGCAATGCTATACAGATCTGCCCTGCATGTGCACCACCCAGTGGCCAGTCTGGAACCTGGGCCTTAATCTACCCCACAGTTTACTTCCTGAAGACTGTGGTATGATGTTTAGGATGAGATCTATGCATGCACAGTTCAGAGGTGACCACAGGAGTCCATCTACAACTTTATGGAATTGCCTTCTTGAGCTCCCTCCTCTTCATGACCCATTTCTCATTCCTCTACCCAAAAAGCTGGAGCTTCAGTTTCCTCACTCTGCCATATAGGCCCCACAACTGTGTCTGCCTCTGGGGCAAATCAGCAGAAAACAGAGAGAAAAAACAGTAAATATTTGCCCTCATATTCTTGGGATTATAACTTCTCTGGTAGAAGAAAATAGTTATGCTTGCTCCAGAGTTGTAGGTGGCTGCATGGCCACCAACATCACTGCTGCCATTGCTACCAAGAGAATTGCCTGGGGGCTGAGTTGAGAAATAACAGAATAAAGTGGGGGAAAAACAACAACAAAAGATTTCTTTCACTCTCTCTGACTCTTAGGGGTTCCCTTTCTCACTCTGCAAGCCAGAAAGAGAGGATTTCTCTTGTGTGCTCTTTTTCTGCATCCACTGTACCCTTCTGGGTTTGGGAATGCCTTTAAGTCCAGTCTAGATGATACCAGAGGGGAAAGAAGAATGGTAAATTCACTGCCAATTTGCTAATGCTTTAAAAATTCTTCCCACTCTTCCCCAGTTATTCTATTATTTACTTTGCAGAATCCTCTAGTAGTTGCCCCTTACATTCAGTACATTGTTTATAATTGCATTCAGTGGGAGAGACAGGGCTGAGTGTGCTTTACTCCATCTTGCCTGAATCTGGAAACTATCTGCTTGGTTTGTTGTTGTTTTGATTTAAAGAAAAAAACAAGGATGATTTGTACACACAAAAGAAAGTTCTAAAACTAATTGTTTTTTTATTCAATCATCAGTCATGAGGCATTCACCCTTTCCTGGCAGCATCTGGTTGAGAATGTCATCTCCTTTTCCTTTGTAGGGACACAACTGACTGTGGAAGTCCACCCTCGAGATGCCATGCCCCAGCTGCTCAAGAAGTTCTCCTTGGCTAAACGTATGTATGACACAGGTACTCATGGTGGAGGGCTGGCAGAGAGGATTGAAGGCAGCTGGTTGGGCCAGATCCCAGCCCAAGCATCTTCTGAGGGAAGGAGAAGAGTGACATGGGCCTGCAAACTGGGAAAAGGCAGAAGCATGACAGCTTTATCCTGGGAGACTCTTTTCTCTACACCCAGCTACCGCTGATTTTGCATCTCTGGAACTAGTCATAGGTAACACAGACATTTAGCTGAAGACACATTGCATCACAAGAGTGTTGTTGCTGTTGCTTTTAGATACCATTTGTTTACTGCCAGAAAAGTGGCATGCAAAATGCTAAGTACTTTAACATTTATTAACTTTTTAACCTTTTGATGTATACTAATATCATCCCCACTTTTTAGATCAGCAAAGTGAGGCTTAGAGAGGTGAAGTAACTACCCAAGTCACCCAGCTAAGAAGTGGGTCAGAACCCAGGTATGACTCTGAAGCCTGTGGTCTTAACCACCATACTTTGCTGCCCTCAGTGCAGTGCACATAGGCCCAGGCCCAGGACGATGATGTCTCCCCAACTCCCTTCTCGGTCCTCTCCCTGCATCTGTGCACCTTATGGTTAAACAGGGACCTCAGGAAGAATGCAGGTTAAGTAACAGAGGCTGCAGAACAACTGAGGCTCAAGTCCTCTTTAGGTCCATGCAGTGAGCCAAAGTCCTCCAAAACTGTCTGGTCCTGTAGTCATCAGCAGTCAGGATCTCAAGAAAGTAGTCTACTGTAAAGAGGGCAGGCTCTAGGGTCGACTGACTGGGTTCATGTTTCAGCTGTGTGACCTTGGGCAAGTGGCCTAACCCCTCTTTTGAACTCAGTTTTGTCAACTATAAAAGAAGGAAAATAAGCGAATCTGCCTCATAAGATTATTATGAGATTAAATGAGAGAGTAAATATAAAGCCCAAGCCAGGCATAGTAAGTGTGTAACAAATGCTAGCTATCATTTCGAACCTTTATCATTCTATCAAAAAGGTAGGTGGGAAAAAAATGTAGGTGTGAAATACAAAATGCAGGTGTGAGAAATAAATGGAGCACTGTTTCTCAGAATAACCCATGTGTGGTTGCAATCTTCTTTGTTATATTTATAGCCTAAAGTGGCCTTCAGGGGCATAAAACTACCTGCCTTGGCATCCCCACCTTCAACTCCCCTGATCCCATCAGGGACCCAAATCTTCCTGACCTGGTTCCAGATCGGCAGGGAAAGTTCCTTTCCTTTTGCCCAGGGAGTCTAATAACTATTGGCTACAATTCTGCCTTTACGGTCTTAGATTTATGGGATTCAGTTGGCCTTTAATCCTCCCAAGGAATAATTTAATTATGACCTGACCTTTCTAGGTTTTGACCTTCACACGAACTGCTTTCCCCTTCCTGCATCTTTGTTTCCATCCATGGTCAGTTCTTATCCCGGCATTATCTGGCAGTGGATTCAAGAAAGCAGGAAACTCCAAAAGAGGGCAGGAACACCAGGTTCCAGGAGGACCCAATGAATCACCCAAAGTGTTAGGTCAGAGCAAATACTAACTCCAGTTGCAGAATGCAGCTCCCTTTCTTGTCAGCCACTTCCTGGTTCTTAGTCTTCCTTCTGCCACACCAGGAAGTTCCTGGCAATTCAAGCAGCAATTCAGTGGTCAGTGGGGTGGGAACAAGGAGACTGTGAAAAGGAGAGTAAAGAGGAGGGGTCAAAAGCAAGGACCACCAGAAGGTGAGTCATCAGTGCTTGCATTTCTGTTTCTTCTGAAGTATCTATACTTCTGATCTTTGGAATATTGTAGGTTTACAAGGTGATAAAAATGGAAACACAAGACCCCGGCAACCTGGAGGGAAAGATGCCCATGGTAAGTTCCAGAGTCTTCCAGGACAATTCTCAAGAGAGCACATGGGTTTAGCCTCATAGACTAATCTCCAATTGACAGTTGCTTCCTGGGCCACTATGCTGAGAGGCTGGGGCCACCTTTGGGTTCAGGAGGGGAAGAGTGTCATGATTGATTAGCAATGTCTGCCATGGACACAGGTGGAGAAGGAAAAAGCTCATGCACCAGATGTCATCCTAAAGCTAAAGTATAAACCCCACCAATAACAAGGCAGACCATTATAGGAAACATATTAAAATCGTAATTCAGGATTATGTTAACTTTAAATGGAATGCCAAATGTCTGTAAGGTAGGAGGCATGTGAATAAGCAGAGTGAAGCAGAGGAAGAAACACTGAGAGGGATGATAGACAGCCTGGGTTGGAATCCTGCTTTTGCCCTTCATTTGCCTTCCCTGTGCCTCAGTTTCCCCCTCAGTAGACCAGATGTCATCTAAGGCGGGGTGCAGCTCCATACTTCTTCCTATTGTTTTGCTTTAAAATCAGAATAATTTAGTTAATGATACTGATGTTTTAAATGTATTTATGTAGAATCATACTTAGATCTTATATAATCTCCTCACAGGTAGATTTAATGAGGCATAAATCATGGGCATTTTTAATGTTCAGATGTTGGAAAATGGAACCAAGAAAGGGGAAAACTAGTAATAGGATTTTCAATACCATTTCAGAAATGCCACCTTTATTCTAAATAGGAGTGCAGGGAGACCTCATTTGCAGAGCTATACTGAGTGGAAATCTGTTCGATGTGTGAGTCCACTTTGAATGCACTTAGATCGCCCTGATGGCTCTTGTGAGAGAATGATAGGAACAGATTCTGCAGAGCAAGAGGGCACTGAAAAGAGGCAAGGCTCAGCAGGGGCCTGCCTGAGTATCCCCAGTCTTCTCTGGTTGCATTTGGACCACACAGCACAGCGGTTGATGACATAAGTCATGGTGGCCAGGCAAGAAACCCCTGGGCCCAAATATTGGTCAGCTCCCCAATAAGTGGGCATTGCCTCTCAAACCATGCTGGCCCAGAAGAGGGTCATGAAGGGGCTGGAGCCAGGTCTAGAGGTGACACACACCCCTCCCCACCTTCTCCCCACATCTCTCAGGTCTAATAGCACCAGATTAAGGGACTCTCACTGACAGTGGCAGCCCTGACGACGTGTGGGCAAATGCACCTGCAGTGTCCCCCACCAGGCAGGGAGGCCACATGTCCCTCCCTGCATGTACCTGCAGAGGAGCCCCACAGCCTGCACCCTCCCAGAGAGCAGTGTGACGCTAACATCACAACATGATATGCTCCCAGGAATCCCACAGATGTGTGCCTGAGGCCAGAGGGCTGGGTCCAGTCCCTCCCAGCAAGGTGGAAGTCAGAACCAGACTGGAACCAAGGTAGAAGTGCAGGTCCATCAGGTGCTTTCTCACATAGCCCTACTCTTCCCAGACTTCCCTACCATACCCTGGGGTCTCTCCAGCACACCTCACTTGCCCAGCACCCAGAGGCTCCCGACATGGAGGCTGAAGGTGGGTGGGTCCACCTGGATCAGGGGCTCAGTTCCTCTTTGGTCCCAACTTCTTCCCACCCCCATCCTGTCTTCCCACCCAGCTTTCCTGATTTTGATCTGCCTGACTCAGGGACCCTTGGTTAAGAAAGGCTCTGCCAGAGCCAAGGCTCTCTTCTGGGCCGGGACAGGGGTCTGCTGTCCATGCACCTGTTGGTCTAACCATTGGCCAGGCAGCCTTGCAGCAGCCTCCCAGCAATAGCTGATTATGGCTCTCCTATGTCCAGTGGGAAGCTTGCATGATTGCTGGCCCTGCATCAGCACTGGTCTCTAGTTTTCTCTCCTTCCTGTATCTCTGTCTCAGAGACCTGACTCGTGGTTTGGTCTCTGGTCAGCAGGCTCCCTGTGAGTAAGGCTAAGCATAGATGAGTGATTTGGAGGCCCAGCCTTTCTCAGGGCCCTGTTACCAGAACGCCATCACACATGGTTGAGATGCTCAGGTCTCCAGTTGACCAAGGGCAAAGGAGGAAGCCTGTCTGGGTGCCAAACGCACCTCGCCCTGCAGGACCCAGATGGCCCGGCCTTTCCATGCCCTCCTCCTCCACTGAGGTGTCCTTTGGCACCTCCACCCCAGGGCCGTGGCTGTGGCACAGACCTCCCTCCTTGAGCTTGTGAGCACGAGCAGCACTGCCTGGACACTCCCCAAAGAGCATTCATTCCTGGGAAAAATAACAGGGAATCCACGGAAAACCAAATGGTGGGAAAAAGAAGATTCCATCATCAATATGTCTGGGAACTACTGGGTTAACTAAGGTTAAGCCCGTTTCCTACTTCTGACTTCTCAGAGTCTACAATAGGCGTATGTTCCCTGTAGGCCTCTAAGAGGACTATGGGAGTTGCCATGGTTCCCAAACTAACTTGATCAGGGGACCCTTCTAGGAAAGTTCCCATATAGCTCTTAGGCTCAATGTTTCAGGCTTTGAGAATTGTGTTAAAGGTTGGACAGTCACAGCTCCTCAAAGAGACAGCAAGGCCTAGGCCAGGCAGCCCTCTTCAGTGGGTCTCAGCTGCTGACCAAGGTGCCCTGTGTTTCCAGCCTACCCCTGGGATCGATCTAGCCTGAAATCCATGTCCCTGGACCTGCAGCAGTTTGAGAAATTGGATATCTACGCCTCACAGGTAGGACAGCTGGCCGCTCTGACCATGGGCCCCTTCAAGGTGGCTTAGAGTTCTAGGGCAGCAAAACCTCTCCCCAGACACCTCCTGAACATATCCTGAGTGGCTTGGTTGGATGGCCCTGGAATGCCTTTTCATAGCATATGGGTGGGGACAGAAGGCACTAGGCAGCAGCCCCTGCCCAGAGCCAGAGGCCATTCCATCCCCCAGCCCACCCACGATCCTGTTGCTCCCACCCCATACAACACACCCTGGAGCTCTTCATTGGCAAGCCCCTCTGGCCAGCCCTGACCTGCCTTCTCCATGCCCCTTTTGGCATTTCTGCTCCTAAGCTATGCCTGCCTCCAGTCCATGGAAGAAGGGAGGAGAGGATGGGAGGACCGTGGATGCAGATGGCCAGGACCATTATAATCACAGCTGTGCTCACCTCTGAAGTGCATGAGCTGCCATGCTCTCATGCCTCTGGCCCTGAGCATGTCTCAGGTGCAGGTGGGAGGAGCAGATGAAGAGCTGAAACACTAGGGACATATGGAAGTCATTGGAGCCAGGCAGGAGCTTCAGCACAGAGAGTCTGATAGGAGGAACAAGGTGTTGAACACTTTTGTGAAGTCAGGACATTAAGTGGTCTTAAAAAGGCCACCTTATAGGTACTCAGGAACCTTGTTTGTTGAAATAATGAGTGGATGGTGAGTGCATGGATCAAGAAAGCCAGATGAGAAGCAAAGACATAAGTTGAGGACATCCTTCTGTCCTGGCAGAAGACATGACCTGGATTAAGTGGAGACATTGAGGAAACAGAGGAGTGGAAAGGCCAATCCTGAGCTAGGGGCAGAGGGGAAGAACTCTAACACCAGTGGGTGTGGAGTGGGTGGGAGGTGGGGGAGAGGGGCTCCCAGATAGCTGGATTGACTCCTGGAGGGTGCATCAGTACCTCCTCACGAGGAGCAAGGGAGAAGGAGCAAGTTTTAGGGGATGAGTGTGTTTGGGATATGAGGGGCTCTAGTGTCTGTGGCACATCCAGGGGAAATGCCCCCTGGGCAGCCAAATATACAAGCTTGGAAAGGTCTGGGCTGGAGACACTGATTGGTAGTCATCAGATTTCGTTAAGAGCTGAAGCCATAGGACGGGCATCATATTGCAGGGGTGGAGGAAGCCCATAGGGCCTGGAGCCATCAAAGGGGCTGGGGCAAGGCCAGGAAGGGTCAGAGTTCTGGAAGGTCCAGGGAGGGGCTCCCTGGGGCAGACGTGGTCAACAGCGTGAGCTGTGCTATCTGCTCAAGTGAGATCAGGACAGACGCCATGTCGGCTACTGCAGCATCAAAGTGCACCTTACCTCCAGAGGGGCAGTGCACAGGGGCTGGAGGCCTCAGTCCTCAGGTGGGTGGAAGAGCAAGCAGGAGGTGAGTAGTGGGGAGTGAGGAGAAGATCCCACAGGAGCCTGCAGAGACGGGGAGGCTAGACATGAGCAGAACTGAGGAGAGTAGGGGGGCATCCTAAGGTGGGGGAACAAGGGGGCATGGAGCAGCCAGGAAAGGAAGGGAGGAGGTGAGGACATACGAGAAGGAGGCCATTGATTGAAGAAGGGAAGTCCCTGTAAAGGCAGAAGACCTGAGACATAGAGAAGGCTGAAGCAGGAGGGGAGGATGAGACTCTTAGTGAGGAAGTCCCACCTGGCCTGCCGTGAAGTGGAGGCCAGGCCATTACCTGTGAATGAGGAAAGTGGGTGGGGTCTGGAGTCTGCAAAGGGCCCAGATTTTTGTAATGGCCATCGGAAGGGATGGGTCAGGCTGCTGGCCATACTCAGAGAACAGTGCCAGGAAGCCAGCGGAGGCCAGAGACCCAGCCACAGAGCAGGGAGTGGCCAGAGCAAGCCAGGCCCAGGTGGGGCCAGGAGGTGGGGACCAAAGGACCAGAAGCCATGGCACTGAAGTAGAAGGCTAAGTCAGGACTCCAGGCTGCAGTGCAGGCCTGCAATGCTGAGTACCATTCGGGGCCCTGGGAGAGGGACAAGGACAAAGTCTGCGGTGTTGGAGCTGGACGTAGAAGAAAATGAAACAGAAAGCAGCTGAGAGAGTAGAACAGGGGTCCAGAGGTCTCCAGAGGTCAGAGTGCCAGTGTGCTGGGCCAGTGGTCAGCAGGTGAGTCCTGGAATCTCTTGTGAGCAGTGAGATGTTTCCAGCTAAAAACAAGGTCCTGGAGTACCCTCAAGCTGGGAGCTGAGGGGAATGTGGGCACCATTGCAGGACCTAGTGGCCCAGCTTCTCTACAGAGATTAAACATGGTCAGAGCCATCTTTCCAGCAACCTCAGCCCTGTTTCCCTGAGGGCCCCTACGAAGAAAGCTAATTTGTTCTTTTTTTATCATAAAATAACATAAAATTTGCCATTTTAATAATTTTTAAGTGTACAATTCACTAGCATTAATTATATTCACAATGTTGTATTCTCATCACCCAAAACAGAAACTCTACCCATTAAGCAATGAAATTCCCATTTCTCCTCCCCCAGCCCCTGGTAATCTCTACTTACTGTCTATGAACTTTCCTATTCTAGATATTTCATATAAGTGGAATCATACAGTATTTGTCCTTTTGTGTCTGGCTTATGTCACTTAGCATCATGTTTTCAAGGTTCATCCATGTCGTAGCATATACAGAACTTAATTCCTTCTTTTTGTAGTTGAATAATATTCCCATGTATATATGGTATATACTCTATTTTATTTATCCTTTCATTCATGGATGGATGTTTTTTAACCTTTTGGCTATTGTGGATAGTGCTGCAATGAACATTGGGGAAACAAATGTCTGTTTGAGTCTCTGCCTTCGGTTTTTTTGGTTGCGTACCTTGGACTGAAATTGCTAGATCATATGATAATTCTACATTTAACTTTCTGAGAAACTGTCAAAATTTGTCTACAGCAGCTGCACAATTTTACATTCCCACTAGCATCGTACAAGAGTTCCAATTCCTCCATATTCTTGCCAACACATTATTTTCTGGTTTCATTTTTCAATAGCCATTTTAGTAGTCTGAAGTGCTATCTCATTGTGGTTTTGATTTACATTTCTCTCATGACTAAGGATGTTGAGCTTTTTTTTATGTGCTTATTGGCCATTTGTATATCTTCTTTAGAGAAATATCTGTTCAAGTCCTTTGCCCCTTTTTGAATTGGGTTGGTTTTGTTTTTGTGGAGTTGTAGGAGTTCTTTTTATATTCTGGATATTTAACCCTTATTGGATATATGATTTGCAATGTTTTCTCTCATTTTGTAAGTTTTCTTTCTGCCTTCTAAATGATATCCTTTAATGCACAGAAATTTTTTATTTTCACGAATGCCCTTTTATCTGTTTTTTCCTTTGTTGCTTGTGCTTTTGGTGCCATATCTAAGAATTCATTGCCAAATCCAAGGTCATGAAGATTAACCCCAGTGTTTTCTTCTGAGAGTTTTATGGTTTAAGCTCTTATATTTGAGTCACTGATCCATTTTGAGTTGTTTTTGTATATGGCATGAGGTAGAGATCCAAGTTTATTCTTTTGCATGTGGAAACTCAATTGTCCCAGCACCATTTGTAAAAGAGACTATTCTTTCCCCACTGAATGGACTTGACACCCTTGTCAAAGATCCACTAACCGTAGATATGTGGGTCCATTTCTGGACTCTCAGTTGTATTCCATTTGTCTATATAATCTTCATGGCAGTATCAAACTGTTTTGATTACTGTAGTTCTACAGTAAGTTTTGAAAATGGGGAACTTGTGTCCTTCAAATGTGTTCTTTTTTCAAAATTGTTTTGGCTGCTTGGAGCCCCTTGGAATTTATAGGAATTTGAGAACTGACTTTTCCATTTCAGCACAAAAAGCTATTGGAATTTTGATAAGGATTATGTTAAATCCTTAGTATTGACCACGACCAGGGGCTGCTACAGCTGTCCAGATGCCTGCCTGGCTAGCCCC
The DNA here is from genome assembly GCF_000001405.40 of Homo sapiens. Classification (NCBI taxonomy): domain Eukaryota; kingdom Metazoa; phylum Chordata; class Mammalia; order Primates; family Hominidae; genus Homo; species Homo sapiens. The sequence continues at coordinate 134,621,100 of NC_000003.12, read as the reverse complement.
CAGATCTGCAGAGAAAAGCTGTGGTGGCTCTAGGGCCTGTGATTGAGCTGGTCAGCACCACCTGCCCTGTCCAACTTCCCCCACCTCCTCCCAATTTGTCCTCAGCCAGCCTTTGCCCCTCAGGACCTCTCCTCCAGCTTCTCTGCCTGGAGGAAGAGCAGCACTGGCTGTAGGTGCAAGATGCTGGGCCCCCAACAGCCCCTCCTCGAGGCCCTAATACAGCACACCCTTCCTGCTCCCCAGGTGACAGCCAAGAGTGGCCTAGACGAACTGGTGAGTGACCTGCTCCAGGAGGCCCACACTGACCTGGAAAGGGTCCGCGCCATCTGGATCTGGATCTGCCATCACATAGGTAGGCCCCCCTGTGGAATTTCTGGCTCTAGAATCCCTTGCTTCCATTCCCTGCAGGCCTCTGCTCCTATCAGCTTATTCACGTGTGCAGAGTGACATGAAAGGTGGGGGACAGGGACCCAGAAGACTGGACTGATGAACCAGAGAGTAACCAAGGAGGATAAAATTCACCATGTGCTATGAGTCTCCATGAAAGTTAGTTGGAGGAGAATCCCTTGCAGCCTTCTGCCCATAACCAGTGCCCAGAGCTGGAAACTTCATCCAGCAGCAGCCTTCCCTCTGTCCCAGCCTTCCCTCTGTCTTATCTCCACAGAGATGAGAGCCCAGAGCAACAGGTCATCTCCAAGAAGGATTACCATTGGTGGGGAGAAGTTGCAGCTGTTTGAAAAGTGATTGCAATACCAGAGGGTTCATTAAATACCAGGGCCAGGAAAAGCGGGTTCTCCACTTCCTGCTCCCACACTAGCAACATTGGCCACTGGTCCCAGCGCAGTCTCCAAGGTTCTTGGAGCCACCTGAGGGACCTGGGCCTATGCAGCTGCCCACAGCTCTCCACAGGATGGCCTTGGGAAGCTCCCGGGTCAAGCAGAGCTGCAGAGGTGGTGGCTAAGGGATGCTGCCCCTTGCCGCCTTGCAAACACAAATGAGAGTGGGCAGGGCCAGATCACGAGGTGGACTCCTAGTCCTTTGACATAAAGACCAGCCGGGTCTTTCTCGACCTGCTGCCACTGGGCTTTTCTTTTATTCTTCTGGAACAACAGTTTGGAATGCAGCTTAGAGAATGAGCTCGCCTGGCACAGGTAGGAGGTCCAAACTGAGGACTTGAGAGACCCCCAGCTCAGCTCCCATCCCAACTCCACCAGCTGTGCCTGTGCCTTAAAGGGGCAGGGTCAGAAATGGGACATTTATAGGACTTCGTTACTGCTCTATCCCCATGCCAACACACACATACACAGTCTCAATGGGTCCTCAATAGCTACAGAGACTTCTGCCTTAGGGCCTCACCACAGGCCTCAGGCTTCTTTGCAATGTCTTCATCCCCTCCTTAGTGAAGTGACAGGCTGTGGGAGAGCAGCCTTCTCCACTTGGAGACGAGCTCTGTGTGCCCCATGGGTCAGCATGAGGCCTTCGGGCTGCAGGAAAACGGGATGAGTGATTTCACTGGAAATGTGTGCAGAGCTGTGTGGTGGGGATTAGCAGAGAGAGCCCCATGCCTCTGCACTGTCCTGGTCCCTTCTCCTCCTAGCCCCTCCTCAGAGGCTTGGGGAGCCAGGTGGCCCCCTCTGCCAAGGCCTGCTCTTCCTCTCACCACTTGCACAAAGAGGTGATAGTTCCCAGATCCCATTTGTGCTGGGGCTGTAGTTCCATTCAGCCCACTGTAGTTTCCTGGGGCTGGTGATGGCCAGAGCACAGCTGGGGGTTGGGGTGGAGTCTTCTCGCCTCCCAGGCTCAAGCTCTTCATGATCCCCTCACCTGCCCTATAGAGTATGACATTGCAGCTGCTCAGGAGAAGGACCGCCAAGCCTTCAAACCCACTGACATCCTGCGGACCCAGAAGACCAACTGTGATGGCTATGCTGGCCTCTTCGAGAGAATGTGCAGGTACGAGAGACAGGAGTCCCCATGCTGACCACCGGACCCATCCCTCTCCCTCTTCCACAGTGCCATGTGCCTTTGCCCACATGCCAGGCCTGAAACCTGAGTTTACAAACTCTGCTCTGGAACCCAAGTGAGTCCTGAAAAGGTCAATTTCTCCCTTTTTAACACCAGCATAATTGACTTTGTACCATCTGCCGGGCTTCGCGATGCATTAACATAATGGTAGATGAATGCACAGAGATAATTTGGTTATAAAAAGCCCTTTTTCCGCCTTCTCCCATCTCTATGCAGCTGAAGGTTAAAAGAATGGCAGGCCTGGGAGCGGGAGGACAGTGACTGCAGATGCCAAGGGGACTGTGAAAGGCTGTCCTCAGGGCTGACACAGGGAGCCTCTTTTGGGGGAAACAAAAGATCTCCCACCTGAAAAGATTTGTCAGTTGGACAGCTGAATCACTACGAAGCGGCTACTCTTGGAGTCGCTGGGCTCCATTTTCAGCACTCTGGGAGTGGGCATATGGCCAGGTTGCTGGGGTGGGTGACAGCTCTGGCCTGAGCAGGAGAACAGGCCATTGCCAGTTCCCAGTGACTCAAAACAGGCTCAAGATGTGGGGTGGGGGGAGGGGATGGCCACTGACCCCCACAGCTTCCTGAGCCTACCCTCTGAGGTCTGCTGGGTTCCTCCAGAAAACAGTCAGCTAGCCCTGGGGCCATCAAAGAACCCCTCCCCAGGGGGTGGATGAACAGCGGCCCACTGTCTTTCTAGGCTTCTGGGAGTGAGTCTTCTTAGGCACCCAGATGTCAGCCCACCAGAACTGCAGGTGGCAATTCATCAAACCAAGTGTAACACTTAGTCCACAGGCAGGCAGTTGTGATGGCCTCAGTGTTGCAGAGGCGGCAGCTGCCGAGCACTGGGTGCATGCAACCTATTCCTGGCCCAAACCCCCTGTTGTGCTGCCTCCTGCCCCCATCACCACTGCCAAGCACAGGCACCTACCCGGCTGCTGAGTTACTCTAAGCCTCCTGCTCTGCTTCCTGTACTTCCCTTTTCTCACTTTCAAGGCCAATCCCTGAGACCACAGCCCCAGACGCAGCCACGGTGGGTCAGGGTACAGAATATGCCACCCAGGCTGCTTCCCACCCCCTACCCCAGACCCAAGCATACCTCCTGCTGCCTGCAGGCCTCTCCAGGAACCTGGATCCTCACTGGCCTCTCTGTCCAGGCTTCCCTGGTCCTGGGTTCCTAACATCACTAAAGGATCACACTATCTAGCAAAGTCCTCCAAAATCTGACCTCAGCCAAGTTTCCAGCCCTGCACTGTGTGACACCACCTTCCTGACCACCTCTGCATGCACACCTGCTCCCTCTCCCCAGAGCTCCTTCCAGGCCCCGCTCCAGGACAGCCCACAACCTTCCCCTTCCTTTGTACCCCCAGCCCAGTTGCACACCAAACTCATGTGTTGCCTTATGCTTTCAATTAATAACATTTTTAAATTTAAAAAATACCATTCATTGTAGATGGTTTATAAAATGCACTAAAGCAAAAAAGAAATTATTACTCTGAATCTCACCACTTACAGCTAACACTGGTAACATTTGGTCATATTACTTTCCAGACTGTGTTCTGTGCATACAGGAATTACCTGTGCTCGGTTGTTGTCATACATCCTATCGATTGTATACGTCTATATTTGCCTTTATCTCCTCTCTCCTTCTACCTCCCCTGCGAATACCCATCTCAGAATCCTACACCCAGTAGGCCCTCAATAGACATATATAGAAATGACAGGATATTCCTAGCAGACTTATGTGGAATGGAATGTGGAATTCTCTTTTAACTGATGAAATAGCCACAAGTCTCTTAGCTCCATTTGTGCCTAGCATCTTTCAGAACATGATTATTTTCCTCTGATTTTACAAATTTGAAAAATGCTTAGCATTTTTTCCAAGTTCCAGGATATATTCCTCTTTATCCAGTATAAGCTTTCTAGCATACTGTAGAAGGAATGCCAGATTTGAAGCTAGAAAGACCTGGGTCTACCACTTAGAGTGGTATCGCCTCCTTGATCCAGTATAAGCATCCTAGCATCCTTTAGAAGGAGTGCCAAAGTTAAAGCCAGAAAGACCTGGCTCCCAGTTTTTAATTTACCACCTATTAGTTTTGTTCTTTGTGGTAAGGCCCTTAACCTCTTGCAGCCTCAGTGCTCTCATCTATATATTGGAGACTAGATTGCCTACCTGGCAGGGCTATAGGACTCAATGAGACTGCAGTTTGGGGGTTACCAACCCGATTTTGGGGTGGGTGTTTTTTGACCTATCTTGTCTTTCTTGAGTATTGATTGGAGTCCTTTTGCTCTGTGGAGTTTTCCTACAGACTCTGCCAGCCTACATAGATTCAGAAAATTGACACTTGCCTTGAGTGAAACTGTCAGCTTTTTGCCCTGGTCCAGATACTTAACAATGGCCCTATTCTGGCCTGCAGCTTATCATTAAAACTCTCCCTAACATTTTGCATCATTTAAAATTAGTTCCAACATGGTGATTACCATGTGCAAAATTCCTCACACTGCCTGAGATGTGTAGCAATAGCTCACGGTCCCCTGAATTCCTTTAACTGTTTCTTTAAAGATCAGTAACCTATCTATGCATCCCTCTACTAACTCTCTTTACCTTTAAAATAACTGCCAAAAGTTTGGTAAATTAATTAGCTAATTCCTTAATAACTGAGGACATATAATCCGCACTTGCTGATTTATCCCTTCTTGGTTGTCAGGGTGGACATCATTACTTTTTGCCAGTCCATTCCACCTCCCTGAAATTGTCTCATTAAAGACTGATTTAATAAAGTAATTTGGGGAGGAATTCAGATATTTTCACAACATCATTCAGTTCCTTCTGTCTGTCCCAAGTCACTGATGTGGGGTTTTTTGGTTAATGCTATAGCTTGTAACTGCTGGTCCAGTTTCCTTCTGACTTTCTATCATCCAACATTAATGTCTCTCTTTTTGCCTCAGTTGCCTGCATCCTTAGTTGATTCTGCCTAATTTCCTCGCAGGAGCCAAGCTTAATTCCCCAGACTGCTGCTCTTGAGTCGGCCTCCAGTAAATTCTCTTCCCGTTAGCATGGCTTTAGCATCACCAGCTAGCAGGTTTCAGAGACGTTGGATAAAGCCAGGCACTTATTACGAGTTTGAGCCCTGACACTGAGGGAGTTGGTTGTCACCAATCAGATGTCAGCTGGCTTTCCACTCATCCTCCAGCTGTCACTGAGAGCAGGGGCAGGAGTGTGTGCAGTCAGATGGCTGCTTCTGGTTAGCAGTATGTCCCCTATAATCCTAAAACATCACTTGGTTCCAAAGGCCCCAAAAGATAGGCAGTGGCCATCTAAGCCTTCTGGGAGATGCAGATTCATTGGATAACCTTAAATTATCACCAAATCTGATGCTGGTGTATAAGGCCTCTGAAAGGGACATCTTAGCTCCCCCACCCTTATAGCTACACCAAAGGATGGCACTCACAAAGATGAGTTATGTCACTGGTGCAAACCACCTTTCCATTTCACTCTCTATACCACCTACAAGTGTATAGATCAAAACAAAATCTTGATTTACAAAAGAGCTGGTGCAACATTGTGCACATGTATCCTAAAACTTAAAGTATAATAATAACAAAAATAAAATAAAATAAAAAGAAAAAAGAAAAAAAATTAACTTACCATGTCAGCTATGAGGAATATGAGGTCAAATGATTTTTCCATTTTCCCAATAGATGTTTTCACACGTGAAAAAAAAAAAAAAAAAAAAAGCTTCTTGAACTATGCATCAGGACAACTGCATCCACTGCTGCTCCGGCCACTGGCTAGCTGTGTGTCCCCAGGCAAGGCAGCCTCTCTCTCTGAACAGCTGACGCCTCCCTCACCTTCAGAGAGGAGGCCTCTGAAGTCACGTCTCATGAGGTTCTGCATGGGGCCCTGGAGAGAGAATTATTATCAAGATTACTAGTTATTGACGTAGCTGTAAGGGTAGTGTGTAAGAAAAGGGAAAAGAGAGCACATGGGAGAAATATAAACACACTGTCAGATTATAAGAAATCAAGTACATAAATTGTGAAAGATAAGTCATGGTTTGTTTGTCCTGCTGCAGTATAGAAACCACAGTATTTTCAACAAAATACCAAAAGAAAAGCATACTTCATAGTCTCTCCTACAGGCACACTCCCTCCCTTTTTCCCTCACTTGGCTCACACATCCTAGGAGAGGTGATCAGATTTGGGAAAGTCTACTGCGGTCAGAGCCCATTGGTGTAGGGTGCACCTGTCCACCCAGATATTTCAGCCACACAGCTGTTGGGGCCTGGCCTTGGTACTGACTGTAGGAGCATCATACAGTTCCTATGGCAGGGCCTGGACCATCTCAGTATAAAATAATACCAAATTAATACACTAGGATACAGTGCACCAAACTGGAACACACAGATCTTTTTAAATAATA